>NT_187614.1:2237724-2557399 GCF_000001405.40 Homo sapiens
TTATTATTTTGTAAAATAACAAAACACCAAGGTTGGCATTTCCTAAATTCTATTAAAAATAAACCAAGTAGCACAACTTTCAGATTAAATTATAAATAACTGTACTAATAATTGACCAGAAATGTAAATTCCCCAACCTGGAGTTATGGACTGCTGGAACAATCCTCTTCAAGTACATTTACCTCTATTGCAAATTTTCCTTGTTCTGCTTTGCCAACAGGAGTGTAAACACAGACACACACACCATCTTTTGACCTTGTTTCTACAAAGTCATATTCACCCACAACAAATGCCACCAGATATGTAGATGTAACAGGTGTGCGGGCAAACTTCACTTCCACTAAATTTTCATCATCAGGGTATGGTTTCCGGTCAATTACATTCTTTAAGAAAGAAAAAAAAGAAAAATTTAAATAGGTTTACATTAATACCATAGAGCAAATACCAGCCAAAAACTGTAGGCTTTATTGCATCTCTTTCCCCCTTTCTATTCTAGCATGGCTTATTTCTCTACCCCAATTCATCCAGTGCTTTTATGCTGTCTTTAAGAAGGAAAGTGGTCTGATAAAACACTCATACTAAGAAGCTGGAGGCTGAAGTGTTAAAACTACCAAGGACCTGTGAGAGAAAAGAGGAATGGACTTTTCTCGAATACTTATTATAAGCCAGGCATTGGGATGATTTAAGTAAGGGCTTCATACTTTTCAACTGACATAAGTTTAGGAGAAAATGACTATTAATAAAAATAAAATAGGGGCCAGGCGCGGTGGCTCACGCCTGTAATCCCAGCACTTTGGGAGGCTTAGGCGGGCGAATCACAAGGTCAGGAGATCAAGACCATCCTGGCTAACATGGTGAAACCCCGTCTCTACTAAAAATACAAAACATTAGCCAGGCATGGTGGGGGGTGCCTGTAATCCCAGCTACTTGGGAGGCTGAGGCAGGAGAATGGCGTGAACCAGGGAGGCGGAGCTTGCAGTGAGCTGGGATCACACCACTGCACTCCAGCCTGGGCGACACAGCGAGACTCCTTCTCAAAAATAAATAAAAAAAATATAATATAATTGTAGAATCTCCCATTTCAAAGGATACAAACTTCTAGATCGAGGGCATTCTCTACCAAAGTTGGCTCTAAGCTTATTTGTGAAGAAATTTCAACTTTACCTTTGGAGTCCCTAATTTCCTTTGGTGTTCTCCCTCTTTTTCCTATTCAGGCTCCATTTCCTCAAGCTCTCTCTATTCTTCCTTCCAAGGAAGACTTATTCAAGAACACACTGATAAATTCACTCATACTAAAGTGTGAATGAATATTTCTGCTTAATGTATTAGCCTCCTCTTCTAAGAATATGTGTGAAGAGAATGACATTCTATTTATGGGATGCTCTCCCCCAGTAAATACATAAAAGAGTTATTTTCAGGTGCAGCAGGTTTTTCCAAGTTCCCCACACAAGACAGTCCTAGACAACACACTTCAAGTGGGGAATGCTTACCCTGTTCATGAATGAGATCAATAACACTGGTGAAGAGAATACATTCCAAGAATACAAACAGCCAGAAACCTAAATATACTTCATTATGCAGCTACATCTTTTGAATTCTTTTAACTTTTTAAAAAGATAGAGACAGGGTCTTGCTCTGTTGCAACCTTTTTTTTTTCCCCCCGAGATGGAGTCTTGCTCTGTCACCCAGGCTGGAGCGGAGTGGCGCGATCTCAACTCACTGCAGCCTCCGCCTCCCAGGTTCAAGCAATTCTCCTGCCTCAGCCTCCCAAGTAGCTGGGGTTACAGGTGCCTGCCACCATATCTGGCTAATTTTTGTATTTTTAGTAGAGATGGGGTTTCACCATGTTGGCCAGGCTGGTCTCGAACTCCTGGCCTCAAATGATCCACCTGCCTCAGCCTCCTGAAGTGCTGGGATTACAGGTATGAGCCACCATGCCTGGCCTATTTTTTTTTTTTAAGAGATGGGGTCTTGTTCTGTCACCCAGGCTGGAATACAGTGGCGCAATCATGGCTCCCTGTAGCCTCAAACTCCTAAGTTCGAGAGATCCTCCCACATTAGCCTCCCAAGTAGTTAGGATTACAGACACCTGCCACCATACCTGGCTAACTTTTAAGTTTTAAATCTTTTGTAGAAATGAGGTCTCACTATGTTGCCCAGACTGGTGTCAAACTCCTGGCCTCAAGCAATCCTCCTGCCTTAGCCTCCCAAAGCACTGAGATTACAAGCAAGAGTCACTGTACCTGGCTTTCTTATGACATTTAATAAGTCAAGACCTTTTTCTTTTTTTTTTCTTTTTTTTTCTGAGATAGGGTCTGGCTCTGTCACCCAGGCTGGAGTGCAGTGGTGTGATCTCAGCTCACTACAACCTCCGCTTCCTGGGTTCAAGTGATCCTCCCACCTCAGCCTCCCAAGTAGCTGGGACTACAGGTGTGTGCAACCACACTCAGATAATTTTTGTATTTTTAGTAAGGACAGGATTTCACCATGTTGGCCAGGCTGGTCTTCAACTCCTGACCTCAAGCGATCTGCCTACCTTGACTTCCCAAAGTGCTGGGATGACAGGTGTAAGCCACCATATCCAGCCCAAGACTTTTGCTTTTAGTTACTATAAATCTATTAAACTTGTCAATTTACCTCTCTAAATTAAAAGAAGTAGATAATCTTATAAATGTATTTAACAAGGAATTTGACAAGGAGAAAATCCTCCAAAAATAAAGCTATCAAGAAAAAGAGGTCTTGGCTGGGCATGGTGGCTCATGCCTCTAATCCCAGCACTTTGGGAGGCTGAGGCAGGAAGACAGATTGACCCCAGGAGTTTGAGACCAGCCTGGGCAACATAATGAGACCCCAACTCTACAGAAAAAAAAAAAAAAGAAAGAAAAAGAGGCTTATTGAAAATAAAGAAAACTATTATTTATGTTCCTATAATATACCAGCACTGTGGTAGGTGGTTTCATATTATCCCATCTAATCAGCAAACTAAATCTGCTAAAGCCTATTAAAATTTTAGATAAACTTATAAACACATACATACCATGTTTGATAAAGCTACTCTGTCTTTAGGAACAACCAATGAGATATCAAAAGTTGCTTTGATAGCAGGCTCATCCCAGCAAGGAAAAGCCCTTCGGGCATCAGTAGCCTTAAGAAAAGAATATGAAATATAAATACCTTAGAATTAACCTAACAAGTTATTTCATAAAGCAGTCGCCATTTCCCTCTGTCATTCATTCATTCCCTTGTTCAAATATTTACTTTCTCTTCAGTGCCAGGCAACAAGCTAGGCATTAACTAGAAAGAAAAGACAACACTTGCTACCACTGCCATTCCAGCAAATATCCAGGAACAGTGTCTGCTATGGATTTTAACAATATATTATAATTATTTACAACTAAATTTTTGTTTACATTTTAACATTTCAAATTTAATGCAAATGCCTTCAAATCAATAATGTTAACACAGCACAGAGCACAGAACAGTAAAGAGTATGCTATAAGAATTCAAAGTTGGGAAAACATGGTAAGTTGCCTCTCTGGCTTTTATTTTTGAATTAAAAATAAAAATATTCTCAATCTTTGATGTGCTTTGTTCTTTATCTGGGATGGCAGCAATGGGAATAAAGACAGATGCTCTATCAATTCAAGACAGGTCATTCATTTAATGGCACTTCCATATGCTACACATAAAACTGTCGCCACTTGACCTACTTGAGTCCTTACTCTTTCATTAAAAATTTAAAAAAGAGCAACCTTATGAAAGCAAAATAAAACTTAGGGGTTCTGCAGGGTATCAGTTATAAAGGAAAGACACTTCAGTAAACAGAATTTTCCATTTATTTAGTAAATAAAATGGAACCAATGACAAGATACTGTATCATAAAAAGAAACAACAGACTGGGTGCAGTGGCTCATGCTTGTAATTCCAGCACTTTGGGAGGCCGAGGTGGGCGGATCACCTGAGGTCAGGAGTTCGAGACCAGCCTGGTCAACATGGTGAAACCCCGTCTCTACTAAAAATACAAAAATAAGCCAGGCATGGTGACACATGCCTGTAATCCCAGCTACTCGGGAGGCTGAGGCAGGAGAATGGCTCGAACCTGGGAAGCGGAGGTTGCAGTGAGCCAAGATTGCACCACTGCACTCCAGCCTGGGCGACAGAGCAAGGCTCCGACTAAAAAACAAACAAACAAACGAACAAACAAACAAACAAACAAACCAAAGAGGTAGAAGAAACTTGGCTGACTACATTCTCAAAAACATTAAATAAATAATGAATTCTATCAATGAATAAAAAAGACATCTGAAAAGAAGGGAGAGTATAAGGAAAGAAATGGCAGCACAGAAGCATTTAAATTAGAAGCAGCAGCAGTAGAGAAATGAATTTATACTAAAGGAAATTAATGACAGATAACAAGATTTAAGTTTGAAAATATCTAAAGGACAAAGTGATAAAAGCAATTAAACATAATTTGAGAGACAGATACTAGAGCTAAACTGAGTATTAACTGAGAAGGGAATGGAATGGATATCACAGTGAAGATATAACAGAAAAACTCTTTCACACTGAAAAATTACCTGAATCTAAAAATCAATAGGGTTCACCAAGTACTATGCAAAAATCAATGAAAAGTGAACACCTGGTTTAAAAAACAGTTTAATTTTCGATATCAAGATATAATTTAACAAGCAAGCAGGAAGAAAATAAAGCAAAACGAAACAACATCTTACCTACAAAGGAAGAAGAAACATTTTAGTCTGTGACCCCTCCTCTTGAAAAAGTGAGATGTAGAAGACTTTGGAAACAATATTCACAGACTTTTGAAAGTGAAAAATTGTAAGCTGATTGTACTACTCTTACAATTGAATGAGCTGGGCCTATTACTCATGGCAAGAGAGAACTCACACCACAGGGAACCACTGGTGTCTCCATAAGAATGTAAGAAAGAACCCACTATACGATTTGGGATTTGGTTTACATGATTTGGAAGAGGGTCTAAGTAAACAGGGATTCACTCTAGATTGAGTGCTGCAAGAAGTCCTATGAGGCAATTCTATGGGTATGTATCTCAATAAATCTTATCTATACGGAGGCCAGACTAGAGCAAATCTAAAACCGTAATTGGTAAAGAAGCAGTAGTCACTCATTTTAACTGAGAGATGGAGATGTTTGATATTTTGCGGGTAGCATAGTGATCCTGTATGTACTGTACCTAGGCAAAATTATGGATCCCTTGTTTTGTCTCACTTTATTATGGTCTCAAGTAGCCTTGTCTAAAGTTGGTATTCTGTAATATTATGTCTAATAGGGAGAATAACACGGGCTAGCTGTGAGTGCCAGACAACCTCTGGATGTCAAAAGTTGCTCTTTTTACCTTTTTTCATCAACAAATCTATATACCCAGTAAATCTGGTCATGTATAAAGGCAAATGAAAGATTTTTCAGAAAAGCAAAGGTTTAGGAATTACATTACCCACATACCTTCTCCTAAAAAAAAAATTGTTTAGAGACATACATCAGCCAACCATTCCAGGATGAAGTGTTCAAAGTGGGTAGAGAAAGGCATTGGAATCATTCAAACACAGAATTAAACCTAAATATCTGTGGCAAATATTATTCTAAACAGAAGGTAACATAAAATTATTGAAAGAGAAGATACATCAGGTAAAACAAATTAGTAGTAAACTGGATAAAAAATTTTAGGTTATCCCAAACAAGCAAACAATATAGGGATATGGGCAGAAACATAAGAATGGATATCATGAATTGTTTCTTTATCCATACTGAAATTTATAGAAATAAATTTAATTAGATTTAACACTTAAAAATACGACTAGCAGATTCAAAACAATTTATATAATTTGCAAATACCTGACAAATAAAAATCATCCTGGCCTACGTAGGACAGCAAATATATATATGTGTGTATATATATATATGTATACACACACACACACACACACACACACACACAGAGAGAGAGAAAAAAAATCAAAGACAGCACAGATACTACAGTAAGATAAACAAAAGATGTCAAAGAAGGAAAGGAATTCTAGAAAACAGCTAATAATACTGTAGGAAAAGCCATAGGTGTCAAATACTAAGAGAATGATTTTAAGAAAGGTACACAGTATATAGGCAATTCAGGTATCAAAATGTGTCGTGTGTTTGAATGTCTGTGTGTATAACTGTATATAATCATTCCCCAACCCATACCCTTAATTCCCTCCTTTCTATAGAGATAATGGCTAAATATAAAATAAAAATTCTAAAATTGTGAATACAATCATGGCCAAGGGCACCTAGCCTCAAATAATCACCCCACATAATAAACACACCTTTGTCAGAATGCCTAATTTAAGAATAATAATATTTTAGAGAAGAATAACCCATACCTCAAACTGTGTTACAGCAGCATAGCGCACCTCTCCAGAAGGGGTAGTATACTTACTTCTATAGAAACCTTTCATTTTGTCATTCAGCTCTCCAACAAAATCTATCTTTAAGGTTCCCGTACCTGTGATTGAAGATAAATAAAAAACACTTTTATGGAGATGTTAAACACAGTTACCAAAAATATGTCCTCAAGACACTATATTCAGTTAGCTATTTACAATGTTCAAATCATTCCTTCCTTTTTCAAATATTCCTCCTGGCAATGGAGAGAATACAGTACTTACTAAAGTAAAAGGCAGACTAATCCTAAAATAACTCTTGAAAGTCATGTTTAGGGTGACTGCCTAAAAAGTTATTAACTTAGTCTCAAACTACCAATATGTGGAAATAAGAACAGGAAAGGAAACAAACATTTATTCTTAAATGCCTGATATGTGCTATTGTGCACAGTGCTTTTAAAATATATATAACTATTTATAAACCTGGAAGTAGATATTGTCCTCATTTTTTCAGATGAGGAAACTGAGGCTGAGAAGCTAAATAACTTGTCCAGTGTCATAAAATTAGTAAGTAGTGAGAATGGGATAAAATGTTAAGTCCAGAATTCATGCTCTCTGCCAATTATACATGTGAATTGGTCCTTTTACACAACTTCATGCATAGAAAGAGAAATGTAGCCAATTACTCTATCAAGATAAGACACTAAATGTTTACTCCAAATGGAACACTGATTGCATAATTTTGTAAGGAGCTATAGGGAAGACCAATGATTTGATCAGCAACAGGGCATAAAACAAATTCTTACAAGTCACCTCAATCATTTGAAATCTGACAAAGAAATACATTTAATTAATAAATTATTAAATGCAAATAAAAATACAACTTAAATATGTATTCTATTGTATAAGAGCAAAAACAATTTAGACAAAAAAGTGAGCTTTTTTGAGTTTATATACTTTCTTTTTTATAACATAAAAAATTATAATTATTATCTAGTAATCATCTGCTAAATACAGATGCATGGCAAAACAGTAATCCCATTCTGTGTTTTACAAATCAAGTCACGAAAAAACGTAGAGGAATGGTGACTTTTTAGTTGACCATTTTAAAGGCCCTACGTATATCAAGATTTAAAGCATGGGAAGTCTAACAAATCAAAGATAGGGCATGACTATAAAGTAATTAACCAATCATACCAAACTTTTATATCCTAATGTTTCAAATTGTCATTTTGGAACGCTAAAGAGCAATGACATTTGACATTGTTCAAAATGTTGTGACTTTCTCTTTCTCTCTTTTTTTTTTTTGAGACAGAGGCTCACTCTGTTGCCCAGGCTGGAGTACAGTGGTGTGATCTCGGCTCACTGCAGCCTCCGCCTCCTGGGTTCAAGCAATTGTGCCTCAGCCTCCTGAGTAGCTGGGACTACAGGCGGGCACCACCACGCCTGGCTAATTTTTGCATTTTTAGTAGAGACAGGGGTTTGCCATGTTGGCCAGCTGGTCTTAAACTCCTGGCCTCAAGTGATCCACCCACCTTGGCCTCCCGAAGTGCCGGGATTACAGGCATGAGCCACTGTGCCCAGCCCCTCTGACACTCTTTTGAATGATCTCAAAGTCAAATCTTCATCTTATAAAATTGAATTTGCTTTTGGAAAGGACCAAAAGTTATGGGGAGTGCGAGTCTACAGAATAAGTGAATGACAAACTACAAACTGTCTCTAGCCTGATGCCTCAAACTGGTTCTGAAAGTAATTTAAGTGAAAATTTCAGACCTTTAGAGCAAAGTCACCACTAATGAAAGTGCTATATTCTTAATCATTCTGAGAAAAAAACAACTCAACTGAAGCTTAATTGAATAGACATTTGTGATGTTTATTTTTTAGAAATCAGATATTTGTAAATATCTAAAGAGGACAATGAATACTTTTTTCTTTAAAGAGAATGACAGGTTACTGGGACAGTATATATGGATATAGTAAAATAATTGATAATTCTAAATGATACTAAAAAATTAAACTATAAAGCAAAATTTAAATTAAAAATTTTTAATTTCTATTTTCTTTAGAAGTTCACTTAATTTTTTTAAAAAAGCAAATGTATTCACATTAATAAAGTTTGCAAAGAACGTCTAACAGATTATAAAAACCTACTACCTTTAATGGAAACTATATGATGGAATTTTATGTTACAATTCCATAAGTGGAATTGCCCAGTCTGTTTCACTAAGTCAGTCAACTGTTAAGATGTTTTTTAAATATAATTCATATTTCATGGTAAATCTACTTGCATTTTTTCCTAGTTGGAACATAAGTGGTTTTAAAACTCATAACTAAATAAGAAAGACTGCTTACACTTTTACTCGGTTTTAAATCTCCAAGGCCATCAAACCATAACAAGATATTGACAGTGACCACTTCCAAAAAGTGGCATACTAAACAAAATACAAAGTATTGGAAAGAGTTATTACCTGAAATTCAAACAAAACACAAGTTAAAGTATTTAAAAATCATTAATAAGTTTAATTAGTGTCACATTATATGATACCAATTACAAAGTATTTACTTACTATTCATATAGTAGAATTTTAGGGCAAGTAGGAGAAAAAATGACTTTTTAATAAATTTCATTTATCAAATTTACACCATATTAATGAACGGATTGCCAAATTGTCTAATTTTATACCTATCAACACACATAATTTACACCACTTCCTCAAATTAGATACCTTATTTCATATCCAATGTATGAAATATTTATGTTTGGGGTTGTAAACCTTTTGAAACATACATCAAGCTCGTTTATAAAGTAAACAACTGAAAAATTGGGACTTCCATCAAAAACCTTAAATGTTTAAAGCTTAGGAGAGTATAACAATTGTAAAACCTGGAGTAAATCTTGAAATACTTTAATAATAAGAAATTTAATGAGTCTACTAAATGCTATAAAAATAAAGAGATTAATTTATACAAAAAGGGAATAAAGATCGTTGCCTTTGTGTCACCACCTCTTTTTTTCTTTGGAAAATGGAGTCTCAGTCTCAGTCTGTCACCCAGGCTAAAGTGCAGTGGTGCAATCTCGGCTCACTGCAACCTTCGGCTCCCGGGTTCAAGCAATTCTCCTGCCTCAGCCTCCTGAGTAGCTGGAACTACAGGCGTGCGCCACCAGGCCTGACTAATTTTTGTTTTTAGTAGAAACAGGGTTTCGCCATGTGTCACCACTTTTTATTATCTTGTTTTTGACTCTTCAAAATGCTGACAACTACCAGTGTTTCTCCATATAAATGCCACCCTCAGGACCCTCAGCCACTAATTCTAAGGTTGTTAGACCTTACAATAATTATGGTAATTTAATCACTATCCCAGAATGGTGCCAATTTCAGAAAAGTAGGTTTTACTTAGCTGTATAATAGCTTGCATTACTGTTAAATTTGATGAGGCTAAACACAAAGGTTATTAATGTCCTCCTAAGATAAGCTCAGTATTTGCTTCATTATCAGATAGATCACTTGTGCAATCTGTCTTGAAAAAGATTAACTTCATTTTTAAAGCAAACCTTGGGAAAATGTGAAAGCCAATGGTTTCAAACAGATATTCAATAATTCAATATTGTCGGCTGGGCGTGATGGCTCACACCTGTAATTCCAGCACTTTGGGAGGCCGAGGCGGGAGGATCACGAGGTCAGGAGATCAAGACCATCCTGGCTAACACAGTGAAACCCCATCTCTACTAAAAATACAAAAACAAAATTAGCCGGGCGTGGTGGCGGGCACCTGTAGTCCCAGCTACTCGGGAGGCTGAGACAGGAGAATGGCATGAACCCAGGAGGCAGAGCTTGCAGTGAGCTGAGATCGCGCCACTGCACTCCAGCCTGGACGACAGAGCGAGACTCCATCTCAAAAAATAATAATAATAATAATTCAATATTGTCACACCTGCAAGATAATTTTTCTGTTCTAATATTTATATCAGTTGTTATATTAGCTCAAAATTGTTATATTGGCCAAAAATATCAAAAATTATGTTAAATCATACTATACTAATGGTCATAACCTTCTCTAACTTGTTTGTTATTATTTGAAATAGCTTCACCATTTAGCATGTCTGCTGTAAACAGACCTTATCAAGAATGATACATCTCTTATATACTAGTAATAAATGGCCTCCAATATTTACAGTTAAGGGGAAAAGAAGAAAGGTGCAGAACATTATGTATGGCATGGTGATTTCTGTGTTCTTAAAAAGTATATATATAAATGCTTACAAAAGCAGGGTATAGTTTTGAAAGGAAAATTTCATTTCATTCTGTTGAGGAATGGAGCTGAGAAAGAAGACAGGGTAGACTGGCAAACAAAATTTCATTGCATAGCATTTGAATTTCAAATTATGTAAATGTACTATGTTTTTGAAATATTTAATTTGAAAAATAAAGATAGCACAATGTGGTGGTTAAAAGTGCAGACTTTTGAGTTAAACTGCTTGGGTTTAAATCCCAGCTATGTTACTTACTAGCTATGTTACCTTGGACAAATTATTTAAGTTACTGAAATCATTTTTCTGCCTTAGTTTATCTACAAAATAGAAGTAACAGAATCTGGCTGGCGTAGTGGCTCATGCCTGTAATCTCAACATTTGGGAGGATGGCAAGATCCTCTCTCTGAGGTAGGAGGATCACCTGAGGCCAGGCATTTGAGACCAGCCTAGGCAACATAACGAGACCCTGTCTCTACAAAAAAATTTAAAAATTAACCAGATGCACTGTCATGTGTAGGCAGTCCTAGCTACATGGGAGGCTGAAGTGGGAGAATCACTTAAACCCAGGAGTTTGAGGCTGCAGTGAGCCGTGACTGCACCACTATACTCCAGCCTGGGTGACAGAGAGACTTTGTCACAAAACAAATCTACCTCAAAAGGTTGTTGAAAGGACTAAATAAATTAATATTTTTGAGGCACTTAAAACAGTACTTGGCACAGATTATGTCGTGTGTGTGTGTGTGTGTGTGTGTGTGTGTGTGTGTGTGTGTAATACATATCTTCTATCATGTTAGAAGTTTCTGTCTACTCTTCCCTGGTGAATTCTAGCAAATAAACTGATTCCTTTTGATAAATATAGAATGTTTAACTTTTTAAATTTAATGAAAAATGGTTACCATATTTCCTAATGCTGAACAACAATTCAATCTACGCTTTTATTTTCTATACTGGCTAGGTTTATATATCTTTTGGGACTATTTTTAAATATCAGTTTTTTAATATTTCTGCCCCTCACTTCACTTATTTCATTTGTTTCTGCTCTTAAAACTTTCTTCTACTTTCTCCAAGTTACCTTTTGTTTTTATGAGTTTAATGCTTAGCTAATTAATTTTCAGTCTTTCTTCTTAACTAAATATTCTAATATTTTATCTGCATATGAAACATGTTTATCCCTAATGTTTCATATGTGGTAATTTCATTATTCAGTTCTAAATATTTTCTAATTTCCATAACAAGTCTTCTTTGACTCAATTATTCAGAGGTATAATTTTTTCAAATATATAAAAAGGGATTTTTTTCATTTCTCTTTTTCTATTGACTTCTAATTTTTTCACAGTGTAAACACAGAATATATATAGTCTGTAATGATATAGATTTAAAACTCTAAAATTTTTTAAATTTCTATCAAAGTAATAGTTCACAGTTTAAAATACGTAAGCTCCAGGCCCTGCTCAACACTAGGCCCTACTCCCCACACCCTGCCCCTAGAAGCAATCAATTTCAAACTCTGTGACTTCTAAATGTCTTGCTTACACAGCTATTTTTTCTTTTCCTTTCTTTGAGACAGTCTTGCTCTGTCGCCCAGGCTCGAGGGCAGTGGTACAATCACGGCTCACTGCAGCCTTCAATTCCTGGGCAAGCAATCCTCCCACCTCAGCCTCCCAAAGTGTTGGGATTACAGGCATGAGCCACGACCACGGCCTATTTCTTCATTTTTCAACTTTAGACATTTTCTCTTCACTGTAGAAAGTCATGCTTTAGCTAATCCATCCCCCACTCCAATATCTTTTACAAAGAATCAAATTTTCTATGACCTTGCAAATCTGAAAATATTTTTACTCCGAAATTCAAAGTTGGGCTAAGCATGCAATCTTAGGTTGAAAATCAGATTCACTTTGTATTTTGAATGAACAGCTTCATTAGAGTCTAAGTTTCCACTGTTCCTAATGGTAAGTCTAGGACTATTCTGATTCCTAAATTTTAAAGGTAGTATGCTACCTGCCTTCCCTCCTATTGCCCCCTATCCCAGACAGGAACTTTCTGGGAGTTTTACTTTATCGCAGAAGTTCTAAAATTTCAGTCAGTGTGGCAATTTTTACATTTTTTAAGCTAGTCTCTCTCAATGGTGTACCTTTGCAAACTGAAGGCTCCTGCTCTATCAGTTCAAGGAAATGTTCCTGTCTTTTTGAGTTTCTCTTCTGGCCGGGCACAGTGGCACACGCCTGTAATCCCTAGCACTTTGAGAGGCCGAAGTGGGCACATCACCTAAGGTCCGGAGTTCGAGACCAGCCTGGCCAACATGGTGAAACCCCAACTCTACTAAAAATACAAAAATCAGCTGGGCGTGGTGGTGTGTGCCTGTAATCTCAGCTACCCAGGAGGCTGAGGCAGGAGAATCACTGGAACCCACGAGGTGGAGGCTGTGGTGAGCCGAGATTGCACCACTGCACTCCAGCCTGGGTGACAGAGCAAGATTCTGTTGCAAAAATGAAAATTAAAAAATCCTCTTCCCATTTCCTCTGCTTTCTGTTTTACTAGATGGATGTTGGTTCTGCTGGACTGGTTCTCAAATCTATTTTTCTGTTTTCTATCTGTTTTTTCTACTGCTTGGAAGTTTCCTCAACTTCATCTTTAACACTTTTACTGGGTTTTTTATACCTATCATAATTTCCAAGTTTTCCTGCTGTAATTCTTCCTATCTGATGGCATTCTGTCCTGTCCTTGTTTAATGCACGCAATGCTTTCTCTTAACTCTCTAAGGATAGTAATTAGCTATGGGTTTGTTTTTTTTTTTAACTTTCTTTAGATTTGTCTTTGCTTTTTCCAACTTCCTTTATTTCTATTATACTTATAATTTTGCTTTTTGCCCTATCTTTCATTAGAAACTTTTCGCAAATGTCTGTTAAATGCTACCCCAGTGACTTTGGGCTTGGTCATGCTACTTGCTTTGGTCAATGAAATGTGAGTAGACATCAAGTATACCACCATCACACAGAAATTTTATTTTTTATTTTATTTTTTATAGAGACAGGGTCTCACTACATTGCCTAGGCTGGTCTCGAACTCCTGGGCTCAAGCAATCCTCCTGCCTCAGCCTCCAAAAATGCTGGGATTACAGGTGTGAGTCACCACGCCTGGCCATGCAGAAGTTTTAAATGTGTCTTTGTGGTCTAGCTTTCTCCCCATCCCTGAGCCTCTGCCCTCTGCCATGCATGATACAGAGAGTGGCTGCTCGCTGACTACTAGTCCTGGAAAGACAGCTGGGAGCCAAGTGGAGCCAGCAGAGTTGGTGATATGGCTGCATATGATCAGCAGTCCTCATGGCCCATGTGTAAAAAAGAAAGAAATCTCAGTGGTTATAAGCCACTGAGATTTGTGATCCTATCTGTGGCTTAAATTATATACATAAATTTATATATACATAGGAATATTTCTAGACAGATTCACCAGACAATGGAAGTAGAAGAAATCAGCGAAAGAATCTCCTTCCTTTTCAAATTATATTCTTCAATAGCTTTTAATACATGTTCATGGCAAAAGCATTTTTTGTTTTGTTTTGTTTTGTTTTTTGGGACGGAGTCTCACTCTGCCACCCAGGCTGGAGTGCAGTGGTGCGATCTCGGCTCACTGCAAGCTCCACCTCCCGGGTTCACGCCATTCTCCTGCCTCAGCCTCCCGAGTAGCTGGGACTACAGGCACCTGCCACCATTCCCAGCTAATTTTTTGTATTTTTAGTAGAGACAGGGTTTCACCGTGTTAGTCAGGATGGTCTCGATCTCCTGACCTCGTGATCCGCCCGCCTCGGCCTCCCAAAGTGCTGGGATTACAGGCGTGAGCCACTACGCCCGGCCCATTTATTTTTATAATAATTACACATAAAGGGCCTCCAAGAGCACTGAAATAAAAGACTAAACATCTCCAATTTAAATTTTTTCTAAAAATAATTTTATATTAATTCAATAGATTCTCAGTAGGAAAATTGTGAAAATCAGACAAAAGATATAAATAAGAATAAAAATCACCAATTATGTCAACACCCAGACATAATTATCATTTTATTTGTGCCATTTAGAGACATGATTCACCACCTTAAATATGTAATTTTATATTCTTCTTTTCAATTTTACATTATAATAAGCACTTTACAGGGTTAAGAATTCGCAAACCTCACTTTTAATTGCTAAGTATATTTCACTATATAGATATATCATTCCTGGCTTGATCATTTCCTTAGTGTTGAACAAATATATTAATTATAATTTTTTACTACCGTAAGTAATATCTCAGACACTTCTGGGCATAAAGTATTTTCTGTATTTATGACTTTTCCTTGGGATATATTCCTATTAGCAGAATTGCTGGGTCAAAGGACATGAACATATTTAGGCTCTTGATATACTGCCAGAATGCTTTACAAAAAAATTACATGGATTTATACTCCCCCCAGCGATATCAAGGCAGCCATATCATTGGGAATTTTTTAAATTTCAGCTCACATGAGAAGCAAAAATTTCTCATTACTAGGAGGCTCAATATCTTTTCACATGTTTATTAGTCATTTACATTTTCTTCCTTTTGAATTATCTGTTCCTTTTCATTTGTTCATTCATCAAAGTCTTAGTACTTCACCAATTGATTGGTATATAATTTCTTCCACATATACTAAGCTCAGAAAGTCTATTTCTTTGTGCTTTTATACCTAACAATAGTAACATATCAACGTATCTTTCTTTCTGTGCCCTCAATAACACAATACCTATTTGATCTCTGGTTGTATATCAAAATCATCTGTGACCATTCACTTCAGGGATTTGGATTGAATTAATAGAAGATGGAGCTAGGTAAAAGTATTTTGTTCGTTTGTTTTAGACAGAGTCCCACTCTATCACCCAGGCTGGAGTGCAGTGGCATGATCTCGGTTCACTGCAACCTCCACTTCCTGACTTCTGGCGATTTTCTTGCCTCAGCCTTCTGAGTAGCTGGGATTATAGGGATGAGCCACCACACTGGGTAATTTTTGTATTTTTTGGTAGAGATGGGGTTTTGCCATGTTGGCCAGGCTGGTCCCTAACTCCTGGCTTCAAGTGATCAGCCCGCCTTGGCCTCCCAAAGCGCTAGGATTGCAGGTGTGAGCCACCACGCCTGGCCTAGGTAAAGGTATTTTTAAAAAGGTAAAACTGGAAAACAATACATTACATTCTAGGATAGAATGATCTTTAGTTTTTGTCCTGTTTTTCTTGGCTTGTTTGTTTAAAGAGAATATAGAGTGACAGGAGGTGGAAACCCTGCTTTTCGTAGCCCAACTTCCGCAGAAGGAAATGCTGGTGGCCCAAAAGTTGCAACAAACCTCTTTAAAAAGCTCTTAATACAGCTGGGCGCGGTGGCTCCTGCCTGTAATCCTACCACTTTGGGAGGCCAGGGCGGGCAGATCGCTTGAGATCAGGAGTTCAAGACCAGCCTGGCCAACATGGCGAAACCTTGTCTCTACTAAAAATACAAAAAAATTAGCCGGTGTGGTGGTAGGCACCTGTAATCCCAGCTACTCGGGAGGCCGAGGCAGGAGAATCACTCGAACCTGGAAGGTGGAGGTTGTAGTGAGCCAAGATCATGCCACTACTCTCCAGCCTGGGCAATAGAGTAAGACTCCGTCTCAAAGTAAAAAAAAAAAAAAAGCTCTTAATACTTAATCTGCTAATAACAACGAGGGAAAAAATGGCATACAATAAATTTCTCTGGAGGAAGTCAGATGTCACTATATTCATCACGAGATTTTACAAAAGCTATGTCTCTTACCTGTTTGCAGAGTACTAGGGAAAGACAAGGTGACTTTTTCATCTTCATTCTGATAGTTAAATCCTGTAGCATGTATTTCTGGAATGAGAAAAAAAAATACTTCACAATTCTGACTGGACTGACAAGACGAAATCAAGACTGCAACATTTTCAAGAGCAAAATCTCTACAAAAACTAAATATTCTTAATTTGGTGAATTAAGTTCCTATTAGCAAGAGTTTCATTTCAAATGAGCCTATTCTAGGTTACATTAACTACATTAAATATGCTCCTTAAAAATAATTACAAATTCTTTAAAATTCACAAAACGTCAGTGATGTACAGGAAAGAAGGCTTTATAAATGTGATGCTTTTCTATCAGATTCCTGTGTGACGATGATATTGTGATATTGCAGTCTTACTCATGAACATTTGAGACTTGGCAACTTGCCAAGATTTCAGTGTTAAAGATACATCAAGGAAAGGTCTGTTCCCCAAAGGTAAGTAGCAATTCAAACTAAGATATAAATCATACCCACTTCTGGTAAAATTCTTTGTTGTGGCCAGGCGTGGTGGCTCACGCCTGTAATCCCAGCACTTTGGGAGGCCGAGGCAGGCGGGTCACCTGGGGTCAGGAGTTCAAGACCAGCCTGACCAACACGGAGAAACCCCGTCTCTACTAAAAATACAAAACTAGCCGGCTGTGGTGGTGCATGCCTATAATCTCAGCTACTTGGGAGGCTAAGGCAGGAGAATCGCTTGAACCCGGGAGGCAGAGGTTGCAGTGAGCCAAGATCGCATCATTGCACTCCAGCCTAAACAACAACAGAGAAACTCTGTCTCAAAAAAAAAAAAATTATTTGTTGTTACATGAAAACAGGTATGCAAATTGAATTAAGGCTTTGACTTACTCTCTGCCAGGAATGAGAAGAGACTGCTTATTTGACTGATACTTTAGGATGCTTGGACATGTTAGGGAAATAACCAAAGACACCAACTTCCAACTATGTCCTATCCCCATTCCAAATGAAAAGCTGGCCAATCAGGCCGGACATGGTGGCTCACACCTATAATCCCAGCATTTTGGGAGGACGAGGCGTGTGGATCACCTGAGGTCAAGAGTTCGAGAACAGCCTGGCCAACATGGCGAAACCCCATTTTTACTAAAAATATAAAACTTAGCCAGGCATGGTGGCAAACGCCTCTAATCCCAGCTATGCGGGAGGCTGAGGCATGATAATTTAGAATTGCTTGAACTCAGGAGGCGGAGGTTGCAGTGAGCCGAGATTGTGCCACTGTACTCCAGCCTGGGCGACAGAGCGAGACTCTGTCTCAAAAAAAGAAAAAAAAAAAAAAAGTATAAGGTAGGATGTAGAGAAACTGGAGCATATATTGATAGTGGGAATGTAAATGGTGCAGCCACTTTTGGAAAACAGTTTGGCAATTCCTCAAAAGGTTAAATACAGAGGTATCATGTGATACAGCAATCCCATTCCTAAGTATATGTCCAAGAGAAATGAAAACACATGTCCACATAATGTTTGTATACAAATGTTCATAGTAGCATTATTTATAATAATCCCAAAATGAAAACAACTCAAATGTCCATCAACTGATGGAATAGATAAAATGTGGTATATCCATACAACTGAATGTTATTTGACAATAAAAAGAAATGAAATAGCTGACACATGCTACAACGTAAATAACCTTGAAAACATTATACCAAGAAACCAGCCACATATTTGTCCATAACAGGGCAATCTATGGAGGCTGAAAGTAGATTCATAGTTGCCTAGGGCTAGGTGATAGAGGGGAAATAGGCAGGGTACTTTCTTTCTGGAGTTCAGAAAGTGTTCTAAAATTGATTGTGATGATGGCTGTACAACTCTGTAAATAGACTAAAAACCGCTGAATTGTATGCTTTAAATATTAATAGATGACATGTATGGTATGTGAATTATACATCAATAAAGCTATTATTGAGGTGGGGAGAAAGGAAAGTACTACAGAAAGACAAGGGAGGAGAGGTGGCCATGAGTACCTTTATCAGTCACAGGATGCTGTGGGTAACAATGATTCAGATTACATAACATTTTACAGGCAAGATGCCCATAATTCTTCCTTTCTTTTATGAATCACCCAAATATAGGATTTCAAATGTTTCTGCTGTCACTATGGTTCACACATTTTTATAAAGCCAAAATCTCTACAAAACCAATTAAGAAACTGTAATTTCAGATTTTAAAAGAACTTTAATAAATCCTCTAATCAAATCTTCCTCATTTTACAGATGAAGAAAATGAGACATATAAAGTTAATGGTTTGTCACATGTTAACTAGCTAGACTACAACTCAGTTCCCTCACTTCTATTGCCAAAATTATTTCTACAATCACAAGCTAGCTCCTAAATTTGTTTGGTTTTGTTTTGTTTTTTGAGACAGGGTCTCACTTTGTTGCCCAGGCTGGAGTACAGTGGCACTATCTCAACTCACTGCTACCTTTCCCATCAGGTTCGGGAGATTCTCCCACCTCAGCCTCCGGGGTAGCTGGGGACTACAGGCGTGAGGTGCCACTAGGCCCATCTAATCTTTTGTATTTTTAGTAGAGACAGGGGTTTCCCCATGTTGTCCAGCCTGGTCTCAAACTCCTGGATTCAGGCAATCTACCCACCTCAGCCTCCCGAAGTGCTGGGATTACAGGGCTGAGCCACCGTGCCTGGCCCAGCTCCTAAATTTGAATAGAAATCAAATTTGACAAGAATCACTTCAATGCTTAAGAATGTTCCTTTCTGGGCTGGGCGCAGTGGCTCACGCCTGTAATCCCAGCACTTTGGGAGGCCGAGGTGGGTGGACCATGCGTGGTGGTGCATGCCTGTTATCTCAGCTACTTGGGAGGCTGAGGCAGGAGAATCACTTGAACCTGGGAACGGAGGTTGCAGTGAGCCAAGATGTGCCACTGCACTACAGCCTGGAGACAGAGTGAGACTCTGTATCAAAAAAAAAAAAACAAAAAACCTACAGCTGTTGAATAAAAAGGTAAACAACCCAATTTAAAAATGGCAAGACTTAAACTTCACAAAGGAAAATTTATAAATGGCAAAAAAAAAAAAAAGCACATAAAAAAGTGTTCAGCATCATTAGCCATTAAGGAAAGGCAAATTAAAATCACAATGACATATCACTACACATCCATTAGACTAGGCTATTAAATGACTGACAATAAAAATGTTGCCCAGGGCCAGGCATGGTGGCTCTTGCCTGGAATCCCAGCACTTTGGGAGGCCAAGGCAGGAGGATCACCTGAACCCAGGAGTTCAAAACCAACCTGGGCAACACAGGAAAAATAAAAAAAAATTAGTCATACGTGGTGACACAAACCTGTGGTCCCAGCTACTCCAAAGGCTGAGGCAAGAGCATTGCTGAAGCCTAGGAGGTTGAAGCTGGAGTGAGCCATGAACATGCCACTGCACTCCCATCTAGGTGACAGAGTGAGACCCTGTCTCGAAAAAGAAAAAAAAATGTGCAGGGTGTAGCACAATAACTAGAAGTCATGCTGGTGGTGCCTCTTTTACTATTCAGACTGTAAGCATTTTCCAACCCCAGGGTTTCTGCATCTGCTTGCAAAGTCTCCAGATATCTAAACACTTTATGTCATTCAGGCCTCTGCTCAAATCACTTTTTTTTTTTTTTTTGAGACAGGGTCTCACTCTGTTGCCCAACCTGGAGTACAGTGCTGCCATCTTGGCTCACTGCAACCTTGACCTCTCAGGTTCAAGTGTTCCTCCCACCTCAGCCTCCCAAATAGCTGGGACTACAGGCGCCCACCATCACACCCGACTAATTTTTGTATTTTTTATAGACATGGGGTTTCACCATGTTGCCCAGGCTGGCCTCAAACTCCCGAGCTCAAGCGATCCTCCTGCCTCAGCCTCCCAAAGTGCAGGGATTACAGGCATGAACCACCACACGAAGCCTCGAATCATCTTTTTTTTTTTTTGAGATGGAGTCTTGCTCTGTCGCCCAGGCTGGCATGCAGTGGCATGATCTTGGCTCACTGCAACCTCCGCCTCCCGGGTTCAAGCACTTCTGCCTCAGCCTCCCGAGTAGCTGGGACTACAGGCACGCACCACCACGCCTGGCTAATTTTTGTATTTTTAGTAGAGACGGAGTTTCAGCACGTTGGCCAGGATGGTCTCAGTCTCTTGACCTCATGATCCACCCGCCTCGGCCTCCCAAAGTGTTGGGATTACAGGTGTAAGCCACCACGCCCAGCCTCAAATCACTTCTTTAAAGATCTGTTCTATCAACTTGAAGAACAATCCTCATTCTATACCCTCTTGTGATTTTACAGCACTTATCACTACTTTACATCACATATTTGCTTGTTGCCTGTCTTCTCAAATATCAGAAATGTTGATGCTTGATTTTGTTCACAGCTCTACTTCCAATGCTAGCAGTTTCTGGCACATAGTGTGTGTTCAGTAAGTATCTGTAGAATGAATGAATCACTTCAAAAGCAACAGACTAAGTAATTATGTCATGGAGATCATTAATGCTACTCATATGAAATATATTAATGAAAAATCACATTTACTAATGTTATGTGAATAGAGACATGGCTAGGGATAAAATTTCCAGTCACAACATAATATACTGATTCAAATAAGGATCTATCTCAAACCTCTTAGAAGATAATATTTGCTCTGGAACTGTTAGATTGTTTAAAGGGTAGAAACCCATAAATACTGAAGATGCATATGAGAAGTCTGAGGAGGCTTCACTGGAGAAAAAAGTATTTCTAAATTAATGTTTACATTAATACTAATATATAATTAGTATATTTATATATTATAGTAATATATAATACTGATATGATAAATGAATAATTCATTCACTAATACAGTTTGCAATATATTCATAATTGGAAATGTATATATATGTAAATTAAGCATTGTACATAGACACTTCACTATATATCGTGTATCAATACAACTTAAACTTGATCGAAAACTTTTAAAAATGGAGTATGAGAGAATCTTATAAGGTATATATGATTATTCAATTCTCTAAGCCTCCGTTTCCACACCTATAAAATTAAAATCATATCATTACCTAATTCTTTCTTTTTAAAATTGAGATAAGGGTCTCACTATGTTGTTCAGGCTGGTCTCAAACTCCCGGGCTCAAGCACTGGCAATCCTCCCACCTCAGCCTCCTGAGTAGCTGAGATTATAGGAGTATACCATTGTGCCTGGCACCTGCTTCTTAATTAAAGATTGGGGGCCAGGCACGGTGGCTCACACCTGTAATCCCAGCACTTTGGGAGACCGAGGTGGGAGGATCACTTGAGGTCAGGAGTTTGAGTCCAGCCTGGCCAACATGGTAAAACTAAACATACAAAAATTAGCACGGCATGGTGGCGTGCGCCTGTAATCCCAACTACTTGGGAGGCTGAGGCAGGAGAATCGCTTGAACCTGGGAGGTAGAGGCTGCAGTGAGCTGAGATCGCACCACTGCACTCAGTCTGGGCAACAGAGTGAGACTCCATCTCAAAGAAAAAAAAAATTATATAATATACTCTTATATAAAACACACAGCACAGTTCCTAGTTATTGTTAAGAAACACTTTTCAGGGCCGGGAGCAGTGGCTCACGCCTGTAATACCAGCACTTCTGGAGGCCAAGGAGGGCGGATCACGAGGTCAAGAGATCGAGACCATCCTGGCCAACATGGTGAAACCCCGTCTCTACTAAAAATACAAAAAATTAGCTGGGTGTGGTGGCACGTGCCTGTAGTCCCAGCTACCCAGGAGGCTGAGGCAGGAAAATGGCGTGAACTCGGGAGGCGGAGCTTGCAGTGAGCCGAGATCGTGCCACTGCACTCCAGCATGGGCAACAGAGCAAGACTCCATCTCAAAAAAAAAAAAGAATCACTTTTCTAGATCATAACACACCTTACAGTTCTTTATTGATCCAACTGCAATTGGTCCATTATATACATATATATAACAGCTTTTGCTGAAACTACTTATTAGGCCTTTTAAATATAATTAGCATTTTAAAATCTATAAACATATATATTTGGGTATAAGCATCTATGTGTAAGTGTGTTAGTCATCTATTAAATAGAAGTAAAATTTGATTATAAACATAGCATGTATAAAACCATGACCAGGCTGGGCATGGTGGCTCATGCCTGTAATCCCAGGACTTTGGGAGGTCAAGATGGGCAGATCACCTGAGGTCAGGAGTCTGAGACCAGCCTGTCCAACATGGTGAAACTCCATTACTACTAAAAATACAAAAATTAGCCAGGCGTGGTGGTGCACGCCTGTAATCCCAGCTACTCGGGAGGCTGAGGCAGGAGAATCGCTTGAAACGGGGAGGTGGAGGTTGCAGTGAGCTGAGATCACGCCACTGCACTCCAGCCTGGCTGAGAGAGCGAGACTCCGTCTCAAAAAAAAAAAAAAAAAAAAACAACAAAAAAAACCATGGCATTATAAAATGACCATAAGCAAAATCAAAAGAGAAGTATATATTGGGGGAAAAATGCTCCAACTCATGATGGAAGGTTAATTTCACTCAAATATAAAGACCACGTTTTAAAAAATCAATAACAAGAATAAGAATAACACTGAAATTTAAAATGGACAAATATGAATAAATTACAGAAAAAGGAAACACAAATGGTTTTTAAAATATAATGAAGAGATTCTTTTTTTTTTTACAATTAACTAAACTTTTTTTAAAATTAACTAAAGTTGGTATTTCACTAGGACGATTTAGCAGATGAAATGGGTTTTAAGTTTAGAACACCATTTCTTCTTCCTTATTACATTTCCCTTTTTAATGTTAGCCCTCTACAAACACACACGTATATACACACACACACACACACACACACTCTGCATCAAAAAAGCCTTCCTACATTAATACTTGAGCATGATAACCTTACAATGAAAGGTAAATCATTAGTTGAATCATGAAACATTTTCTTCCCCTTGTGGAGAAAAATCAAATTGCTTTTCCTCTGCTCTTACACCACAATCATCAACACAGTAGACTTCTGTGACCAAATGTGTGGGGATTTCTCCCCACCAACAAGAAGCAATCAGTTCTGCAGAAGATACCACCAGCTGAGCACCTTCTAATCCAATTCAATTCTCATGCTATCTACCTGGAGATAGCATTAGATCCCACAGGCTGAGAGAGGGCTCAGTCTCACAAGACTGCCCCCACTTCAGACACTAGTTGTAAGGCCAGGCCTCATCCAGAACTTCTGGCCAACCAGCTTCAAGTCAGTGTTCCCATGACCCCCTTCTTAGGTTTGATTAATTTGCTAAAGCTGTGCCCAGAACTCAGGAAAACACGTGTACTGGTTTATTATAAAGAATAGCACAAAGAATGCAGATGAAGAGGTGCACAGAACAAGGCATGTGGGAAGGGGTGCAGAGCTCTCATACCCTCCCTGGGTGCACCACCCTCCAGGACCCTCCACGTGTTCAGCTATCTGGAAGCTCTCTGTACCCGGTCCAGGACTTCACTGGACCGTCACGACTGAAGCATGGACAACCGGGTAGAAATATGATTGGACAAAGTAGGACCTAATGCTAACAGACTGAGTGGGGAAACCTAGCAAGGCCTCTCTGTTCAGAGTCTTCTTGGCCTCTCTGTGCAACTTCTTTCCTCCCAAGTACAGGGCAGGATGCCTTCTGAAATGGGGGTCTTATGACCTCCAATCAGACAAGGTAGGTCAGATAATTTCTTTGCTGTCAGCTCCAAGACAGAATGTTGGGGGATGATCAGAGTATATTTTTAGTTTCTATTGCCTGCTTGGGGAGAAAAAGGAGCAGGTAAAAGCAAGGCAAGAAAAGGTCAGAGAGCGATTCTGTTTTCTGAAGCCTGCTTCTGAGGTTTAAAGTGCCCCAACGTTATTACAAAAGACCATCTTTCACTTTTATTGATCTGAAGCTGTACTGAAGCCACTTCAAAAACCAAGAATAAAAGGCCAAATATTTCAATAAAATATATGTATATTGTTTTAGTCACTTAGGAAATAACAGGGACTATGGGTGTTCTATGACAGAAACTGTGGATGAAAACCAACATATGTATCATAATATCATAGCACCCTCCCCAACCTTTTTTTTTTTTTTTTTTTTTTTTGTTTGAGACAGGGTCTCACTGCATTGCGTAGGCTTGTCTTGAACTCCTGGGCTCAAGCAATCCTTGTGCCTTGGCCTCCCAAAATGCTGGGATTGCAGGCATGAGCCACTGTGCCAGGCCCCCTTTATGTCTATACATAATAAAACTTAATCACATAAAAGGAGGTATAGGGAAAATGAGAAGTACAAGATGGTATTTCAAGAGGCAACATTAAAAAAAGATTGAAATTTTTTAAAATAGCTGAAATCATTATTGCTTATACCATCTATACAAGCATCTAGTGGATTCTGCCTAGGCATTACATTGAGATACAGAAATAAAATCTTCTAAAATTTCAATATCAGAAGTGCCAAGTCAACTGTACTTCAAATTTTCCTTTACAAATTATCTATTTGAAACTCAGAATGTATTTTCCTCCAAGCCACTGCTATACTTAAACAAGTAATCTAAACCACATAATTCTATATAGCCCACATATACCAGTGTAGCTCAGTACTAGATCAAACACATTGTGAGGTTTTATTTTGTTTTTTTATTCAGATAGCAACTTCCCTATCATATTGTTTATGTGGTTTTAGAAAGCAGTTCAGGTGCAAAAAAATAAAGTTCACAGTTCAAAGAAGGCCTACAGTGACTACCTGCTACTTGGAACATACTTTGTTTCTCCACAAAGCTGAAAATAATGTTGCAATGGGAAAGAAAACACATCATTCTGGAGGATATCCAAGGGGGATTCAAGTGAAAAATGGAACCAAGAACTTACTTTGCAAAGCTTCAAGGTGACCTCCTTCTCACCGTAGGGCATAAAAGCCAATCAGATATATGCATAGTTACAGTTCAAGCAGTACCTATACTGACAGGTCCCATATTTCCAAATGGATTTCACATTTATATAACATAGTGATGGTTCTATCCTATTAGGCTATCTAAAAAGTCTAAAAAGAATGAGCATGTGCCAAATATAAATCTGGTTCAACAGAATCAAAAAATTCCTTCTAGGGTGCCCCTGCTCTTAATAAATGACTGTGAACTATTTCATTAAAATCACTCAGGATTCTGGACCAGGATTTCCATTGATTATGTGGTCTTACACGGTTACTTAATTTGTCTAGGTCTCAGTTTATCTTTTTTTTTTTTAAAGGATTTTATATTTGGGTAATAGAGGAGTATATAATTCAAACTAATTATCTCTCTCCTACTTGACACCCACAAAACTAAAAAAGCTGGAAGGAAGGGAAAACTTCTCCTTAAAAGAATCATAGAACAAGATAAGGTGATCAAGATGAAGAAGAGGATGAAATTCCATAAAGAGGAAGCTTTGCATTCTAGGCCACTTTTGCTCTGGGGTCATTTGCTGATCTAGCAGAGATGTAGCAGATTTGGAAGCTGAGGCTATAGGCCCCAGGGACAAAAGTGGAAATCCAGGGCCCATCAACACTGGGGGCTTTGTGGCTGGGTGGGCACTGTGTCTGTAATCCCAGCATTTTGGGAGGCGAGGTGGAAGGACTGCTTAAGCCCAGGAGTTTAAGTAACATAGTCTATCTAGGTAGCACAGTGAGACTCTATCTCTATTAGAAGAGACAAGACAAGACAAGACAAGAAGCTTGAGTAAATGACCCCCTCCTTTGGGCTTGAAACCAAAAAAGTGATATCCTACCAGGAAAGATGAACAAGAAGAAAAGCAGTCCACAAGTGGAATGTGATTAAACTTCTGAACATCTGAAGCCCAGACACTGGAAAAAGATGAACCTTAAGTATTAGTAACCAACGGGGAACAAAACAAAGCTCCCCTAGATACTAGCAAACTATTCATATACCTGCTTACTATGTTCAAAAATATAAAATCCCAATCCTGAAAAATTTGGCAAGTAACGCGAAGTTACTTTAAAAAAACAAACAAACAAACAAAACCCCCAAAAAAACCCAAAACCAAGCAAAACAAAGAAAACAAGCAAATCTGGAAAAATTAATTCTAGAACAAAAATATGTAATAAGAAAAAACAGGCCAGGCACGGTGTCTCATGCCTGTAATCCCAACACTTTGGGAGGCTGAGGTGAGAGAATCCCTTGAAGCCAGGAGTTCGAGACCAGCCTAGGCAACAAAGCAAGACCCCATCTCTACTAAAAAAAATTAGCCAGGCACCATGGTAGCGTATATCTGTAGTTCCAGCTACTCAGGAGGCTGAGGTGGGAAGATCACTTGAGTTCAGGAGTTTGAGGTTGCAGTAAGCTGCGATCCTGTCACTGCACTCTGGCCTGGGTGACAGAGCAAGACCCTGTCTTTTTTTTTTTTCCCTCTTTTTTGAGATGGAGTCTCGCTCTGTTGTCCAGGCTGGAATGCAATGGCGCAATCTCGGTTCACTGCAACCTCCGTCCGCCTCCCGGGTTCAAGCAATTCTCCTGCCTCAGCCTCTCAGGTAGGGGGGACTACAGGCATGCGCCACCACGCCCGGCTAATTTTTTGTATTTTTAGTAGAGACAGGGTTTCACCATGTTAGCCAGGATGGTCTCGATCTCCTGACCTTGTGATCCACCCACCTCGGCCTCCCAAAGTGCTGGGATTACAAGCGTCAGCCACCACACCCAACCGCAAGACCCTATCTTAACAAAAAAAGAGGCCGGGCATGGTGGCTCACGCCTAGAATACCAGCACTTCGGGAGGCCAAAGCAGGCAGATCACCTGAGGACAGGAGTTCAAGACCAGCCTGGCCAACATGGTGAAACCCCGTCTCTACAAAAACACAAAAATTAGCCAGGCGTGGTGGCAGGCGCATGTAATCCCAGCTACTTGGGAGGCTGAAACAGGAGAATCGCTTGAACCCAGGAGGCAAAGACTGCAGTGAACCGAGATCTAGCCACTGCACTCCAGCATGGGTGACAGAGCGAGACTCCGTCTCAAAAAAAAAAGTGGGGGGTGGGCCAGGTGTGGTGGCTCATGCCTGTAATCCCAGCACTTTGGAGGCTGAGGCATGTGGATCACTTGAGGTCAGGAGCTCAAGACCAGCCTGGCCAACGTGGTGAAACCCCATCTCTACTAAAAATAGAAAAAATTAGCCAGGAATGGTGGCACAAGCCTGTAATCCCAGCTATTTGGGAGGCTGAGGCAGGAGAACTGCTTGAACCTGGGAGGCAGAGGTTGCAGTGAGCCGAGATCACACCACTACACCCCAGCCTGGGCAGCAGAGCGAGACTCCATCTCTAAATAAATAAATAAAAATTAATTAATTAATACAAATAAAAACCCACAAAAATGAGCCAGGTGTGGTGGCGTACACCTGAAGTCCCAGCTACTCGGGAGGCTGAGGCACAAGAATTGCTTTAAGCCGGGAGGTGGAGGTAGCAGTAAGTTGAGATAGAGCCACTGTACCCCAGCCTGGGTGACAGAGACTCTGTACAAAAAAAAAATAACACGGAATCAAATCATAATTGCCTGGGGAAGGAGCAAGGAAAAGGGGAGAAAAGGATTATAAAGGGGCATGAGGAAATGTTCTAGGGTGATGAATATGCTCATTACCTGGTTACATTCATGAGAAAACTTATCAAATTACATATTTTAAGATGTACCCTTTATAGTATGTCAACATTACAGGTACTCTCACAAAGCTATCAACAAAAATAGGAAAGCAGCAGCAGCAAGCAACAACAGCCATAACTACTGCCTGGAGAATTTCCCCCAAAACAAACAAACCAAAAAAAGTGTGGGCTGCAGCTAAAAGCAGTACATTTTTAGGATTAAAATTTATATTTAAATGAATATAATAGAAAGAAGGACTGAAAAGTAATAAGCCAAACATCCATCTCAAGACTTCTGTTTGTTTTTTGTTTTTTTTTAAGGGCAGTCAAGTGAAGCAGTGGGAGTGAAGGAGGAATAAAGAAATCTGTAACTGGCTATGATTGATGAGTTATAAACACCACTGCACTGGGACCAGCCTAAAGAAGTTTTTTTAAATCTGCAAAGTAGACCGGGCACGGTAGCGGTGGCTCACACCTGTAATCCCAGCACTTTGGGAGGCCAAGGCGAACCGATCACTTGAGGTCAGGAGTTTGAGACCAGCCTGACCAACATGGTAAAACTCCGCCTCTACTAAAAATACAAAAATTAGCTGGGTGTGGTGGCACATGCCTTTAATCCTAGCTATCAGGAGGCTGAGGCATAAGAATCACTTGAAACCAGAAGGCAGGGATTGCAGTGAGCCAAGATCACGCCACTGCACTCCAGCCTGCGTGACAGAGTAAGACTCCGTCTCAAAAATAAAAAAAAAAAAACCTTGCAAAGTAAACCCAAAGGAAGCAGAAGTTAATAAGGAAATAATAGTTAACTGAGGTCTACAAAGCAATGGTTAGTTCTTTGAGAAAAAAAGCAAGAAAACTGAAAAAGATCTGGGATCAAGAAAAAAGTAAAACAGGCTGGGTGCGGTGGCTCATGCCTGTAATCCCAGCACTTTGGGAGACCACGGCAGGTGGATCACAAGGTCAGGAGTTCGAGACCAGCCTGGCCAACATGGGAAACCCCATCTCTACTAAAAATACAAAAATTAGCCGGGCGTGGTGGCCTGCGTCTGTAGTCCCAGCTACTTGGGAGGCAGAGGCAAGAGAACTGCTTGAACCCGGGAGGCAGAGGTTGTAGTGAGCCGAGGTCACGCCAGCACAAGACTCCATTTCAAAAAAAAAAAAAAAGTAAAACAGAAGGCACAAATAAATAAAATGAGCCCTGACTACTACCTAACTTCCCTTCTAATTCTATTAACTTGAAACTATAGCAGAGCTTCCCTAACTGTGGCAGATCCAAACATGTATTACAGGTTTATCAAGATAATAATTCCCTTGGCCCTTGGACCAGCCTGGTAGGCCTAGAGCAATGAAAGATCTCTGATACCCTCCAGTTGTGAGCCTCCTCTTCCTTATGTACCAGGAAAACATCAGTTTCTACTAATGCCTTGAAAAAAAGTAAGGAAGCATTGATTTGGAGAACAACTAACTCTTCCAGCTTCACACTTAAGAACAGCATACACGGCCGGGCGCGGCGGCTTGTGCCTGTAATCCCAGCACTGCGGGAGGCTGAGGCAGGCGGATCACCTGTGGTCGGAGGTTCGAGACCAGCCTGACCAACATGGATAAACTCCATCTCTACTAAAAATACAAAATTAGCCGGCTGTGGTGGTGCATGCCTGTAATCCCAGCTACTCAGGAGGCTGAGGCAGGAGAATCACTTGAACCCGGGAGGCTGAGGTTACGGCGAGCCGAAATCATGCCATTGCACTCCAGCCTGGGCAATAAGAGCGAAACTCCATCTCAAAAAAAAAAAAAAAAAGAACAGCATACACTACAATGTTACTAACATTATGCAATCAGTGTTTTCTCTACATTTAATGCAAAAACTACATAATTTACAGCAGTTTTTTATGCTCTCCATTTTCTTAATATTTAAAATACTGTAAAGAATCTTTACAATTAGTAAGTATCTTGATGGTAGTCCTCAAAGGGAAGTAAAATACAAGTTAAAGCTGGTAACAAAATAATCTCAAATACGAAATAATTTTGTTACCCATAAAGTTACTAGGATAGAGCACATGAAGAAATGCAGACCTGACAAGTCCCCCTTATCTGCAGTTTCACTTTCCACAGTTTCAATTGCCTAGAGTCAACTACAGTCTGAAAATATTAAATGGAAAATTCCAGAAACAAACAATTCATAAGTTTTAAACTGTACTGTTCTGAATAGTGTGATGAAATCTTGTGCCCTCCCATTCCATTCTGCCCAGAACATGAATCATCCCTTTCTCCGACCTATCCATGCTGTATATATATGCCACCCAGCCCATTAGTCACATAGTAGCCATCTCAGTTATCAGATTGACTGTCAATGTATCACAAGGCTTGTGTTTAAGTAACCTTTATTGTACTTAATAATGGCCTCAAAGCACAAGAGTAGTGATGCTAGCAGTTTGGAAATGTCAAAGAAGAAGAGTGAGTATAATACAATAAGATACTATAAGAGAGGCTGGGCACAGTGGCTCATGCCTGTAATCCTGGCACTTTGGGAGGCTGAGGCAGGAGGATCGCTTGAAGCCAGGAGTTCAAGACCAACTTCAGCAATAAAGCCAGACCTGACTCACAAAAAATTTTTACAAATTTGCTGGGTGTGTTGGTGCATACCTATAGTCCTAGCTAACTGGGAGGCTGAAGCAGGAGGATCACTTGAGCCCAGCAGTTTGAGGCTGCAGTGAGATATGATGGCACCACTGCACTCCAACCTGGGCAACAGAGACTCTGCCTCTAAAAATAAATAAAAGAAATAATTTTTTTTAAAAAGAAGATATTGGCTGGGCGCGGTGGCTCATGCCTGTAATCCCAACACTTTACGAGGCTGAGGGGGGAAGATCACCTGAGGTCAGGAGTTTGAGACCAGGCTGACCAACATGGAGAAACCCTGTCCCTACTAAAAATACAAAATTAGCCAGGCGTGGTGGCGCATGCCTGTAATCCCAGCTACTTGGGAGGCTGAGGCAGGAGACTTGCTTAAACCCGGGAGGCAGTGGTTGCAGTGAGCCGAGATCACACCATCGCACTCCAGCCTGGGCAACAAGAGTGAAACTGCATCTCAAAAAAAAAAAAAAGATATTGTGGCTCACACCTGTAATCCCAGCACTTTGGGAGGCCGAGGCGGGCAGATCACGAGGTCAGAAGATGGAGACCATTCTGGCTAACACGGTGAAACCCCGTCTCTACTAAAAACACAAAAAATTAGCCGGGTGTGGTGGCATGCGCCTGTAGTCCCAGCTACTCAGGAGGCTGAGGCAGGAGAATCGCTTGAACCTGGGAGGCAGAGATTGCAGTGAGCTGAGATCGCACCATTGCACTCCAGCCTGGGCGACAGAGCAAAGTCTCAAAAAAAAGAAAAGAGAGAGAGATGCACACAACATTCATGTAACTTTTATTACAGTATATTGTTATAATGGTTCTATTTTTTATTAGCTTTTGTTAATTTCTTACTATTTCTAATGTAAAAATTAAACTTTATCATAGTACATATGTATAGGGAAAAACATAGCATATATAAGTTTTGCTACTATCTGTGGTTTCAGGCGTACCATTGGGGGTCTTAGAACACATCTGCCATAGATAAGGAGGAACTACTGTATGACAGACTTACTCCATTTATCTAGATTTTCTTCGTTTCATTCAATGTATATTTATTAAATCCCTACTATATGTCAGATACCAGGGAAAACCACAAATGAAAAAGAATGAATCATAATTACTGGATCTTTTTTTTTTTTTTTTTGAGTAGAAGTCTCTTGTCCCCCAGGCTGGAGTGCAATGGCGTGATCTTGGCTCACTGCAACCTCTGCCTCCCAGGTTCAAGCAATTCTCCCACCTCAGCCTCCCGAGTAGCTAGGATTACAGGCGCCTACCACCACACCCAGCTAATTTTTGTACTTTTTTTTTTAGTAGAGACGAGGTTTCACCATGTTGGCCAGGCTGGTCTTGAACTCCTGACCCTAGGTGAGCCGCCCGCCTCGGCCTCCCAAAGTGCTGGGATTACAGCCATGAGCTACCATGCCCGGCCCCTCAAGGATCTTAAGATTCCATTGAAAAGTAGTACAGACATGACACAAACAAATAATTGCAATATGGTGTGGTTACATTAATGACAAGCAATAGAGTGGCAAGTACATGGACCCTAGATCCAAACCGCCTGGGTTTGAATCCTGGCTCTAACATTTATCAGTTTTATTACCTAAAGTAGATACCCTCTCTGTGCCTACGGTTGTTCTCTATATGAACAGGTAATGCACTTAGTGCCTGGTATAGAGTAAACACTAAACTCATCATTATTTTTATAATTATCACTATTAAACATTATATTATGAAAAATGTTTCACTTGGTTAGACACCTAACCTGAACTGGAGGTTAAAAAGAAGATAAAACGTTCCCTCTATAGTCAGCAATAAGCCAACTAAATTCCTAAAACAGCAGTCACTAAAGCAATCCATATCACCTTAAGGCTATTTAAATAACGTTTTAAAACTTACCAAGTATAACTAAGACAAAATTTAAAACTATTCTACGCTCATATACTTTGTATATAGCCATATGGAAACCTACACAGGTTCTTTATCAGACAGCCCCTCAATATTATTCAAAACCAACAAATGTAAAAATGAAAGAATGCAAATACACTGCAAACTTCATGTTCTTTATCTCTGATTTGCACTAAAAAGGAATAAAGGGGCTGGCTAACTATCACTTGCTCCTTCTAATGCTGACATTTATTTGGCTCCAGTTTGAACTAATGATACTTAAGGGTTGTTTATTTGAGAATGGATCTATCCTGCATAGAAACCAGAATATACTTCACAGATAAGCATAGAAATCCAAACAAGGGCCAGGCACAGTGGCTCATATCTGTAATCCCAGCACTTTGGGAAGCTGAGGTAGGAGGACTGCTTGAGTCTTGGAGTCTGAGACCAGCCTGGGGAACATTGCAAAACCCCATCTCTACAAAAATTAAAAAATTAGCCAGGTGTGGTGGCACATGCCTGCCATCCCAGCTCTCCGGGAGGCTGTGGTGGGAGAGTAACTTGAGCCCAGGAGGCTGCAGTAAGCCATGACTGTGCCACTGCATTCCAGCCTGGATGACAGAGAAAGACCTGTCTCAAAAAAAAAAAAAAAAAAAGAAATCCCAACAAACAAGATCAGAAATTAGAAACTTAAGACTTTTGTCTTAATGTTAACACTATATAAACTCTTCCTCTTTGAAAAATATGCCCTCTGTTTGTCACTATTGTCTTGGCAATTCGTTATACTTTCTCACAAGCAAAGAAACCTATTTCAGACTTGCGTTCACACTTATCAAACTATCACTTAAACAGAGTATTTAAGGTCTGGTGCAGTGGTTCACACCTGTAATCCCAGCACTTTGGGAGGCCAAGGTGGGCGTCAACAGTTTGAGAGCAGCCTGGCCAAAATGGGGAAACCCCATCTCTACAAAAATTTAAAAATTAGCCAGGTTTGGTGGCACACACCTGTAATCCCAGCGACTTGGGAGGCTGAGGCACAAGAATCGCTTCAACCCAGGAGACGGAGGCTGTAGTGAGCCGAGATAGTGCCACTGCACTCCAGCCTGGGCAATAAGAGTGAGACTCTATCTCAAATAATAATAATAATATTTAATAAAAACTCTTTGAATGACACAAATTACCACTTAGGCAAAAAGAACCTTGGTATTTACAGGGGTAAAAAGTTCAAATAAATAATAAACTTCATTTATTATTATATATAAGCCAAGGGAATTTATTATATGCAAGGGAATCACTGTTCAGACAATGAGCTGAAGGGCCAGAATTTGTGAGACAGAAGGGGTCCTTTTCACACAATATTTACTTGAAGTTTCACAATAATCAAAGGTATCTGCTTTTAGCCCAGTTATTCATGTATACACATCAACAAGATTTAAATTAACCAAAATGTTAAATGTTTATTAAGCAGCCACCATATAATGTAGGTTTTGGAACTAGTATTTAAATGGAAGAGTATATCTTCAGAGTAAAGTTCCATTGAGAAATAGAAAAGTCTGTAAAACCAGGTCTCATCTTATAACAAGAAACTGATACTGACTTCTGTAACAAAGCTAAATAGTCTCTTGATGTGTAGTTGGCACAATTCCAGAAATCTAAACTACTAGCAAATTTGCTTATATCTGGTATAACTGGGCCGGGCGTGGTGGCTCATGCCTGTAATCCCAGCACTTTGGGAGGCCGAGGTAGGTGGATCACCTGAGGTCTCGAGTTCGAGACCAGGCTGGCCAACATGGTGAAACCCTGTCTCTACTAAAAATACAAAAATTAGCTGGGCGTGGTGGTGCACACCTGTGATCCCAGCTACTCGGGAGGCTGAGGCAGGAGAATTGCTTGAACCTGGGAGGCAGAGGTTGCAGTGAGCAAGATCATGCCATTGCACTCCAGCCTGGGCAACAAGAGTGAAACTCTGTCTCAAAAAAAAAAAACAAAAAAACATATATATATATATATCTGGTATAACTGTTACTATATCTAAAGAAAGGGATGAGAAACAAACCTTTAATTTCTACTTGAAATGATTTTTCATTTTTGCAAAGAGAAAAGGGTACATAACTAATATCCAAACAGAGTTAATAAAAGCCTATTAAGGATTATTTTAAAACAAGTTCTTTAAAAAAAAAAAAAAAAAGTTCTACTAGTTGCAGTGAGCCGATACTGCGCCACTGTACTCCAGCCTGGGCAATACAGCAAGACTCCATCTCAAAAAAAAAAAAAAAAAAAAAAACAGACACATGCCCATAGGTCTTTTAGGATGACTGCACATATCACAAAAAAATGGCCTTTTTCTTCAAATAAAAACTTACACAAAGAAGCAACAATTGGCCAGGCACGGTGGCTCACACCTTTAATCCCAGCACTTTGGGAGGCCGAGGCGGGCGGAGCACAAGGTCAGGAGATCGAGACCATCCTGGCTAATACGGTAAAATCCCGTCTCTACTAAAAATACAAAAATTAGCTGGGCGTGGCGGCGTGCGCCTGTAGCCCCAGCTGCTGGGGAGGCTGAGGCAGGAGAATGGCGTGAACCCGGGAGGCAGAGCTTGCAGTGAGCCGAGACTGCGCCACTGCACTCCAGCCTGGGCGACAGAGTGAAGACTCCATCTCAAAAAGAAAAAAAAAAAAAAATTAAAAGAAGCAACAATTTCATGCCTTAAAAGTAATTTTCTGATTTTACTTTTATCTTTTTTATTACATATATATACACACACACACACACACACACACACATACATACATGTGGAAGCCCAAATCTATCCCTGTTCCCAATCCAAACTATTTTTTTTTTTTTTTTGAGACAGAGTCTTGCTCTGTCGCCCAGGCTGGCGTGCAGTGGCACAATCTCCGCTCACTGCAACTTCCACCTCCCGGGTTCAGGCGATTCTCCTGCCTTCAGCATCCCAAGTAGCTGGAATTACAGGTGCCTGCCACCACGCCCAGCTAATTTTTGTGTTTTTAGTAGAGACGGTGTTTCACCATGTTGGCCAGGCTGTTCTCAAACTCCTGACCACAGGTGATCCGCCCACCTAGCCCTCCCAAAATGCTAGGATTATAGGTGTGAGCCACCACACCTGGCTGCCCCCAATTCAAACTTTAACAACTCATACAACTTCCCATTCTCTTAAACTCTAAAATTACATGGGCTTACACATGACTTCAGGTTTTTTCCTGTTGCTGTGGTAGAAAAGTGTTGAGAAATGTACCTTAGCTAGTTCTGAAGGAAAATATTTTTTTTTTGAGACAGAGTCTCTGTCACCCAGGCTGGCGTGCAGTGGCACGATCCTGGCTCACTGCAACCTCTGCCTCCTGGGTTCAAGCAATTCTCTGCCTCAGCCTCCTGAGTAGCTGGGATTACAGGCACCCGCCACCACACCCAGCTAATTTTTTTATTTTTAGTAGAGATGGGGTTTCACCATCTTCGCCAGGCTGGTCTTGAACTTCTGACGTCATGATCCACCCACCACAGCCTCCCAAAGTACTGGGATTACAGGCGTGAGCCACTGCACCCAGCACTGAATATATATTATGTATCTAAAATAATTTAATGTTTTATCAGAATCTCTCTTCAAATCTTCTTTTCCATTAAGTTTTCATTTCTCTCCTGACTCTCTTAGTAAGAACACTAACTGGGCTTCCGTGAGATACAGATCATTATGAGCTTAGCAACATTCGGTTACACATATTCAAAACTTTTCAGTCAGGTCGGGCGCGGTGGCTCACGCCTGTAATCCCAACACTTTGGGAGGCTGAGGAGGGTGGATCACGAGGCCAGGAGTTCAAGACCAGCCTAACAAACATGGTGAAACCCCATCTCTACTAAAAATACAAAAATTAGCCGGGTGTGGTGGCACACGCCTGTAATCCCAGCTACTCAGGAGGCTGAGGCAGAAGAATTGCTTGAACCCCAGAGGTGGAGGTTGCAGCAAGCTGAGATCGTTGGGCGACAGAGCTAGACTCCATCTCAAAAAAAAAAAAAAAGAACTTTTCAGTCACCTGAATTCTATCCCGACATTTTTAGTACAGGAAGATAAAAAACAAACTTGAGCTGAAACCATGCCAGCTGGAAGGTACACATTTATATTACTAGATCTACCTATCTACATACCACTTTAAAACCACACATCGAATTTAAACATTCTCTACCTGCAACAAAGAAAGCCTTGTTGCTTTGATATACCTGGCTAAAGTACTTCTATTTTTCTCCACAGTTAAAGAAATTAAATAATCACTCTTTCATTTACCAGACAATTTTTTAAAAGTGGCACTCATTCAAGTCCATTTGAAGAATCTGTTCTTCCAGCAGTTTGATCTAATTTACAATCAATTGAACTTAAGTACTTCTTCGGAACAGTATGTTCAACTGCTACTACTTTGACTTCCTATAGACAAAATAGTTTAAGAAAAAATCATAAATGTTATGAGGCCTTAAAATGAAACTTCTTTTCAGTATAATGTAAAGGAGAGAGGAAATCAAAATATAAAATGTAAGTTAAAAGATCAAATGTGTAAATTATTTTATTTTATTTATTTTTTTATTTTTTTTTTTGAGACGGAGTCTCGCTCTGTCGCCCAGGCTGGAGTGCGGTGGCGCGATCTCGGCTCACTGCAAGCTCCGCCTCCCGGGTTCACGCCATTCTCCTGCCTCAACCTCCCGAGTAGCTGGGACCACAGGCGCCCGCCACCACGCCAGGCTAATTTTTTGTATTTTTAGTAGAGACAGGGTTTCGCCGAGTTAGCCAGGATGGTCTCTATCTCCTGACCTTGTGATCCGCCCACCTGGGCCTCCCAAAGTGCTGGGATTACAGGCGTGAGCCACTGCGCCCGGCCTTAAATTATTTTTTATTAAAGAAGTCTCAGAGTAACCAATAACCATTTTGACAAGGAATGTCTAGGTGAAATCAAAAGTAAAAAGGCAACCAGGTGTGGTGGCTCTTGCCTGTAATCCCAGCAACCTGCGAGGCCGAAGAGGTCGGATCCCTTGAGCCCAGGAGTTCAAGACCAGCCTGGGCAATATAGGAAGACCCCCCCCATATCTATAAAAAAATACAAATACGAATATTAGCCAGGCATGGTGGTACACGCCTGTAATATCAGCTACTTGGGAGGGTGAGGTGGGAGGATGGCTTGAGACCAGGAGACAGAGGTTGTGGTAGTTGAGATCATGCCACTGCCCCCCAGCCTGGGTGACAGAGCGAGACTCTCTCAAAAAAAAAAAAGTAAAAAGCAATCCAGCTCCAATACTGATGTACTTGTAAGAGTTTATGCCAAACTTGGTATCTATTTAAAAATCAGCTCATACGGGAATAAGATTTCCAGTCAAAACGGACTACTTTCATACTAAAATTATAAGGTCTAAAACAGTTCTCGGCCGGGCGCGGTGGCTCACGCCTGTAATCCCAGCACTTTGGGAGGCCGAAGCGGGTGGATCACGAGGTCAGGAGATCAAGACCATCCTGGCTAACACGGTGAAACCCCGTCTCTACTAAAAATACAAAAAAATTAGCCAGGCGTGGTGGCGGGAGCCTGTAGTCCCAGCTACTCCGGAGGGTGACGCAGGAGAATGGCGTGAACCCGGGAGGCGGAGCTTGCAGTGAGCCGAGATCGCGCCACTGCACTCCAGGCTGGGGGACAGAGCGAGACCCCGTCTCAAAAAAAAATAAAAAATAAAATAAAATAAAATAAAATAAAACAGTTCTCATTTTATAGACACTAATCGAGTTCCACATTCTATACCATGTTTCTTTTTAGCATGTTCTTCCCCTGTAACTAACTCCATTATTTAGCTTCTAATCTTCATATTGTCTCATAAAGCAAATGTTTTTCTCTGAATTAGGAGTATGACTTATCTCAATTTTAAACTATAGTACAAAAAGAAAAAAAAACTTTAAGAAAAACATAAAAACGAAGCCTCTTTGAGGAGCCTTTCATGTTCAAAGTACTTAATTTTTCAAATAACTCATCAGCTTTATTATGCGTATTATATTCATTTTATACTTATGAAAATATGATTTCCCTAGTACCACAAAATAAGTTAATCTTGGAAGTGGAATTTTAATTGTGACATTTGCCCGGGTGTGGTGGCTCACATCTGTAATCCCAGCACTTTGGGAGGCATGCAGATCACCTGAGATCAGGAGTTCAAGACCAGCCTGGCCAACATAGCAAAACCCTGTCTCTACTAAAAATACAAAAATTAGCTAGGTATGATGGTGGACACCTGTAATCTCAGCCACTCAGGAGGCTGAGGCAGGGAGAACTGCTTGAACTCACGAGGCAGAGATAGCAGTGAGCTTAGATGATGCCACTGCACTCCAGCCTGGGCATCAGAGCAAGACTCTGTCTCAAAAAAAATAAAAATAAAAATAAATTTAAAAGTAAAATAAATTGTGACATTTATTTCACAATACTGTTAGGTTATACTATTCAATATTTCCCATAAACATTTTACCCTTTTTCTTTTTCTTTTTTTGAGTCAGGGTCTCACTCTGTCGCACAGGCTGGAGTGCAGCGGCGCAGTCATGGCTCACTGCAGCCTCGGCCACCTGGGCTCAATAGATCCTCCCACCTCAGCCTCCCAAATAGCTGGGACTACAGGCACGCACCACTATGCCTAGCTAATATTTTTGTTTGTTTGTTTGTTTTTGTTTCGCCATGTGGCCCAGGCTGGTCTCAAACTCATGGGCTCAGGGATCTGCTCGCCTCAGCCTCCCAAAGTGCTGGGATTATAGGCGTGAGCCACTTCACCCAGCTGAATTTACCCATTTCTAAAGTAACAAACACTGAAGTCTTAACCTGAAAATGTCTCTCTCTCTCTCTCTCACACACACACACACACACACACCCCCCACATATGCACATGCAGACAGCAAATTAAAATGGAAAACAGCTCTTACCTTCATCTCCTTCTGGTGCATATGAAGCTGTAATAATATCAATATCAGCACAATTCATCACAATCTGATTAGTCGCCTGCCTCACCTAAGGGGAAAAGGAAAATCAACAGTGTCAGAAATAGCCTAGATTAATAGTATATACAACTTGGCCAGGTGTGTTGGCACACACCTGTAATCCCAGCACTTTGGGAGGCTAAGCAAAGAGGATCGCTTGAGCCCAGGAGTTTGAGACCAGCCTGGAAAACATGGCGAAACCCCATCTCTACAAAAAATACAAAAATTGGCCAGGAGTTGTGATGTGTGCCTATAGTCCCAGCTACTCGGGAGGTTGAAGTGGGAGGACTGCTTGAGCCCAGGAGGTTGAGGCTGCAATAAACTGTGATTGTGCAGCTGCACTCCATCCTGGGCAACTGAGCAAGACTCTGTGTCTCTCAAATAATAATAATAATGATGTTCGTAAGACTTGAACTAATATCACAGTCAATTTTTTAAAATCCAGACTTCGCTAAAACCTAGACTGAGAATTTATGCATCAATGGTACAAATAAATGAAGTTGTAATAATCCAAAGCAACTCATATTTTCCAAATTATATTAAAAACAATAATGGATGTTTAAGTATTTCACATCACTTACATCTAACCAATGAGCCAAATAAAATAATGTTTTCTACTTAAACTTTGATTTTAAACTATTAAAGGGCTGGGCACAGTGGCTCATGCCTGTAATCCCAACACTTTGGGAGGCTGAGGCAGGAGGATTACTTGAGGTCAAAAATTCAAGACCAGCTTGGGCAACACAGTGAGACAAAAAAAAATTTTAAATTAGGAGGGTGTGATGGTACCCACCTATAGTCCTAACTACAGGAGAGGCTGAAGGAGGAGGATCCCTTAAGCCCAGGAGGTCAAGCAAGGCTGCAGTGAGCTATGATTACATCACTGACCTCCGGCCTGAACAACAGAGTGAGACTCTGTCTCAAAAAATAAAAATAGGCTGGGGGCATCGGCTCACACCTGTAATCTTGGCACCTTGGGAGGCCGAGGCAGGCGGATCACTTGAGGTCAGGAGTTTGAGATCAGCCTGGCCAACATGGTGTAACCCCATCTCTACTAAAAATTAGCCAGGTCTGGTGGCACACACCTGTAATCCCAGCTACTCACGATGCAGGGGCAGGAGAATCACTTGAACCCAGGAGGTGAGCTTGCAATGGGCCGAGATCGCACCATTGCACTGCAGCCTGGGCGACAGAGTGAGCCTACGTCTCAAAAAAAAAAAAAAGAATACAAAAATCAGCCAGGCAAGGTGGCATAGGCCTGTAATTCCAGCTACTCAGGGGGCTGAGGCACGACAATTGCTTAAACCCGGGAGGCAGAGATTGCAGTGGGCTGAAATCCTGCCACTACACTCCAGCCTGGTAACAGAGTGAAACTCTATCTCAAAATAAATAAATAAATACGTTTAATTTCATAAAAATCTTAATTAGGAAACATTTCTTACAACATATTGCAATAATTATATATTTTAACCTGCACATCAAACTCACCATGAGGCCTTCTGTGAGGATAGAGGAAGAAGGCTGATACTATAAATTATGTCAAAACTTTATACAATAACTCTTACCACCGAGTGTGGTGGCTCACACCTGTAATCCTAGCACTTTTGGAGGGTCAGGCAGGCAGATCACTTGAGGCCAGGAATTCAAGACCAGCCTGGCTGACATAGAGAGTAGAGAGACCCCATCTCCACTAAAAATACAAAAATTAAGGCCGGGCACGGTGGCTCACGCCTGTAATCCCAGCACTTTGGGAGGCCGAGGCAGGCGGATCATGAGGTCAGGAGATCGAGACCATCCTGGCTAACATGGTGAAACCCCGTCTCTGCTAAAAATACAAAAAATTAGCCGGGCATGGTGGCAGGTGCCTGTAGTCCCAGCTACTCGGGAGGCTGAGGCAGGAGAATGATGTGAACCTGGGAGACGGAGCTTGCAGTGAGCGGAGATTGTGCCACCGCGCTCCAGCCTGAGCAACAGAGCAAGACTCTGTCTCAAAAATAAATAAATAAATAAATAAACAAACAAACTAGCATCTTGGTCCATGTTTTCCTGTGCACACATGAGAGAATTTTTCCATGGAAAGGAACCTAATAGTGGACTTTCTGGATTGTTGGACATAAATCTTCAACTTTACCAAGAACTGCCAAATTATCCTCTAGAGTGGTGTCAACTGACATTCCCATGAGCAAAGAATGAAGAAATCCCACTTTCAGCATGTTCTGAAAAACTTTAGTATTTTTGACAATCTAATGGGTATTAAATGATAGTCCTGGCCAGGCACAGTGGCTCACGCCTGTAATCCCAGCACTTTGGGAGGCTGAGGTGGGTGGATCACTTGAGGTCAGGAGTTCAACACCAGCCTGACCAACATGGTGAAACCCCATTTCTACTAAAAAAAAAAAAAAATTAGCCAGGCCTGTGGTGCGTGCCTGTAATCCCAGCTACTTGGAAGGCTGAAGCAGGAGAATCACTTGAACCCAGGTAGTGGAGGTTGCAGTGAGCTAGATTGAGCCATTGCACTCCAGCCTGGGCAACAAGAGCAAAACTTTGTCTCAAAAATTAAAAAAAAAAATTTTTGTACTGATAGTCCATTGGTTTAATCAGAATTTCCCTGATTACTAATAACATTGGTTACTATGCATCTTTTCTCGTGTGTGTGTGTGTGTGTGCACGCGCCATTAAGTTTTTCCACTGTGAACTGCTTGTTTAACACTCTTGTGCATTTTTCTTTTTTTTTTTTTTTTTTTGAGATGGAGTCTCGCTCTCTCACCCAGGCTGGAGTGCAATGATGCGATCTTGGCTCACTGCAACCTCCATCTCCTAGGTTCAAGTGATTCTCCTGCCTCAGCCTCCTGAGTAGCTGGGATTACAGGTGTGCAACACCACACCCATCTAATTTTTGTATTTTTAGTAGAGATGGGGTTTCACCTTGTTGGTCAGGCTGGTCTCAAACTCCTGACCTCGTGATTCGCCCGTCTCAGCCTCCCAAAGTGCTGAGATTACAGACGTCAGCCACCACGCCTGGCCTCTTGTGCATTTTTCAATTTAGTCATAACCTTGCTTAAAACAAAACTTCAAATTCATTTCCAGACATTTGAATGTTCTAAATCTAAAATAACAAAAACACAGATGCCCTAAATCACAAAGAAATGCTTCCTGAGGCAGGTAAGTGTAGCAAGCCATGTGGAAGCTGTGCACAACCCCTTAAAAGAAGGAGGTGGTAGCCATTTCTTGGAGCCAAAGAATTATCGCTATGGTGACTGGCAGGTTTAGTGCTGACAGATCTTCCAATTTTTTTTTTTTTTTTTGAGACGGAGTTTTGCTCTTGTTGCCCAGGCTGGAGTGCAATGGCGTGATCTCGGCTCACCGCAACCTCCGCCTCCCAGGTTCAAGCGATTTTCCTGCCTCAGCCTCCCTAGTAGCTGGGATTACAGGCATGTGCCACCACGCCCGGTAAATTTTGTATTTCTAGTACAGACGGGGTTTCTCCATGTTGGTCAGGCTGGTCTCGAACTCCCGACCTCAGGTGATCTGACCGCCTCGGCCTCCCAAAGTGCTGGGATTACAGGCATGAGCCACCGCACCTGGCCTGATCTTCCAATTTTTTTTTTTAAAAGCTACAAATTCAGATTTCATGTGCAGTCTCTCTATTTTTTATTAATGGTAACTAATTCAAGTTTTCAGAAACACTGTATAGACCAAACAAAATCTGTGTGCAGATCAACAATGCTCTTAGACAACTGAACATACCACAAAACTAGGTAAGAACATCAGAGTAGTACGCTATCTGCATGAAAGACCTGTATACGGGTAATCATTTATTAATAACCAATACATATTTAAACATGATTAGCTGGCAACTAAAATTACCTGCCTAAATGAGAGACAGTAAATTACAAAGTCTATAATGAGCTATTCAAAATCTGTAACACATAAAGTGAAACTACTTTGGCTTACAAAAAAAATGCTTCTCATAAGTCTTCATGTTTCAAAACAAAGACGTCATTTAATGAATGGCTTATCTTTTAAGCAGCAATATTCCTTCACACTATTTCACCAAAACATACCTAAATAGCACTAAAACCTTTGTGTCCAACTGGCGATTTATAGCACTAAAGTTGAACAAAAAAACAAAAAGAATTCTTTGCCTATTCAGAAGTTGACTTAAAAATTCAGAAACATGGCTGGGCACGGCAGCTCATGCCTGTAATCCCAGAACTTTGGGAGGCCAAGGTGGGTGGATCACGAGGTCAGGGGTTCGAGACCAGCCTGGCTAACATGGTGAAACCCCATCTCTACTAAAAATACAAAGATTAGCTGGGCGTGGTGGCAGGCACCTGTAATCCCAGCTACTCGGGAGGCTGAGGCAGGAGAATCGCTTGAACCCAGGAGGTGGAGGTTGCAGTGAGCCGAAATCGCGCCATTGCACTCCAACCTGGGCGACAAAAGCAAGACTCCATCTTAAAAAAAAAAAAAATCAGAAACACAAAGAAATGAAGCACTTACTGGGGTATGCTCCAATGGGTAAAATGAATAAAAACCTTTCTGAGTTTGAAGTTTATGCCAGCAAAATAATAACTGTGGTTTAGTTACTGGTCTTAATCATTACCTAGGCAACCACACTTTCATCCATCAACATCTACAGTGAATTTCACAGTAGCCAAGCAGTTAATCCACCAATGTCAAGATACCTGTACAACATTATACATGCCAAATCACACAGCACATTACTACTGCAACCATTTGAGAGAAAGTATTTGTGCATTTTGGAAAGGCACCATGCACAACATCCAATTTCAAGTACCTTCCAACTCCTCCTGTGTTTAGGGGAAACTCATCTATTTATACTAATGAATTAAGCTGTTTCTTGAATTGCTACTAATTTTTTTTTTCCAGGATACTACCATTTCTGGAAGGGTGGGAGGGAGGAACCAAAGGAACAAAGGTACTTATCTTAAAAATAGAAATCCATTCACATTTTAAAAATTGGTCAGCATCTTGTCTTATATTAGAGATGCACTTATTTAAAAAGTTGACCAATAATGGGATAATCTATGTAAAGTCTCTGTTTTAGCACTTAGTGCCTCATATGTAGTCATCACTTAATAGATGTTAAGACATACATATACACACACACAGGTTAAATTGTGCTCTCATATCATCTAACAGCATTCACCTAACAGTTTATAAAGCTTCTGATCAGAATGATATGAAGTTTAAAAACTATGTATTGTATTATATGGCACTTTGGATATCAGCATATGTGTACTACCCCAAGAAGGTAATTTAAAATATCTGTCTGGACATAAGTGTATGTGCTGACTACAACGCAGTATAACACTGCTCTTTGTGATGCTGCTCTTCCAAACAGTAGTGCTGACCTGATGGTGTAGTACATGATTTCTCACCTTTGACACCTTCATATTAGTAAATATTAGCTGTGTGTTCCACTATCAAAAAAACAGGTAATAATTCAAAGAAATTTCAGCATTAAAATCTTCAGTTTCCCAGTTTAAAACACAAGTGAAACAAGGTTGGCATATAAAAGTGCACTGATAACAAGCTCATTTTCAATTTTTCTACTTGATGTTATTAAAGGATAGAATGTTAGTGTATCCTTGCTTTGTTTCAAACCCAGGATTAAGTCTTCTTGGCCTCCTATATAGACTGCACTTCAACTGAGCCAAATACTAAGTAAGGGCTGTACCAAAGAGGCAGCTTGACGCCTGGTAACAACTTTACAATGGAAGTTTCCTATGAGCTAGGGAGGCAGAAATCGGAGATAACATTTTCCTGAATGAGTCTTTACTATAGTCACTCAGGAACATATCTTACATGTACGATAGTAAGACTCAAGAGGGTTTTTTTCTGATTGTCAATGTCCTGAGACTTCAGTAAAAGAAAATCTCCAGTGTGACAATTCCAAATGCCAGTCTGAAGCCTGAGTCAATTTGCCTAATAAAACTGATTTCACCATTAAAATAGCAATAATTGTTGCCTTGGTGGAACAGTTCTATAATAGCTAAAGACAAGAAGAAGCAGATAATTAGTAAACTCAAGTTGAGCCAAGTTTTCTAACAAGAAACACTGAAAAGAGCCATTTGCAGAAGGTCAAAAATAATTACCATTAATGTAAAAATGCAAAAGGCACAGAATATTGGTATGTGATGTTTGTGGCTACTAATATGCAATTAAAGTTTTAAACTATACGTAGGAATAAAAAGGAATAATACGCACCTACCTGAAGAAAGAAGTTACTTCTAGAGGCAGGGTGGGACGAGATGGAAACGGGCTTTAGTGGTATCTGTGACATTTTATTCCCCCCCAAAAAAAGCATGCACAGTCTGATGAAAATGGGGCAAAATGTTAACATCTGTTTAATCTCATAGTGTGTGACTTTCTTGTATTTCTAAAATACTTCCTAATTTAAAATAAAATTTTAAAGAGATTACAAGTGACCAAATAAACCAAGAACCACATACTTGTATGGTGTTCAAAACAAAATCACTAAAATCTAGAGAACTAATCTCAGTTAACAACAAAAGCCATCCGAAGGCTCAGTTATTTCCCACTGACTCACATACAGATTAGAGTAAGATTTACTTCACAACAAGAGCAGGCTCATTTATGTGGCAAAGTTCGGAGAAGCTTCACAGATAATTTACTACTCAAGACCACATTTACCCAGGTTGTATCAGAGTATCAGTTGTATCTAGAACCAGGAAGCTAAAAAGAAAGAAAAAAAAAAAAGGCCTGGATGAAAAGCCAAAATAGGTGATACAAAGTCCGTACAATAAAACACATACCCTTTACTCAGAAGAGAATCCAACAAACTCTCACACAGCAATTGATTTTTTAGCCCAAACAAGCTTGTTTATCTGGCTACTAAGGCTTCTTCAGATGAAGTTCAGTAAAATACAAGAGGGAAGAAATTGCACAACAGGCAGCAACAAGGCACAATAAGCAGCAAGAAGAATCTGAGAGTAAGGAAAACAAAACAATTTTAAAGAACAGACACAGGCTAGCCGGGTGCGGTGGCTCAGGCCTGTAATCCCAGCACTTTGGGAGGCCGAGGCGGGTGGATCACAAGGTCACGAGTTCGAGACCAGCCTGGCCAATATGGTGAAACCCCTTCTCTACTAAAAATTCAAAAATTAGCCTGGCATGATGGCAGGTGCCTGTAGTCCCAGCTACTTGGATGAGGCAGGAGAATCGCTTAAACCCGGGAGGCGGAGGTTGCAGTGAGCTGAGATCACGCCACTGCACTCCGGCCTTGGCGACAGAGCAAGACTCTGTCTCAAAAAAAAAAAAAAAAAAAAAAAAGAACAGATATGGACTAGGCGCGGTGGGTCATGCCTGTAATCCCAGCACTTTGGGAGGCAGAGGCGGGCGGATCACCTGAGGTCGGGTGTTTGAGACCAGCCTAGCTAACATGGTGAAACCTGGTCTCTACAGAAATACAAAAATTAGCCAGGTGTGGTGGCATGCACCTGTAATCCCAGCTACTAGGGAGGCTGAGGCAGGAGAATCCCTTGAACTAGGGAAGTGGAGGTTGCAGTGAGCCGAGATCGCACCACTGCACACTCCAGCCTGGCCTAGGCAACAGAGTGAGACTCTGTCTCAAAAAAAAAAAAAAAAAAAAAGAACAGATATGGCTTGGCGCGGTGGCTCACACTTGTAATCCCAGCACTTTGGCAGGCGGAGGCAGGCAGATCACCTGATGTCAGGAGTTCAAGACCAGCCTGGCCAACATGGTGAAACCCTGTCTCTACTAAAAATACAAAATTAGCCAGGCGTGGTGGTGCATGCCTGTAATCCCAGCTACTAGGGAGGCTGAGGCAGGAGAACTGCCTGAACCCGGGAGGCAGAGGTTGCAGTGAGCCGAGATTGTGCCACTGCACTCCAGCCTGGGCAACAGAGCGAAACTCCGTCTCAAAAAGAAAAAAAAAGAAAAAAAAACAGACATGAAACTGATAAATTATAGTACATAGTTTGGGGTCAATAAGAGATGTTCAGAATAAAGTTCAGTATTTAAAAAAAACAATGAAACAAACCTACACTATGAGGAATTGCAAAGCATAAAAAGATAATGTATTTTAGAAATATTTCCATTCAGATTAGTCAACTTTTTTTTTTTTTTAAGACAGGGTCTCGCTGTGTCACCCAGGCTGGAGTGCAATGGCGTGATCTCAGCTCACCGCAACCTCCGCTCCTCCGCTTCCTGAGTTCAAGCAATTCTCCTGTCTCAGCTTCCCGAGTAGCTGGGATTACAGGCATGTGCCACCACGCCCGGCTAATTGTTGTATTTTTTTGTAGAGATGGGGTTTCATCATGTTGTCCAGGCTGGTCTCAAACTTCTGACCTCATGATCCACCCACCTCAGCCTCCCAAAGTGCTGGGATTACAGGCGTGAGCCACCACACCCAGCCTAGTAAACTTTTTTAAAAATGTCTAAGGGCCTCAAAGGGTAAACTTCAGTTATCTGGAAAAATCACTGCAGAATTCATTGCCAGATGAATTAGACAAAGCTTAGCATACAAAACTATTATACTTCTTTCCTCATAGATACATTTCAAAAAACAGAAAATCTGAACAAATTCAATTCCTTATCACCAATATTTTGAATTTAATTTTATATATATGAATTTTTTTTAAGAAAATTTCTTCCTTTTTTTTTTTCCCTGGAGACAGGGTCTTGCTATGTTGCCCACACTGGTATCAAACTCCTGTGCTCAAGCAATTCTCCCACCTCCACCTCCCAAAGTGCTAAGATTACAGGAGTGAGCCACAGTGGCGGCCAAAATGATTACATAGAAGATATGCAGAAAATGGCCAGGCACGGTGGCTCATGCCTGTGATCCCGGCATTTTGAGAGGCCAAGGCGGGTGGATCACCTGAGGTCAGGAGTTTGAGACCAGCCTAGCCAACATGATGAAACCCTCTCTCTACTAAAAATACAAAAAATTAGCTGGGCTTGGTGGTGCGCGCCTGTAATCCCAGCTACTCTGGAGGCTGGGGCAAGAGAAACGCTTGAGCCTGGGAGGCAGAGGTTGCGGTGAGCCGAGATCGCGCCATTGAACTCCAGCCTGGGCAACAAGAGCAAAACTCCGTCTCAAAAAAAAAAAAAAGAAGCCAGGCACGGTGGCTCGGTGGCTCACGCCCATCATCCCAGCACTTTGGGAGGCTGAGGCAGGTGGATCACCGGAGGTCAGGAGTTCGAGACCAGCCTGACCAACATGGAGAAACCCCGTCTCTACTAAAAACAGAAAAAATTAGCTGGGCGTGGTGGCACATGCCTGTAATCCCAGCTATTTGGGAGGCTAAGGCAGGAGAACTGCCTGAACCTGGGGGGGTGGAGGCTGCAGTGAGCTGAGATCATGCCACTGCACTCCAGCCTGGGCAACAAGAGCGAAACTCCATCTCAAAAAAAAAAAAAAAAAAAAAAGAGAAAATATGCAGAATTTGGGCAAAAAATTTGTAACACAGAATTGACAATAACCATTCAGGTGCCAAATTTTTAATATGCCAAACAAACTTCTATATTGGCAACTCTTCACTTAGTGCCAATTTAGTTATCTCCAACATGAATATTTTGTTAGTAGAGGCCAGGGGTTGGCTAGGATATCCTGATTTCTGGCCTTGAATGATAAACTTAGTTTCTCTGGCACAGGTAAAGTATTTCCATAAGAGAAAGCCCAGCTGGGCACGGTGGCTCACGCCTGTAATCCCAACACTGTGGGAGGCCGAGGAAGATGGAATGAGGTCAGGAGATCAAGACCATCCTGGCTAATATGGTGAAACCCCATCTCCACTAAAAATACAAAAAAATCAGCCAGGCATGGCGGCGCGTGCCTGTAGTCCCAGCTACTCAGGAGGCTGAGGCAGGAGAATTGCTTGAACCCGGGAGGCAGAGGCTGCAGTGAGCCAAGATCGCACCACTGCACTCCAGCCTGGGTGACAGAGCAAGACTCCATCTCAAAAAAAAAAAAAAAAAAAAGAATACCCAATTATTGTACCAACCACTACACACTCATAATCATAAATAGTAGTCACACACATAAACTTATAATTCATTTTAATTAATTATCCACAAACGGAGAGGATCAAAATATGAAATATCTACAAAAGTCCACTGCTCTCAAGTATCCAGTGTAAAGGGAGGGGACAGGGAATGAAATAAATTTTGGGCCTAGAGAAACTTCTGTATAATAACAAATTTTCAAAACCAGCTAGACCACACTAATGTGAAAGACAACTAATTTTTTTTTTTTTTTTTTTTTGAGACAGAGTCTTGCTGTGTCGCCCAGGCTGGAGTGCAGTGGCGCAATCTCAGCTCACTGCAAGCTCCGCCTCCCAGATTCACGCCATTCTCCTGCCTCAGGCTCCTGAGTAGCTGGGACTACAGGCTCCCGCCACCACGCCCAGCTAATTTTTTGTATTTTAGTAGAGATGGGGTTTCACCATGTTAGCCAGGATGGTCTCGATCTCCTGACCTCGTGATCCGCCCGCCTCGGCCTCCCAGAGTGCTGGGATTACAGGTGTGAGCCACCGTGCCCGGCCAAGACAACTAATTTTTAAATCACTGAACATGGACTAATTTCTTCACCTTCTGCAGCAGTCCACACCCCAGGCCAGGTTAAAAATCCACTAAGTTGGCCGGGCATGGTGGCTCATGCCTATAATCCCAGCCCTTTGGGAGGCCAAGGGAAGGGGATCACCTGAGGTCAGGAGTTCGAGACCAGCCTGGCCAACATGGCAAAACCCCATCTCTACTAAAAATACAAAAATTAGTTGGGCGTGATGGCACACACCTGTAGTCCCAGCTACCCAGGAGGCTGAGGCAAGGAGACTCACTTGAACCCGGCAGGGGGACAGGGTGGAGGCTGCAGTGAGTCGAGATCACACCACTTCACTCCAACCTGGGAGAAAGAGCGAAACTCCGTCTCAAAAAAATAAAAATAAAAAATAAAATAAATCCACTAAGTTTCTAATATGTAACCTGTACAAATACTCTGGGCTTATCGTAAAATTTTGTAACTAAAGCAACTAAGCAACTTGCATATTTTGTGTTATGTGATTCCAACTGTTAGGAAACTGATCCAATATCAGTCATAAATATAGGTTTCTACAGATAAGAATTTTGTCCCCCTGCCCGGCCAGCCGCCCCGTCCGGGAGGTGAGGGGCGCCTCTGCCCGGCCACCCCTACTGGGAAGTGAGGAGCCCCTCTGCCCGGCCACCACCCCGTCTGGGAGGTGTGCCCAACAGCTCATTGAGAACGGGCCAGGATGACAATGGCGGCTTTGTGGAATAGAAAGGCGGGAAAGGTGGGGAAAAGATTGAGAAATCGGATGGTTGCTGTGTCTGTGTAGAAAGTAGAAGACATGGGAGACTTTTCATTTTGTTCTGCACTAAGAAAAATTCCTCTGCCTTGGGATCCTGTTGATCTGTGACCTTACCCCCAACCCTGTGCTCTCTGAAACATGTGCTGTGTCCACTCAGGGTTAAATGGATTAAGGGCGGTGCAAGATGTGCTTTGTTAAACAGATGCTTGAAGGCAGCATGCTCGTTAAGAGTCATCACCAATCCCTAATCTCAAGTAATCAGGGACACAAACACTGCGGAAGGCCGCAGGGTCCTCTGCCTAGGAAAACCAGAGACCTTTGTTCACTTGTTTATCTGCTGACCTTCCCTCCACTATTGTCCCATGACCCTGCCAAATCCCCCTCTGTGAGAAACACCCAAGAATTATCAGTAAAAAAATAAATTTAAAAAAAAAAAAAAAAAAAAAGAATTTTGTCGCCAGGCACAGTGGCTCACGCCCGTAATCCCAGCTCTTTGGGAGGCCGAGGCGGGCAGATCACGAGGTCAGGAGGTCGAGGCCACAGTAAAACCCCATCTCTACTAAAAATACAAAAAATTAGCTGGGCGCAGTGGCGGGCACCTGTAGTCCCAGCTACCTGGGAGGCTGAGGCAGGAGAATGGCGTGAACCCGGAAGGCAGAGAGCTTGCAGTGAGGCGAGATCGTGCCACTGCACTCCAGCCTGGGCGACAGAGCGAGACTCCATCTCAAAAAAAAAAAAAGAATTTTGTGAATATTTTAAAATTCCCACAAGATACCACCTAATGCCACAATTTAAACGTATTGCTCTAATTCATGGATTTCAAAAACATTAATATATGCTTTTTACTTCTTACCAATGTTAATTTTTTTACCCTTCCAAACATGTCAATTAGTACAATTTAAAAGTCCAATCATCCTTTAATAAAACCTGTTGGAATTCACTATTGCATCATCTTTGTGTTGCCATCTAGCCTGAAAAGAATTTCTGGAAAAAAAGTGTTTTGAAAAGTTCATGCTACTTACAAAATTTATTTATTTTTTATTTATTTCCTTGCATCAAATTAACAAGTCCCTGCTAATATCTAGTATATTACCATATGCTCACTCAATGGCACAAACCAGTCTTCCACTAAAGTAGAAAAGAGGTAAGGAGAAACATGTCACTGCTTGTTGTTCTATCCCGATACTTAAATCAAACTCACTTCTTTAATAAGTAATTATTTAAAAATCTGTACTTTTTTCTAGACTTTTCCCAAAATATGTCTGCCTCCAAAAATTATGAATCCATTTTGGCAACTAATGGGGTAAAGAAACAAATGTTTTTTTTAATGTTAGTCTTTTCACATAATGCGAACTCATTCATCACTAGGTTCTCTTTCCCAAAGGTTTGCCAAGTCACAAGACACACTACTGTTTACAATCCCTCCCATCTGCCCCTTGCCAATATATATCAAACACTCTAGTCACTTGGCTTAAGCCACAGTTTCCCAAATAACCTTCTCAAATTCTAATTTAGACCCAAGATGCATTCGTTCTGATTCATATTCTTAATGGAAAAATTTTAAATCACCTGATTTTCACTAAGTTCTGCCTTTTGATGCTGCCAAATCCTAGAGCCCTCTTGCTTTCACACCAATGCCCCAAATGTGACAGCTATAGTTATCTATCACAGATAAGTATAAAGTATAGATAACTATACTTTTAAATTCTGTACTTTTAGACATATTTTTAATCTGAGTACCGTACCCTCTTGGTTTTCAAAGACAACTACCAACATTCAATTCATTCGAGCACCAGTCTTCACTTCATTTCATTACTATATACACCATGTTCTTTAAGGTGGGAGCCTACTGATTTCCCCCGACCCCAGACTGCAGTAGGAAAAGAAATGAAACAAAATATATTTACTAACATTCTGTTTACAGATAACTATCAAACAGTTCCCATTTTTATTACAGGCTTCCTGTTACATAGTATCATAAATGCCTATTGTGCAGGATGTTTGTCGGGCATCTATACTGATGGTCTCCAAAATCAAACAATACTTCAGATAATGCTGCGGGAGGAGGGAGGGGAGTATGATTCACCAAAAACTGCAGTGAAGAGTAATGGAATATTTTCACCGGTGGTATGTTATAACTAATAGCTTCTTTCTTTCCTTTTTTTTTTTTTTTTTTTTTGAGACGGAGTCTCACTCTGTCGCCCAGGCTGGAATGCAGGAATGCAGTGGCGCGATCTCGACTCTGCAACCTCTGCCCCCCGGGTTCAAGTGATTCTCCTGCCTTAGCCTCCCGAGTAGCTGAGATTACAGGGGCCCGCCACCACGCCCCGATAATTTTTGTATTTTTAGTAGAGACGGGGGTTTCACCATGTTGGTCAGGCTGGTCTCGAACTCCTGACCTCAAGTGCGCCCGCCTCAGCCTCCCTAAGTGCTGGGATTACAGGCATGAGCCACTGCGCCCAGCCAGCTTCTTGGGAGAGGAAGGTACTGCTAAGCAACCATCACGGTAGCAATAAATCCACCAGCTTCGAAGGCCGAAAAGCTAGGAAGATAGGTGGAAAAGCGGAGATGGGGTCCTCCCACAGCTTCTCTAGAGGTTAGGAGAGAACAAAGTCACTGCTGCACTGTCACTTGAGGGAAAGGGGGAGGGGGCGGATCATCTTGGAAACCCAGCCCCTGGGCTGGAGCAGGCGGGGAGAAGTCAGAGAGGCTGCCTAGGATTAACATTCTCGTTCTCACCCTCTCCCGCCCTTCTAGAAGCTCCCCTCCTCGCTCCAACGCGGCGGCCAGAGTCCCAAATGACCACTCCCTCCAATCTATCACCCGAGAGGTGTAGAGAGAAACCAAAGAAAGAACTGAGTCAGGTGGTTAGGCAGAGCGGGGACTCCCATGACCTCTCCGTCCTCCCCCAACACCCTCCAGCCTCCCCCGGAACACTATCAAGCCCAGAAGGGTCCGGGGCGGGGGGGAAAGCCCCACACAGGTGTGCTCGCCGGGGAGGGGCGCAATGGCCGGGCCGCCGGCTCCCCAGAGCTCCCGCAGCGCGGCCTCAGCCCGAGCCCCAGCCTCAGCTCCGGCCACGGTCCCTGCCCCGGCCCCAGCCCCAGCCCCAGCCCCAGCCCCAGCCCCAGCCCCAACAGAGAAAGGCAGAGCACGCCGAACCCGGCGCCCTGCGGCCGCCCAGCCCCGACTCGAGGCCCGCCCGCCCTCCCGGCCGGGCCCTGAGTCCAGCCCGCGGGCGCGGCCTAACTGCTCGCCCCGCAGCTTGCCCCGGGGCCCGAGGGTCGCTGTACCTGGGCGGCGGCCTCCAGCTTGCCCTCGAAGGTGAAGTCCAGCAAGTCGGGCTTGAGGCAAAGGCTGCAGTTGATGGGGGAGACATCGGCAGGCAGCCGCTCGAAGGGCCTCTTCTCCGGCATCGCGGCGAGGCCCAGGCTGTGGAGGCGGCGGCGAGAGGAGCGGCTGAAGACGAGAAGGAGGAGGGGAGGAGGCGGAGGGCCGAGGAAGAGCAGGCGGCGAGCGAGGGAGGGGGCGGCAGCTGCCAGCCACATCCACCGAGCGCGGGCGACCGCCGGAGGAGAGCGACCGGGGGAGCCTGGGGGGCGGGGGAGAGACCCAGCCGGAGCGCTAGGGGTTGGGAAGGAGGCGGTGCGGGCGGACTGGCGGGCGAGCTGCCTACGGGGAAGGGGGCGGAGGGGAGGGAAGGGGAGGAGGGCCAGCAAGGAGGGATGGAGAGGGGGAAGTGGTGGCGGCGGCTGCGTGCGCGGCCCCGCCGGCCGGGCGCGCCCCCGTGGAGTGCGCGCGCACGCCGGGGCAGAGGGCGGAGCGGCGAGGACGAGGGCGCGGCCGGCGGGGCGGGAGGGCGTAGGGTTGCCCGCGCGAGCGCAGGGCGGGAGGCGGGCGCTGCACCTGTCGGCGCCGCTCAGGACTGGGGGCGGCCTTCCAACTGGAAGGAGCCGGGAAGGGCTTGATCAGAGGAAGGAAAGGCATAAGGGGCCCTCGGGAAACTGAAGCCTACGCAGTTGGTCAGTTCAGCCAGGGTCGCATGCATAAAATACCAGTTACAAGCAAAACCCCAAACTGGATTCTGCCTCCAGGTCAGCGAAAAGCCCTGACTTGAGGCTCTCTGGCCTCAGTTCCTGTTAGTAGCAAATTCAAAGGATGATTTGAAAGTTTTGTTATAAAACCTTTAATAGCCGGGCGCGGTGTCTCACGCCTGTAATCCCAGCACTTCGGGAGGCCGAGGCGGGCGGATCACGAGGTCAGGAGATCGAGACCATCCTGGCTAACATGGTGAAACCCCGTCGCTACTAAAAGTACAAAAAATTAGCCGGGCGTGGTGGCGGGCGCCTGTAGTCCCAGCTACTCAGGAGGCTGAGGCAGGAGAATGGCGTGAACCCGGGAGGCGGAGCTTGCAGTGAGCCGAAATCGCGCCACTGCACTCCAGTCTGGGCGACAGAGCAAGACTCCGTCTCAAAAAAAAAAAAAAAAAAAAAACCTTTAATAATCTAGGTTACTTCAACCAATGAGATCTGGACTTTTGAGGGAGTGATTTCAAAAACTATATTTTTGTTTCCATGATTTAATGTTTAAAATGGGATGTTTCGGGCGGTCGCGGTGGCTCACGCCTGTAATCCCAGCACTTTGGGAGGCCGAGGCGGGCGGATCACAAGGTTAGGAGTTCAACACCAGCCTGGCCAATATGGTGAAACCCCGTCTCTACTAAAAATACAAAAAAAAAAAATAGCCGGGCTTGGTGGCGGGCGCCTGTTGTCCCAGCTATTCGGGAGGCTGAGGTAGGAGAATCGCTTGAACCCGGGAGGTGGAGGTTGCAGTGAGCCGAGATTGCGCCACTGCACTCCAGCCTGGGCGACAGAGTGAGACTCTGTCTCAAAAAAAAAAAAATAAATAAATAATAAAATAAAATGGGATGTTTCACCTTTTCCCCATTTTCATCTTTGTTTCTTTTTAAACTAAAAGATCCTTCAGCAATCATGGCCTCTTTAATGGTGAACTATCTGTGGCTCTCTCAGTTCTGTAGATACCTTGCAAATTGAGGAGGTATATATATAAATGCATATATATATATATATATATATATATATATATATAGTAACTGAAATTATCTTTAAAAAGGGGGGCCAGGGCCAGGTACGGTGGCTCACACCTGTAATCCCAGCACTTTGGGAGGCTGAGGCAGGTGGATCACGAGGTCAGGAGTTCGAGACCAGCCTGGCCAATATGGTGAAACCCTATCTCTACTAAAAATACAAAAATTAGCCTGGCATAGTGTCATGTGCCTGTAGTCCCAGCTACTAGGGAGGCTGAGGCAGGAGAATCGCTTGAACCCGGGAGGCGGAGGTTGCAGCGAGCCAAGATCACGCCACTACACTCCAGCCTGGGCTACAACGAGACTCTGTCTCAAAAAAAAAAAAAACAGTGGGCCCAGGTGTGGTGACGTGTGCCTATGATCCCAGCTACTCGGGAGGCTGAGACGGGAGGATCACTTGAGCCCAGGAGGTGGATGGAGGCTGCAGTGAGCTGTAATGGTGCCACTGCACTCCAGATGACAGAGTGAGGCCCTGTCTCTAAAAAAATAAAAATGAAATAACAATTTAAAAAATGTTATTTAAAGTGTCAAAGGCAAGGAGATTTATCCATAATCTTCATATTTCTTTATAGAAATTTCTCAGATAGAACCCTGTAATTTCCAAAACTGAATGTAGTATGTTGTAATGGACCAGTACTGTCCAGCAGAAACATACTGTGAACCACTAGGTAGTATTAAATCTTACAGTAGCCACATCACAAAAAAGTAAAAAGGAAACAAATGAAAACACATCTTATTTAACCCAACATATCCAAAATATTATCATTTCAACATGTAATCAATATAAAAAATATTAATGAGGCCGGGCACGGTGGCTCACGCCTGTAATCCCAGCACTTTGGGAGGCCAAGGCAGGTGAATAACCTGAGGTCAGGAGTTCAAGACCAGCCTGACCAACATGGTGAAATCCCGTCTCTACTAAAAATACAAAAATTAGCCAGGCATGGTGGCGCATGCCTGTAATCCTAGCCAGCTACTCTGGAGGCTGAGGCAGAAGAATCACTTGAACCCAGAAGGCGGCGGTTGCAGTGAGCTGAGATCACAGCACTGCACTTCAGCCTGGGCAAAAAGAGCGAAACTCCGTCTCAAAAAAAAAAAAAAAATTAATGAGATATTTTACTTATTTTCTTCACACCAACTTTGAAATCCAGCGTGTATTTTACATTTATAGCACATCTAAATTCTGACTATCCACATTTCACGTGATCAGTAGTCACGTGTGGTTAGTGGCTCTTGTACTGGGCAGCACAATTTTGGACTCTGGGCCTGGCCTCTTAGCCTCTGAATCCTACATACTTTTCAGAAAGGCAGATTGAAAATCTGCAATCCTTTCAAACTAAGGTGTGAGATGGGGCCTTTTCTTATATATATGTAGTTCTATGACCACTTACTGGTCAGAGAAATAATAATTTAAATAACATATAATAATTTTTTTTTTTGAGCTGGAGTCTCCTCTGTCACCCAGGCTGGAGTGCAGTGGCGTGATCTAAGCTCACTGCAACCTCCACCTCATGGGTTCAAGCAATTCTCCTGCCCCAGCCTCCTCAGTAGCTGGGATTACAGGCGCCCACGACCATGCCCGACTAATTTTTGTATTTTTAGTACAGATGGAGTTTCACCATGTTAGCCAGGCTGGTCTCAAACTCCTGACCTCAGGTGATCTGCCCACCTAGGCCTCCCAAAGGGCTGAGATTACAGACATGAACCATTGTGCCCAGCCCATATAATAATAACTTAATTAACTGTAATTGAATGTTTATCGAGTGCTTACTAAACACTTTTTTTTTTTTTGAGATGGAGTTTCGCTCTTGTTGCCCAGGCTGGATTGCAATGGCATGATATTGGCTCCTGCAACCTCGGCCCCCCGGGTTCAAGCGACTCTCCTGCCCCAGCCTCCTAAGTAGCTGGGATTATAGGTGCCCGCCACCATGCCTGGCTAATTTTTGTATTTTTAGTTTTATTTGTTTGTTTGTTTTGTTTTGTTTTTCTTGTTTATTTTTTCTTTTTTTCTTTTTATTTCTTTTTCTTTTTTTAATTTTTGTATTTTTAGTAGAGACTGGGTTTCACCATGTTGGCCAGGCTGGTCTCAAACTCCTGACCTCAGGTGATCCACCTGCCTAGGCCTCCCTAAGGGCTGGGATTACAGTCATGAACCACCACGCCCAGCCCATATAATAATAATTTAATTAACTGTAATTGAATGTTTATCGAGTGCTTACTAAACATTTTGTTTTTTTTTCTTTTGTTTTGGGTTTTTTTTGAGATGCAGTTTCGCTCTTGTTGCCCAGGCTGGAGTGCAATGGTGTGAGCTCGGCTCACTGCAACCTCCACCTCCTGGGTTCAAGCAATTCTCCTGCCTCAGCCACCCAAGTAGCTGGGATTACAGGTGCCCACCACCACACCCGGTTAATTTTTTTGTATTTTTAGTAGAGATGGGATTTCACCATGTTGGCCAGGCTGGTCTCGAACTCCTGTCCTCGAGTGATCCGCCCACCTCGGCCTCCCAAAGTGCTGGGATTAGAAGTGTGAGCCACTATGCCTGGCCAACACTTTTCATATATTAATTCATTTAATTATTCTCAACAACTCTGTGAGGTGGACACCATTATCCCCATTTCACATTTGAGGAAACAGGCACACAGAAATTCAAGGACTTGCCTAAGGTCATACACTAATAATTGGTAGAGCCACAGTTAGGACCTAGGCATTTTTTTTTTCTCTCCTGAGAATCTTGCAGCAGATTCCCTGTTGTTCTGACTCTCCAGTTTTGTTTTGTTTTGTTTTGTTTTTGAGACAGAGTCTCGCTCTGCCGCCCAGGCTGGAGTGCAGTGGCACGATCTCGGCTCACTGCAAGCTCCGCCTCCCAGGTTCAAGCCATTCTCCTTCCTCAGCCTCGCGAGTAGCTGGGACTACAGGCACCCGCCACCAAGCCCAGCTAATTTTTCGTATTTTTAGTAGAGACAGGGTTTCACCGTGTTAGCCAGGATGGTCTCGATCTCCTGACATCGTGATCCGCCCGCCTCGGCCTCCCAGAGTGCTGGGATTACAGGCGTGAGCCACCGCGCCTGGCCCTAACTCTCCAGTTGTATTTTATTATAGTTCGTCTGTTTCTCAGCTTCTCAAAATGTTATTTTCATTATGTCTGTTAAAGCAAATTTAATTCATAACCATTTAAGGCTCTCCATGAACTGTCCTTATCATTTTCCCAGACTTGTTTTTTCTTATCCTTTAACATATATTCTCCAGTCTTAACAAGCTAACCAGTTTAATGCTTGGCCCTTACAGCTTGCTCATTCTTCTCTTCTCTACCATTGCTCAGGCATTATTGCTGGTATGACCTCCTCATCTTTTTCGGCAAACCGGGGCCCCTCCCTTCCTTCAACACTCACCTTTTCCAGAAAGTCCTCATTGACTAACTCCACCCAACTCTCTTTTCCCATCAGTTCACAAGTACTGGCTTTTGCTGATTTATTTGTACTTGTTCTGACTGTTACTCTGTAATTATGTTGTTGTTTTTGTTTTATTCTGGTTTTTTTCTGAGATGGAGTTTTGCTTTTGTTGCCCAGGCTGGAGTGCAATGGCACAATCTCGGCTCACTGCAACCTCCGCCTCCTGGGTTCAAGCGATTGTCCTGCCTCAGCCTCCTGAGTAGCTGGAATTACAGGCATGCGCCACCATGTCTGGCTAATTTTTTGTATTTTTAGTAGAGATGGGGTTTCTCCATGTTGGTCAGGCTGATCTCAAACTCCCGACCTCAGGTGATCTGCCCGCTTCGGCCTCCCAAAGTGCTAGGATTACAGGCGTGAGCCACCGTGCCCGGCCTATAATTGTGTTTAAATTTATTTTATATGTGTATCTTCGCAAGATGTACTACTAGTAAGAGCTTGTTTCCTAATTCCTTTATTACTCTCAGTACTGGACCCTGCACAAAGTACATCTCAATTATTATTGAGCTGACTAACCAATTAACCAAGAGACAATATTTTACCCAGTCTGTAGCCTTTCCTGTATGTACAAGATGTGTGCCCCATAGAGAAACTACGTGAACCTAAGACTGGAGGCAACTTTCTTTTATAAAATCACAGAAAAGATTAAAAACAAAACACCAGGCTAGGCACCATGCCTCACGCCTGTAATCCCAGCACTATGGGAGGCCAAGGTGGGCGGATCACCTGAGGTTGGGAGTTCAAGACCAGCCTGACCAACGTGGAGAAACCCCATCTCTACTAAAAATACAAAATTAGCTGGGCGTGGTGTTGCATGCCTGTAATCCCAGCTACTCGGGAGGCTGAGGCAGGAGAATCGCTTGAACCCAGGAGGCAGAGGTTGCAGTGAGCCAAGATCACGCCATTGCATTCCAACCTGGGCAACAAGAGTGAAAGTCCATCTCAAACAAAAACAGAAACAAAAACAAAACACTAGGGCCACAGACTTCATGGCAGCAGTAATTTTTGATCCTGCTGAGGAGAAAGAAGAGAACCTTACTTGGCCCCATCCTTGGTCCTATGATCCAAGAGATTCCAATGCAGCAAGTCAAGAATAAACCCACACTTAGAACTTGGGCTACAGGAATGGAAGGTAACACACAGTTCCCTTAAATATGACTGGATGACCACTTAACATATGCTCCATACAGGCTTCTCTGAAATAACAGAAATTAGAACACAAGGGCCCTTGGAAATTCATTTCCCTCCATGGTGCTTCAGAAGGAATGGGAAAGTCAGTAATGTCCCAAGATCCTTAGCCCTACTTTTAACAGGCTTCTAGGCTTCTCTGTTTACCACACCTTTGAAAATCTGCAAATGAAAAACCTATGGAAGTCCATATATATCAATAAAAAGTTAACAAAGATTTGGGAGACTGAGGCAGGAGGATGACTTGAGGCCAAGAGTTCAAGACCACTCTGGGCATCATAGTGAGACTCCCATCTCTACAAAAAAAGAAAAAAAAAATTGGCCGGGCGCGGTGGCTCACGCCTGTAATCCCAGCACTTTGGGAGGCCGAGGCAGGCGGATCACGAGGTCAGGAGATCGAGACCATCCTGGCCAACACAGTGAAACCCCGTCTCTACTAAAAATACAAAAAAAACCACAAAAAATTAGCCGGGCTTGGTGGCGGGTGCCTGTAGTCCCAGCTACTCGGGAGGCTGAGGCAGGAGAATGGTGTGAACCCGGGAGGCGGAGCTTGCAGTGAGCTGAGATCACGCCACTGCACTCCAGCCTGTGCGACAGAGCAAGACTCCATCTCAAAAAAAAAAAAAAATGTTTTTAATTAGCTGGGTGTGGTGGCCTATGCCTGTAGTCCTAGCTACTTGGGAGGCTAAAGTGGGAGGATTCCTTGAATCCAGGAGTTTGAGGCTGCAGTAAGCTATGACTGCATCACTGCAGTCCAGCCTGGGCAACAGAGTGAAATCCTGTCTCTGTTTGTTTTGGTTTGGTTTGTGTTTTTTTTTTTGAGACAAAGTTTTGCTCTTGTTGCCCAGGCTGGAGTACAGTGGCACAATCTTGGCTCACTGCAACCTCCGCCTCCCGGGGGTTCAAGCGATTTTCGTGCCTCAGCCTCCCAAGTAGCTGGGATTACAGGTGCCTGCCACCACGCCCAGCTAATTTTTTGTATTTTTAGTAGAGAGGGGGTTTCACCATGTTGACCAGGCTGGTCTCGAACTCCTAACCTCGGGTGATCCACCCGCCTCAGCCTCCCAAAGTGCAGGGATTACAGGCATGAGCCACTGCGCCCGGCCGAAATCCTGTCTCTTAAAAAAAAAAAAAAAAAAAGTTTAAGAAAGGAAAAAAAAAAGGCCGGGCGCGGTGGCTCACGCCTGTAATCCCAGCACTTTGGGAGGCCGAGGCGGGCGGATCACGAGGTCAGGAGATCGAGACCATCCCGGCTAAAACGGTGAAACCCCGTCTCTACTAAAAATACAAAAAAATTAGCCGGGCGTAGTGGCGGGCGCCTGTAGTCCCAGCTACTTGGGAGGCTGAGGCAGGAGAATGGCGTGAACCCAGGAGGCGGAGCTTGCAGTGAGCCGAGATCCCGCCACTGCACTCCAGCCTGGGCGACAGAGCGAGACTCCGTCTCAAAAAAAAAAAAAAAAAAAAAGAAAGGAAAAAAAAACAATCAGTCATTCTAGCCAGAGCCACTATTGTTTTCAGTTTTCAAGTACTAGCCTGACAAATATGAGGACACAAAAAGAAATAGTTTCAATATCATCACTGACTTTATGACCTAAAACAAGTCCTAGCAATTCTCTGCCTCAGTTTCCCCATCTGTAAAGCAGATATGGGCATAATGCACGCTTATCTCAAAGAAAAGTATGATTTCTCCAGTGGTTTGAGAATTTCTTAAAAAGCCTATTATTGGGCCGGGCATGGTGGTTCATGCTTGTAATCCCAGCACTTTGGGAGGCCGAGGCAGGCAGATCACTTGAGGTCAGGAGTTCAAGACTAGCCTGGCGAACATGGTGAAACCCCGTTTCTACTAGAAATGCAAAAAAATTAGCCGGGTGTGGTGGCGGGTGCCTGTAATCACAGCTACTTGGGAGGCTGAGGCAGGATAATTGCTTGAACCCAGGAGGTGGAGTTTGCAGTGAGTCAAGATCACGCCATTGCACTCCAGCCTGGGTGACAAAACGAGACCCCGTCTCAAAAAAAACAAAAAAAAAGCCTATTATTTTCTTAATGTGAGAATGGTCTTTGTAGCAGGACTAGTAAAAAGTTGAAGTAAAATTATAGAGAGCAAATGTAAGTCATCGAAAGAAGTATTTCAGAGCAAAGATAATGTAAAGGAATTGGATTAGGGAGGCAAAATATTCAGGCAGGAAGGAGAGAAACCCCAGCTATGGAACACAGAAAGAGAAAGATGTGGAGCGTTTGAGAGAACCATTACAAAACCACCAAGTTAGATCAAAACAAAGCATTACAGTTACTGTTTAGCCTCTCTGACTTACAAATTATGGCCTTCAATGTCAATTTCAAGCATACAAATTATAACTCGAATTCCACTAATATGTGTCTTACCTGCGGAATATGATGAAGGGGTTCCAAAGGCCAGGAACACAAAAACTTGGAGAGCAATCCATGGAAAATGATGCCATGAGGTCCCAGCCTTGACTCTTCCGTAACTTAAAATGGATGTTGAAATGACAGTTGGAAATGTGAGTAGATGGAATGCTGCCTACCCATCCTGTGTTCTTCATGAAAGGAAAGTAGATTAATTTCACATGCTTTAAAATGTTTGCTATACTGATGGATAACTTAATTTGTCATAATAATATGTGAGCTATAGATTGGATAGATTGATGGATAGATACATAGTTTTATTTATGTGGGGATAGCAATATGACATTATGCACATAAAAATGTGGCCAAAGGAAGGTCCTATCTGGTCATAGTTTTATTTCTCTTGGTATCTTTCCATCAGGAAGTTGAAAAAGTCATACATTTCCACCTTTCTCACTTCCTTTCTAGCCCTCCTTTTTTTTTTTTTTTTTTCAGTACTTCTGCTTCCCTTTTCACAACTACTTCTGCAGGTCTGTTTACCAATCCCAAGGGAGTGACAACTACAAGAGCAAACCTAACCCCTTTGTTGATGATCTTCAAACTGAGATGACCTGTTTGGCTGTGACCTGTTTGGTTGTAAAGGATTAGCCACCAGGGCTTTGCAGAATATAAGTTAGGGAGCCAACTTATATGATAGGGTGAAGCCAATACCCTCTGCTGCAAAGAGTGCATATGTCTGTGTCTGATGCGTGGGCCTCTGGAATGCTACTATAACATTTCTCCTGAAATCCCAAGTCTTTTTTTTTCTTTTTTGAGACGGAGTCTCTCTCTGTCGCAGTGGTGCGATCTTGGCTCGCTGCAACCTCCACCTCCCGGGTTCCAGCAATTCTCCTGCCACAGCCTCCCGAGTTGCTGGGACTACAGGCGCATGCCACCATGCCTGGCTTTTTTTTTATTATTAGTAGAGACGGGGTTTCACCATGTTGTGCAGGCTGATCTCAAATTCCTGACCTCAGGTGATCCACCCGCCTCGGCCTCCCGAAGTGCTGGGATTACAAGTGTGAGCCACCGCGCCCGGCGAAATCCCAAGTTTTTAAAGGTTACGGTGCTCTGGAGCTGGCATGCTGGAATTGAGTTTGCAATGATGTTTGCCTTGACGTCAAATCCAAAAAAATCAGTGCGAGCTCAGGTTGAACCAGACCAGTGGGGTAGCCAAGAGGATTAGAAGTCGCAGCTTGGCAAGTCAGGTGGCCTCAGTTTCTCCATCCTTGGCTCTATTTCTGTTTGCTTCTTAAATCCTTGACAAGAAGAATTGACATCAGAATAGTCCTCACCCAATGTGCTATCCAAGGCCTAGCAAAGAGAATAAGCTTAACCCAGGTTAAGAGTTGGGTGAAGAGAAGAGACCCAAGACATTAAGGCCTACTAATCTGGCAGAATCACATCTCATGGGGTGTGATTTTATGAGAGCAATTTGCCTTGGAGTCTTAGACACATAAATAACTAAGGATAAGAATATTCTGCTGCCAGCCTCCCTACAGTTTGAGAGAGCAATTTGCCTTGGAGTCTTAGCCACATAAATAACTAAGGATAAGAATCTTCTGCTGCCAGCCTCCCTACAGTTTGCATAGGAGTCAAGATTAATAAATACTTAAAAAGTGTAAGGGGAGCTAAAAATTGGCTTGTGACCTGCTTATTCATAGGACTGAACCAAAAGTCATAGTGTCCCCAGTAAACAAATAATGCTAGAGCTAAAGAGAAACCATAAGGTAAGCATCTAAGATCCTTTCATTTTCAGATATACATGCTTTAGAAAAATTGTCTTGGCACGGAGACTAGCCTTTGGGATCTAGTGCCTTGAAAAAAAATCTGATGGTAACATCTCTATTTTGGTAAATTGATTCAAGAAAAAGGCAAAGAGACAAAAAGCAATTCAAACTGCTCATACTCTTTAGCCCTGGGAAGCCTGCACCGGCAGGTTTCTGGATATGGTCTATTTTAGTTCAAAGTGCAATCACACTGTATAAAATATAAAGTCACTAAGAATGAGGCATAGCACAAATACCCTAGGGACCTGACATCAGGAATTAGGGCAGGTCACAAAAGAAAAAGAACAAAACTCAGAGCTTCACTCTTGTTGCCCAGGCTGGAGTGCAATGGTGCAATCTCGGCTCACTGCAAACTCTGCCTCCTGGGTTCAAGCGATTCTCCTGCCTCAGCCTCCCAAGTAGCTGAGATTACAGGCATGCACCACCACGCCTGGCTAATTTTGTATTTTTAGTAGAGACGAGGTTTCTCCATGTTGGTCAGACTGGTCTCGAACTCCCATCCTCAGGTGATCCGCGCCCCCTCGGCCTCCCAAAGTGCAGAGATTATAGGCTTGAGCCACTGTGCCTGGCCAAGACAAAATTCTTCAGGCAAAAAGGCACAGTATAAACCATTCAAGAGAGATTTATATTCCTGTTGCCCCAAACCTACATTAGCTGTTAAGTGGAGGCCACAGTTTTAGCAACTCTACATCAGGAAACCCTGAACTCTTGTTGTGCCCTATCCCAATGTGTCTCAGTGCCAAGAGATGCCAAACGATGTCATCTTTGTTTAGCTCTATGTACTTTTGCTAAAGTGATTCATTACTGTCTTATCTCAATGTAAGAGGATATCAGTAGATGCAGGAGAGGGTGACAGAATCAAAGGAGTGGAGGAGGTGGAAGAAGAGAAAAAGGCGTCACTATTTTACAGAAAAAGTGCCATTATTGGTGTCTGACAAGGTAAATCGTTTTCTTTAGTTTATAAGCCCTACCTCCTTTTATTTTTTCCAGAAATTAGAACATTAGTTCTATCCAGGTTTGGTTCAGACTTGAATTGTACAAGTTGCAGTTCTTAGAGCTGATACCAGGGTCCCATTCTGTCACCCAGGCTGGAGTGTGGTGATGTGATCTCAGCTCACTGCAACATCTGCCTCCCAGGCTCAATGATCCTTTACCTCAGCTTCCCAGGTAGCTGGGACTACAGGCATGCACCACTAGGTCCGTCTAGTTTGTGTGGAGTTTTTTGGTAGAGATGGGATTTCACCATATTGCCCAGGCTGATCTCAAACTCCTGGTTCGAGCGATCCTCCCGCCTCCCCAAAGTACTGGGATTATAGATGTGAGCCACTGTGTCTGCCCTAAAATGGTAAAATCTTTAAGGCCCTTGTTTTCCCTAATTTTTCCTCCCCTTCATGGTAAAGAAGTCCAGTGTGCTATGTTACTAACGCTAGGATTCATAACTTACATTTTAAGGATAGCCAAAGTAAGTTGAAGATTACTTCCTATTGTTTCATTCTTTATAATTGTTTTAGGGGGCTTCAAATACAAGGGGTCAAAAACTGACGTAGGACAAAGATAGATGCAGTCATTGCCCAGAGTTAACTGCAAAGCAATGACTAAAAGCCATGATGAGAAGAATTTCTGACTCCCAGGCCTCTCTTCTTTCTGAATATCCTAGCAGTCCTAGATAACTGTCAGAGGACAAGTGTTGAAATGTGTTGACAAGTGTTGACAAGGAGGACCACACATACCCTAGATTTTCCAGGACAGTCCTGATGGCAAATATTCTCCACTGTCATCAGAACCCATGTAAATAAATGTCCTAGAAATTCCAATATTCTAGCATTTTGGGTTAAAGAAAATGGAAGAAGAACTGCATGCCTGGGAGTCAAGGCAAAAAGGGCACATGATAGTTGGTGTCAAGGCCAGGTAACAGGAAGGAGACAGAAAGATCTGATTGCTAGAATAACCAGGCAGCTCAAATGAGGGTAATAGAATCTTGTGCAGCACAGCATCATGATGGTAAAAAAAATGCTCTTTCCATGAGTGCTTAAAGCAGACTCAGAGAAAAGTTGCTGTTTTCAACCCACCTCTGGAGTACTAGTACTCCAGCCTCCATTAGTCAGGCTTCCACCCTGGAGATCTGACATAGTATGACAAGTCCTACAAAGCCAAACAATGAGGTCATCCTTTGTAGGTTACTTCATTGTGGGTGATAACTTCATCAGGAAAAAATATGTTCATTCAGCATTTTTCAAGTCCTCAAACTGCTTTATGAAATCAAGTCTGTTCATTCCTCTCTAGGAAGAGCAAACCTAGCAAGAGAAACAAGTTCTCTAGGTTTATACATCTATATGGTTAATCCTAGGCTCTTAGCCCCTACTTAAACAAATCCTAACCCTAGAGATCTAAATGAAATATTCTCTTTATTTAGTACGATTAATCTATTACCACTCTGAATAATTGGAAATATATTTAAATGCTTTTCATAGTGTGAGAGACAGAATGGAAATCCATGGAGCAGAAGAAAGGCTCAGTTCTTCTCCTTTTACCATGATCATGATAACTTTATAATTCCATGTAGTAAACCCTAAGGGCACGTTCTCATCAGCCAGGTTAGAGCCCCTTGTTCTACAGAGTAATGAAGGAGTTAGACCAAGTATCTTTCCCCAGTAATAGGGTGGCCAGATAAAAAAACAGGACACCTAGTTAAATTAGAATTGCAGATAAAATGAATAGTTTTTTAGTGTAAATAGTCTCAACTATTTCATGGGACATGCTTAGACACATGCTTAGACTAAAAATATGCAATAGTTTGCCGGGCGCAGTGGCTCACGCCTGTAATCCCAGCACTCTGAGAGGCCGAGGCAGGCGGATCACGAGGTCAAGGAGATGGAGGCCATCCTGGCTAACACGGTGAAACCCCGTCTCTACTAAAAATACAAAAAATTAGCCGGGCGTGGTGGCGGGTGCCTGTAGTCCCAGCTACTCGGGAGGCTGAGGCAGGAGAATGGCGTGAACCCGGGAGGCAGAGCTTGCAGTGAGCCGAGGTTGTGCCATTGCACTCCAGCCTGGGCAACAGAGTGAGACTCTGTCTCAGAAAAAAAAAAAAAAAAAGCAATAGTTACAAGTTAGGTTACTAAATACTAAAAACTATTCATTGTTTATCTGAAATTCAATTATTATTATTATTTTTTGAGACAGAGTTTCACTCTTGTTGCCCAGGCTGGAGTGCAATGGCGCGATCTCAGCTCACCGCAACCTCCACCTCTGCCTCCCGGGTTCAAGTGATTCTTCTGCCTCAGCCTCCCGAGTAGCTGGGATTACAGGCATGCGCCATCACGCCTGGCGAATTTTGTATTTTTAGTAGAGACAGGGCTTCTCCATGTTGGTCAAGCTGGTCTCGAACTCCCGACCTCCAGTGATCCACCCGCCTCGGCCTCCTAAAGTGCTGGGTTGTTTTTTTGTTTTGTTTTGTTTTTTGTATTTTTTAGTGGAGACGGGGTTTCACCATGTTAGCCAGGATGGTCTCGATCTCCTGACCTTGTGATCCACCCACCTCGGCTTCCCAAAGTGCTGAGATTACAAGTTTTCTTTTTTCTTTCTTTCTTTCTTTTTTTTTTTGAGATAAGGCCTCACTCTGTGGTCCAGACTGGAGTGCAGTGGCGATTACAGCTCACTGAAGCCTTGATCTCCTGGACTCAGGTGATCCTTCCACCTCAGCCTCCCAAATAGCTGGTACTACAGGGATGCACCACAACATTTGGCTAATTTTTTTTTTTTTTTTTTTTTTTTTTTTTTGAGACAGAGTCTCGCTCAGCTGCCCAGGCTGGAGTGCAATGGCGCAATCTCGGCTCACTGCAACCACCCTCTCCCGGATTCAAGCGATTCTCCCGTCTCAGCCTCCCGAGTAGCTGGGATTAGAGGCACCCATCATCATGCCCAGCTAATTTTTGTATTTTAGTAGAGACAGGGTTCCACCATGTTGGCCAGCCTGGTCTTGAACTCCTGACCTCAGGTGATCCACCTGCCTCAGCCTCCCTAAATGCTAGGATTACAGCTGTGAGCCGCCACGCCCAGCCTTTTGGCTAATTTTTGTATCTTCTCTTTTTTAGAGAAGGGACTTTGCCATGTTGTCCAGACTCGTCTCAAACTCTGGGCTCAAATGATCTGCCTAACTCGGCCTCTCAAAGTGCTGGAATTACAAGTGTAAGCCACTGAGCCTGGTCCGAAATTCAAATGCAATTGGGCATGCTGTATTTTTATTTGCTAAATATAGTAACCCTACCAGTACTATGCTTTCAGATTTTTTTTTTTTGAGATGGAGTTTTGCTCGTTTCCCAGGCTGGATTGCAACGGCATGATCTCGCCTCACTGCAACCTCCACCTCCTGGGTTCAAGTGACTCTCCTGCCTCAGCCTCCTGAGTAGCTGAGAGTACAGGCGCCCGCCACCACGCCCAGCTATATATATATATATATTTTTTTGAGACAGCCTCTCACTCTTGTCGCCCAGGCTGGAGTGCAGTGGTGCGATCTCGGCTCACTGCAACCTCCACCTCCCAGGTTCAAGCGATTCTCCTGCCTCAGCCTCCCGAGTAGCTGGGATTACAGGCGTCTGTCACCACGCCTGGCTAATTTTTGTATTTTTAGTAGAGACGGGGTTTCACCATATTGGCCAGGCTGGTCTTGAACTCCTGACCTCAGGCAATCCACCCACCTCAGCCTCCCAAAGTGCTGGGATTACAGGCGTGAGCCACTGCGCCCGGCTTTTTTTTTGTATTTTTAGTAGAGACGGGGTTTCACCATGTTGTCCAGGCTGGTCGCGAACTCCTAACCTCAGGTGATCCACCCAACTCAGCCTTCCAAAGTGCTGAGATTACAGGCGTGAGCTACCTTCGCCCGGCCTGCTTTCAGGTTTTTTTTTTTTTTTTTTTTTTGAGACAGAGTCTCACTCTTGTTGCCCAGACTGGAGTGCAGTGGTGCGATCTCGGCTCACTGCAACCTCCACCTCCCAGGTTCACGCCATTCTCCTGCCTCAGCCTCCTGAGTAGCTGGGATTACAGGCACGTGCCACCATACCTGGCTAGTTTTTTTTTTTTTTTTTTTTTTTGGAGATGGAGTCTCGCTCTGTCGCCCAGGCTGGAGTGGAGTGGCGCAATCTTGGCTCACCGCAAGCTCCGCCTCCTGGGTTCCCGCCATTCTCCCGCCTCAGCCTCCCGAGTAGTTGGGACTGCAGGTACCGGCCACCACTCGCGGCTAATTTTGTGGGGTTTTTTTCTTTTTTGTATTTTTAGTAGAGATGCGGTTTCACTATGTTAGCCAGGATGGCCTCGATCTCCTGACCTCGTGATCTGCCCAGGTCGGCCTCCCAAAGTGCTGGGATTACAGGCGCAAGCCACTGCACCAGGCCCATATCTGGCTAGTTTTTGTATTTTTAGTAGAGATGGGGTTTCACCATGTTGTCTAGGCTGGTCTCAAACTCCTAACCTCAGGTGATCCACCCGCCTTGGCCTCCCAAAGTGCTGGGATTACAGGCATGAGCCGTCACACCCGGGGTAAATAGGGATTTTAAAATAGCTTTGTGTGCTGGCAAATATCTTTTTCTGGAGAGTGGAATGACATTCTGTCATGTTTAATTTTTTAGGCTAGGAGACCGCTAAAAGGGATATCTAACTCTCTTCTCCTTTTCTTATTCCCTAGGGTATTCACTTTAGTGGAAAACAGCATAGGTTAATATCAACTGGCTCCATAAAAATCAACTTGTCCCTTTAAATATATCAAATACTTTAAATAGTTTTTCCAATATTAAATATCCATGTTCAGAATATGGTGGTGATTATGCTGTATTAATAAGAGAAATTACTTTGAGAGTGATGTTGGCAAGATTATGTCAAGTAGCAGCCAAGGGCTGATATACCACACTGTCAAACCAATGATTTTTTTTCTTTCTTTCTTTTGCCACTGTTACTATATTAATATACTTTTAGTATTTCCACTCACCTGAAAATGATGCAGGCAGATATTATAAACCTGATTCTGCCACTCCTGCAAATATCAAAGCTTAAACATTTTAATGGGGAGGAAAAAAAAACACTCTGAAGAATAAATATTCATAGGATTTTAATCCAGAAGTATCCCAACAGGCGCAGTGGCTCATGCCTGTAATCCCAGCACTTTGGGAGGCCGAGGCAGGCAGATCACCTGAGGTCAGGAGTTTGAGACCAGCCTGGCCAACATAGTGAAACCCCCGCCTCTACTAAAAATATGAAAATTAGCTAGGCATTGGCCGGACACGGTGGCTCATGCCTGTAATCCCAGCACTTTGGGAGGCTGAGGCGGGCACATCACGAGGTCAGGAGATGGAGACCATCCTGGCTAACACAGTGAAACCCCGCCTCTACTAAAAATACAAAAATTAGCCTGGCGTGACGGCAGGCACCTGTAATCCCAGCTACTTGGGAGGCTGAGGCAAGAGAATGACAAACCTGGAAGGTGGAGTTTGCAGTGAGCTGAGATCGTGCCACTGCACTCCAGCCTGGGTGACAGAGCAAGACACCGTCTCAAAAAAAAAAAAGATTAGCCGGACGTGGTGGCAGGTGCCTATAATCTCAGCTACTGGGGAGGCTGAGGCAGGAGAATCTCTTGAACCCAGGAGGTAGAGGTTGCAGTGAGCCAAGATTGCGCCACAGCACTCTATCCTGGGTGACAGAGTGAAACTCCGTCTCAAAAAAAAAAAAAAAGTATCCCAGCCAGGTGCAGTGGCTCGTGCTTGTAATCCCAGCACTTTGGGAGGCCAACGCGGGCGGATCACGAGGTCAGGAGTTCAAGACCAGGCTGACCAACATGGTGAAACCCTGTCTCTACTAAAAATACAAAAATTAGCCGGGCATGGTGGCATGTGCCTATAATCCCGGCTACTCAGGAGGCTGAGGCTGAGGCAGGAGAATGGCTTGAAACTGCAAGGCAGAGGTTGCAGTGAGCCGAGATTGCACTGAGCCGAGATTGCACCATTGCACTGCACTCCAGCCTGAGCGACAGAGTGAGACTCTTGTCTCAAAAAAAAGGTATCCCAACAGAGTTTCACATTTTACCATAACCCACAGGAGAGAAATCTTTTCTATAATCATTAATAATTTAGTTCTTTAGAAAAATCATTTCCTCTTCGTGTGATTTTTCTTGTTTTAGACGTGGTCTCATGATGTTGGCCAGGCTGGCCTCAAACTCCTGGACTCAAGTGATCCTCCTGCCTCAGCCTCCTGAGTAGTTGGGACTACAGGGATGTGCCACGACTTGTTTATCAAGCAGTTATTGAGTACCTAGTGTGTGCCACTCAGTGGCTTGTAAGTGGCAGAGCCAGTGGCAGAAGCCAGGTTACCTTGACTCAGAACAGGCACTCTTTCCTAATACTTGGTCTTCCCATGATCTCTTTCTGGAACTCCCAGGGCTGATGTAATATAACCCAAAGAATAAACTGGAATAAGACAAAGAGAAATAAAGCTTGAGTTTCCATTTAGCTCTTCCCTGACAGGTGGTACATAACTTAGCCCATTCAAGAGCAGATGAGTTTCCATCACCTGTTTTGTTTAAATATTAAGAACTATTAAAAGACATTATTTTCCCTTGATGGTTATCAGAATCTTCTGGCTTTCCAACAGTGCCACCCAAATCCTTTATCTGTCTAGAACCCCTTGCTGTTTCAGTTTCTTCATCTGTAAAATTAGGTAATGGATTAGATCATCTTCAAAGTTCTTTCTAGCTCTAAAATTATTTTATTCTACTAATTTTCTGTGGAAAAAAATTATTATGCTCAGGTCCATCAGCTTTGGCTAATGAGGGCTGCACTCCACAGTTTGAAAAGTTTAGGAAATTCCCGGCCTGGTATGGTGGCTCATGCTTGTAATCCCCGTACTTCCAGAGGGCAAGGCAGGCAGATTACTTTTGCCCCCAAGTTTGAGACCAGCCTGGGCAATGTGGCAAGACCCTGTTTCTAATAAAAAGGTAAAAATGGCATATCATCCATGGCCTTTTTACTTTTCCAACACAGTCTGGGAAATTATTAATAACAATAAAATCTCTACAGAGTACTCTTTCCTAATTACTTTGAATATTTTCCTTTCTCACAATGTCATTGAGACACAAGAAGGTATTATTCATCCACCAAAAATGAGAAACTGGACATACAGATAGGTCGTGCACTTTTTTTTTTTTAAATGGAGTGTTGCTCTGTCACCTAGGCTGCAGTACAATGGCGCGGATGTCCATTCACTGCAACCTCTGCCTCCTGGGTTCAAGCGATTCTCCTGCCTCAGTCTCCTGAGTAGCTGGGACTACAGGCGCATGCCACCACACCGGCTAATTTTTTGTATTTTTAGTAGAGACGGGGTTTCACATGTTGGCCAGGCTGGTCTCAAACTCCTGACCTCGTGATCCGCCCACCTCGGCCTCCCAAAGTGCTGCGATTACAGGTGTGAGCCACCACGCCCCGCCTAGGTCGTGCACTTCTAAAACTCACAGTAAGTGGGAGTAGATCTAAAATGAGAAAGTGGATCTCTCTGCTGACTGGGTCTCTTGTCCAGGCTTTTTATCCACAGTAAGCTTTCTGGTTAATGTACAGAATGTGGAATGCTCATTAATTGCTCTTGGAAAATGAACCTGTCTCTTCCTCCCTTCCTACTTCAAAAAAAAAAAACACACACAAAAACACAGAAAAACAATAATACCCTCACTTTACTAAATGAGCAAGAGGAAAAAAAATGAATCTGGCCAGGTGCGGTGGCTCATGCCTGTAATCCCAGAACTTTGGAGGCTGAGGCAGGTGGATCACTTGAGGTCAGGGGTTCAAGACAAGCCTGGCCAACATGGTGAAACCCTGTCTCTACTAAAAATGCAAAAATTAGCTGGGCATGGTGGCACACACCTGTAATCCCAGCTATTCGGGAGGCTGAGGCAGGAGAATCACTTGAACTTGGGAGGCGGAGGCTGCAGTGATCCGAGATTGCACCACTGCACTCCAGCCTGGGCAACAGAGCGAGACCGTTTCAAAAAAGAAAAGAAAAGAAAAGAAAATCCACAGTAGGCGCCATCTGGAATGGCTCAGGTGATAGCCAGTCACCTGGAGCAGAGAAAAAGCTGTGGTCACTAGTAATTTCAGTATTTCAGTGATGTTTCCCACCACCAGCTGTCATCATAATTTCCAGAAAAGCTGCCAAGAAAAAGCAGGAATTTGCATTTCACACAACCCTAAACACACACACACACACACACACACACACACACACACACACACACACACAATGGATCTTCCTGACTGCTCTTTGCCCTCATATCTTCCTTCCCTCAAGCATTCCAGATAAACAGGTAAGGTACTTGACTCACCTGCAGCTGAATAACTCAGTACTCTTGAAGGCGCCTCCCTTCTGCCAGCAATCCTTACTCAGTTATTCTTTCCTTCCCTAATCTGGATTGTTTCCTTGAAACCAAAAACCCCAGTAATAGGTGCCTTATCCCTACTTCCCCTTTTTCCTTTCTCCTCTTGCCATCCCTCATTCCAAACAATACACTCAGGTCTGTAGCGATCCAAGCTCTTATCACACTTAGGAGGTAACTGGCCATTGAAGTGCTTATCTTTATTTTGACAATATGTGACATGTTTATGTTCTATTCCAATCCAGCACAGTGTCTGCCCCATTGTTGGGACTCAGCAAATGTTTGTTGAATAGAACTTGCCTAAATTGGCCTCAGGCATCTCCTAAATTTCACAGTATGCTGAATTCCAGGGAAAACTAGACCGACTAAGCCAACTGCTCCCTTCCTGTCTGGGAGGACCCACCCACAGAGCAGAAAGGGGAAGCTCCACCTCTGCAGACAGAGAGGGTTTGACTGATGTCCCTCCTCCGCCTGTGATCCCACCCCATTCTCCTTCCTCTGTCACAGGCTAAGGCAGTCCTGGAACGCCTACCCCCCCACCCCAACCCCCCAGAATGATCCAGGCCATTTTATGTGGCAGAGCTGCTAATAGAACAGGCTGTGTATTAGATAGGGTTCAGGGTAGAGATCAGAGCCTGAATTTTATTGTAGGGATCACTAAGAAAGTTAGATTAGTTTGTGTTGGGTTGTTTTTTTTTTTTTTTTTTTTTTTTTTTTTGAGGCGGAATCTCGCTCTGTCCCCAGGTTGGAGTGCAGTGGCGTGATCTCGGCTCACTGCAACCTCCACCTCCCAGGTTCAAGTGATTCTCTTGCCTCAGCCTCCCAAATAGCTGAGACTACAGGTGTGTGCCACCACACCTGGCTAATTTTTGTATTTTTAGTAGAGGCGGGGTTTCACCATGTTGACCAGGCTGGTCTTGAACTCCTGACCTCAGGTGATCCGCCTGCCTCAGCCTCCCAAAGTATTGGGATAACAGGCATGAGCTACTGTGCCTGGCGTTAGATTAGAATTTGATATGAACCTAAGTAGACTAGTCTGAGACGTGTCTGTAGGGATTGAGAGTGTGAAGCTCTAGAGACCTAATGTCTAGGTTCAAATAGTGTCAGTGCAACTTTTTAACCATTTGTTACACATTTAACCATAAGTTACACAAGTTACTTAACTGCCCTATACCTCAGTTTCTTCACTCATGAAATAGGGATAATAGGCCAGACACGGTGGCTCACACCTGTAATCCCAACACTTTGGGAGGCCAAGGTGGGTGGATCACCTGAGGTCAGGAGTTCAAGACCAGCCCGGCCAACATGGTGAAACCCCGTCTCTACTAAAAATACAAAAATTATCTGGGCATGATCGGGGTGTGGGGGCGCCTGTAATCGCAGCTACTTGAGAGGCTGAGGCAGGAGAATAGCATGACCCTGGGAGGCGGAGGTTGCAGTGAGCCAAGATCACGCCATTACACTCCAGCCTGGGCAACAAGAGCGAAACTCCGTCTCAAAAAAAAGAAAAAGAAATAGGGATAATAACAGTACCTGTATCACAAGATTGTCCAAAGGATTAAATGAGTTAAAACATGTTAGTGCTAGGGCTGGGTATTGTGACTCACACCTACAATCCCAGCGATTTGGGAGGCTGAGGCAGGAGGTTTCCTTGAGGCCAGGAGTTCCAGACCAGTCTGGGCAACATGGTGAGACCCTGTATCCACAAAAAATTTTGACAAAATTAACTGGTCATGGTGGCATGGGTCTGTAGTCCCAGCTACTCAAGGGGTTGAAGTGGGAGGATTCCCTGGGCCCAGGTGGTCAAGGCTGCAGTGAGCCATGATTGCACCACTAGACGTCAGCCTGGATGACAAAGTAAGACTTTGTTGGCTGGGCGTGGTGGCTCACACCTGTAATGCCAGTACTTTGGGAGGCCAAGGAGGGCGGATCATGAGGTCAGGAGATCGAGACCATCCTGGCTAACATGGTGGAACCCCATCTCTACTAAAAATACAAAAAATTAGCCAGGCGTGGTGGCAGGAGCTTGTAGTCCCAGCTTCTTAGGAGGCTGAGGCTGGAGAATGGCGTGAACCTGGGAGGCGGAGCTTGCAGTGAGCTGGGATGGCGCCACTGCACTCCAGCCTGGGCGACAGAGCGAGACTCCGTCTCAACAACAACAACAACAACAAAAGGCTTTCTCTCTAAAATAAAATAAAATACACTAAAAATAATTTAATTTAAAAATAAGGATAAAACCATGTTAGTGCTCAATATTATTACTGAGGAGAATGGCTCTTGAATAGCAGCAAGTTTACTATGTTGAGGTTTGTATTTCTTTTATTTTTTTTTAGAGACAGAGTCTCACTCTGTCGCCCAGGCTGGAGTGCAGTGGCGGAGTCTCGGCTCACTGCAAACTCCGCCTCCCAGATTCAACTGATTCTCCTGCCTCAGCCTCCAAGTAGCTGGGATTACAGGCGAACGCCACCACGCCCAGCTAATTTTTTTGTATTTTTAGTAGAGATGGGGTTTCACCATGTTGACCAGGATGGTCTCTATCTCTTAACCTTGTGATCCACCCACCTCAGTGTCCCAAAGTTCTGAAATTACAGACATGAGCCACCGTGTCTGGCTCTTTTATTTTATTTTATTATTATTATTATTATTTTTTGAGACAGAGTCTTGCTCTGTTGCCAGGCTGGAACGCAGTGGCACGATCTTGGCTCACTGCAACCTCTGCCTCCTGGGCTCAAGCAATTCTCCTGCCTCAGCCTCCCAGGTAGCTGGGATTACAGGCTCCTCCCCCTACCATGCCCAGCTAATTTTTTATTTTTAGTAGAGATGGGGTTTCACCATGTTGGCCGGGGTGGTCTCAAACTCCTGACCTAAGGTGATCCACCCACCTTGGCCTCCCAAAGTGCTGGGATTACAGGCGTGAGTCACTGCGCCCAGCCCCTTATTTTATTTTTTGAGATGCAGTCTTGCTCTATCACCCAGGCTGGAGTGCAGTGGCGTGATCTTGGCTCACTGCAACCTCTGCCCCTCGGGTTCAAGCAATTCTCCTGCCTCTGCCTCTGAGTAGCTGGGATTACAGGCACACACCACCATGCCCAGCTACTTTTTTTGTATTTTTAGTAGAGATGGGGTTTCACCATGTTGGCCAGGATGGTCTCTATCTATTGACCTTGGGATCAGCCCGCCTCGGTGTCCCAAAGTGCTGAAATTACAGACGTGAGCCACCGTGCCCAGCTCTTTTTTTTTTTTTTTTTCCGAGATGGACTCTTGCTCTGTCGCCCAGGCTGAAGTGCAGTGGTGTGATCTTGGCTCACTGCAACCTCCACCTCTGGGGTTGAAGCGATTCTCCTGCCTCAGCCTTCCCGAGTAGCTGGGATTACAGGCACCTGCCACCACGCCTAGCTAATTTTTGTATTTTTTCAGTGGAGACAGGGTTTTGCCATGTTGGCCAGGCTGGTCTTGAACTCCTGACTTCAGGTGATCCACCCACCTCGGCCTCCCAAAGTGCTGGGATTACAAGTGTGAGCCACCACACCTGGCCTAATTTTTGTGTTTTTAGTAGAGATGTGGTTTCCCCATGTTGGCCAGGCTGGTCTTGAACTCCGGACCTCAGGTGATGCACCTGCCTCGGCCTCTCAAAGTAGTGGGATTACAGACGTAAACCACTGTACCTGGCTGAGGTTTGTATTTCTTTTTCTTTTCTTTTCTTTTTTTTTTTTTTTGAGACGGAGTCTTGCTCTGTCGCCCAGGCTGGAATGCAGTGGCACGATCTCAGCTCACTGCAACCTCCACCTCCTGGGTTCAAGTGATTCTCCTGCCTCAGCCTCCTAAGTAGCTGGGATTACAGGCGGGCGCCACCACACCCAGCTGCTTTTTGTATTTTTAGTAGAGACCAGGTTTCACCATGTTGGTCAGGCGGGTCTCAAACTCCCAACCTCAGGTGATCTGCCCACCTCGGCCTCCCAAAGTGCTGGGATTACAGGTGTGAGTCACTGCGCCCGGTGCAGTTGATTTAAAAAAAAAAAAAAAACTAAATGGGCTGGGCATGGTGGCTCACGCCTGTAATCCCAGCACTTTGGGAGGCCGAGGTGGGCACACTTGAGGTCGGGAGTTTGAGACCAGCCTGACCAACATGGAGAAACCCCATCTCTACTTAAAAAAAAAAATTAATTGCACAGGTAGGAGTAGGACTGGTTTGACAGTATCTTGTGTGAAAAAGGTTCAGGTCTCATGAAACCCAATGCAGTCAGAGTTTCATGAAAAGACACACTGTCAGATCCAGAGAAAGAATAGTCTCCCTGCATTTTAAACTGACTGGTTCTGACTGTCCCATATTAAGAAAGATATTGAGGGCTGAGTGTGGCGGCTCACGCCTATAATCCCAGCACTTTGAGAGGTTGAGGTGGGCAGATCACATGAGGTCAGGAGTTGGAGACAAGCCTAGCCAACATGGCGAAACCCCATCTCTACTAAAACTACAAAATTTAGCTGGGCACGGTGGCACACACCTGTAATCCGAGCTACTTGAGAGGCTGAGGCACAAGAATCGCTTGAACCCAAAAAGCGGAGATTGCAGTAAGCCGAGATTGCGCCACTCCAGGCTGGGTGACATAACGAGACACCATCTAAAAAAAAAAACAGGCCAGGTGTGGTGGCTCACACCTGTAATCCCAGCACTTTGGGAGGTTAAGGCAGGTGGATCGCTTGGGGTCAGGAGTTCGAGACCAGCCTGACCAGCGTGCTGAAACCTCGTCTCTACTAAAAGTACAAAAATTAGCTGGGTCTGGCGCCTGTAATCCCAGCTATTCGAGAGGCTGAAGCAGGAGAATCACTTGAATCCAGGAGGCAGAGGTTGCAGTGAGCCGAGATTGCACCAGTGCACTCCAGCCTGGGCGACAGAGTGAGACTCCCTATCTCAAAACAAACAAACAAAAATCAAACATTAAAAAGAAAGAAAAATATTGAGGAACTAGAATATGCCTAAATATGAGATCATATTTGAAAAAGATCTCATAACTTTACCAGGTGAGAAAGAATTTGATGGAGTTTGGAGATATTATTGATGGGGAAGAGAAGACTAATGTCCTCAAACAGGTATAATAAGGCTGACAATATAAAACTGTCAATGTTCAACTGGTTTGATCTATAAAAATAGCATTTTCATTTGGTTCAACCTAATAGAAGAGGATGTAGACTTATTTTTTAATGCTGCAGAGGGCAAACCAGAATCATTGGGTGAAAGAAGGAAGCAAATGTTACATCAATATAGGAAGGAATTTGTCACAATCGGATGCTCAGAAACAGAATTAAGTACCTTACAAAGATCTAGGTTCTTTGTCTGAGAGAGCCCAGGCAGAGCTGGGTGACAGTGTGTTGGGGATATTTAAAATATTCTGCATTCAGTGGGAGACTCTCCATGATCCAGCCTGCAATTGCTACCTGGCCAACTGGACCCCACAGTACAGGGACAACATACCAGACCACTTAGGGCACCCTGGCCATCCCAAGTTCCCAAGTTGTTTTACACTGCTGTGTCTTCATGCATGTCAATCCCTTTGCCTAGAATATTTATTTATTTATTTTTATATGTTTTTTATTTTTTTTGAGACGGAATCTCGCTGTGTCACTAGGCTGGAGTGCAGTGGCGCAATCTCGGCTCCCTGCAACCTCTGCCTCCCGGGTTCAAGAGATGCTCCTGCCTTAGCCTCGTGAGTAGCTGGGACTACAGGTGCATGCCACCACGCCCCACTAATTTTTGTATTTTTAGTAGAGACGAGGTTTCACCACATTGGCCAGGAGGTCTCGATCTCTTGACCCCGTGATCCGCCCACCTTGGCCTCTCAAAGTGCTGGGATTACAGGAGTGAGCCACTGCACCTGGCCAAATTTTTATTTTTATTTATTTAATTAATTAATTAATTAATTTTTTGAGACAGAGTCTCGCCCTGTTGCTCAGGCTGGAGTGCAATGGCGCGATCTCTGCTCACTGCAACCTCCGCCTCCCGGGTTCAAGCAATTCTCCTGACTCAGCCTCCCAAGTAGCTGGGATTACACGCACATACCACCATGCCCTGCTAATTTTTCTATTTTTAGTAGAGATGAGGTTTCACATGTTGGCCAGGGTGGTCTTGATCTCTTGACCTCGTGATCCGCCCACCTCGGCCTCCCAAAGTGCTGGGATTACAGGCGCGAGCCACCATGCCCAGCCCCTTGGCTAGAATTTTATGCCTCCCTGCAAATTCCTGCTCATTTCAAGTGTGACTCAACTCCAGTGTGGCCCCACCTGAATTCTCAAAACGGTCTTTCATGCTCTCCTCTGCACCACCTTGTACCTTGTGCTTACTTCTGTAGTGGCTGTTATGGTTCTTTTGTTATTTTTGGTGTATTTTTCTCTTTCCTACCAAATATAAGCTGCTTGTGGACCAGAAACATTTCTCTTTCATTTTTATATTCCCCAGTGATTTCAGCAATATCTGCTACATGGCAAATACTCAATAAAAAATTCATTAAATGAATGAGGTTCGACATTTTGATTTTATATATATGTAACATCAAAAAGTTATAAATATGAATTTTGAATCAAATATTATTAGTTAATAAAAAATTAATGTCTTTACTATGTGTGATGCACGATTATATTTTCTATTCTATATTATTCATTTTTTTAAATGTAAGTCATGACCTAGATTCCAAAATTAACTTGGGTTCCCAGCCTTATTCTGAAAAACACTGAACTGTATGGTCCACAGCAGGGATTTGAATGGAAGGTATCATCATGGAACCCTTTGAGAACCCAATGGAAGCTATGGGCCTTCTTGCCAGAAAGATGCATACGTGTACTAAAATTGACATTCAATTTCAGGGGCTCCTTGGACCCACCAAACTCCTTCTGAGAATCACAGGTTATGAGAAAGTTCCTTCTAACTCTATGATCCTATTTTTCTGAGAAGTATTAAAAAGTAGTTGGGCCTGCCTGGACAACCTGGTGAGACCCTGCCTTTACAAAAAATAAAAGATTAGCTGGGCATGGTGGCATGTGCCTGGGGTTCCAGCTACTTGGGAGGATGAGGCAGGAGAATTGCTTGAGCTCGAGGTCAAGGCTGCAGTGAGACTGTGCTATGATTGTGCCACTGCACTTCAGCCTGGGAAACAGAGCAAGACCCTGTCTCAAAAAAAACAACAAAAAAAATTAGGTAGCTGGGAGCTGGGCATGGTGGTGAGTACCTGTAGTTCCAGCTACTCAGGAGGCTGAGGTAGGAAGATCTTTTGAACGCCAGGAATATGAGACCAGCCTGGGCAATATAGCAAGAATCTCTCTAAAACAAAACAAAACAAAAAGTATTAAGAAGTAGTCTTGGGGCTGGGTGCGGCGGTTCACACCTGTAATCCCAGCACTATGGGAGGCCAAGGTGGGTGGATCACTTGAGGTCAGGAGTTTGAGAGCAGCCTGACCAACGTGCTGAAACCCCGCCTCTATTAAAAATATACAGTTACCTCTATTAAAAATACAAAAATTAGCTGGGCATGGTAACGCGTCTGTAATCCCAGCTACTCGGGAGGCTGAGGCAGGAGAATTGCATGAACCCAGGAGGCGGAGGTTGCAGTGAGCCAAGATCACGCCACTGCACTCCAGCCTGGGCGATGGAGCGAAAGTCCATCTCAAAAAAACCCCAAAAAAGACCTAGTCTTGGAACCTCAAACCTCTATTAATCATCTATAGGGAGAGCACAAATTTGGAGGGGAGCTACATAAAGAACAAAGAATGGAAAGAAAATTTTGAGGTGAGACAGGTAGGATAGATACGTACATGTGAAAAATCAAAGAGTGAAGAACAAAAGAAATCCCGACTAAGGGTTAGGTAGAGGGGAGAGGTGTGGCAATGCTGACTCAGGTTTTCAGGCCTGCAGTATCTGATTTTCTTTTCAGACTATTAGGCTTGGGATTGCAGCCCTGTAACGTTCTTCTTCCCTCCCTATGGCTCCCTCTCTCTTCCTCCCCTTTAGGCAGCCCTTATGGAAACTCTGAAACTCTTTCTCTTTTCTTCCAGATGGGGAGCTCTGGCAGAAAGAATGTTCTGGCCTATGTGCAATGACTGTTTTCTCTGCCAATGGATAAAGCTAAAATCTGCTTTCTTGGAAACCAGCTAATGTCTTTAGAAGCATGACCCTAGTTAAGGAGAGACTGGGACCTTTTTTTTTTTTTTTCTGAGATGGAGTCTCGCTCTGTCGCCCAGGCTGGAGTGCAGTGGCGCGATCTCGGCTCACTGCAACCTCCGCCTCTCATGTTCAAGCAATTCACCTGCCTCAGCCTCCCGTGTAGCTGGGACTACAGGTGCCGGCCACCAAACACGGCTAATTTTTGTACTTTTAGTAGAGACTGGGTTTCACTATGTTGGTCAGGCTGGTCTCAAACTCCCGACCTTAGGTGATCTGCCCACCTCAGACTCCCAAAGTGCTGGGATCATAGGCGTGAGCCACCGTGCCCAGCTGAGACTGGGATCTTTTTTTTGAGACAGAGTCTCTGTTACACAGAGTGCAGTGGCACAATCTCGGTTTACTGCAACCTCCAACTCCCAAATTCAAGTGATTCTCATGCTTCAGCTTCCCGAGTAGCTGGAATTACAGGCGTTTGCCACCACGCCTGGCTAATTTTTGTATTTTTAGTAAAGACAGGGTTTCACCATGTTGGCCAGGCTGGTCTCGAACTCCTGGCCTCAAGCAATCCACCTGCCTTGGCCTCCCAAAGCCCTGGGATTACAGGTGCGAGCCACCACACCCAGCCCAGATGGGGACCTCTGAATAAAGGGAGGGTAAGAAAATAATTTTCAGCATCTACTGGTACAGTGACTCATAAAGATATGAGGATCTTGAACAGCAACAAATGATTTAAAAATGGAATATTCTGTCTCTGAGATCTAACCTTAGGATCACATTGGTCTTCTTTGAATCTAAGAATAACATCTAAAGTGTTTTTGGCAACCTGTCCAGGAGGCAACAAATATATATCTCACGTTTTCTACAGGACAAACTGTGAAAGAGATACATGTGAAGCCCAGAAGCATCACAGAATCAGCTTCCTATCCAACCCTCAGGAATTTGACAATTACAAGAACTTTGGTAAAGTCCAGAAAGCCCAGGACATTACTGTAGTCCATAAGTAACTAAGCTGAGGGAAAGAATGGAATTTGGGGTGGGGTTAGGAAACCTGAGTTATGTCCCTAGTTAGGCCCCTGATTAACTGTGTGATAATCACCAGTCACTTCCTGGTTCAGTGTTTCAGTCCCTTCCCCTGCCCAAGTAAAATAAAATAATGATTTTATTCTTTTTTTTGAGAAAGTTAAGCATGATTGTTTCTATAGAGAAATCTGGAAAGTAGCCAATCTCTTAGTGTAGCTCTATGGGATGATTTTGGTCATTTTATAAGCAATGTAACCTGTAAACCTCCTGGTTGTTGTTGGGACCCTCAGAAGGGAATGAGATAAATAGGTAGTCTGCTTTCCTCCCGCGTCTTCTGTCTAGGATGATACTGTTGTGTTGCTAACAGAGGGCCCTGGAGAGAGATTTAGGAGATAACTGGGTACCACCCAACTAGGTCAGGGAATGAGTCAGGGCTCAAGGACTCGATACCAACCTCTCCCACTCCTGCCAGGAAACCTCTGGGTGAGACAGATGAGAGAGAAGCCGAGGGGCGGGCCTCACGGCTGCCTGCCCTGGGTCCTCTGGCTTGTGGTTTCACCCTGGTTTGCCCTGCAGCAGCTGTAACGTGTCTGCTGACACGCAAGCCCTGGACACGGCTGTCCCTCCCCCTTTCCCAAACTTCTGCTCAGTTTCAGAAACAGATGGCACATTCCACCCCAGAAGTGACTGTTGGAGAGATGAGAGGAAAAGGGCAGAGCAGAGCTAGGTGGAGATGTGACACTTCAGAAAGCACAGGGCAAAACACCGTACATGAGACTTTTCATCCAGGAGGCGAGTAGGAAGTAGAAACTAAACTCACCTCCAGAGAAATCAGGATGGGAAAAGGGCAGAACGACATGGCTGGGCTGTTGCAGATGATAGAACACAGCTGAAGGATAAGGCTGGGGCATGCCCTGCAGCGCTAGCCTGGAAACCTGCAAGCCTTAAGAGCAAAATGACAAAAGGTCACGTCTCTTGTTTGGAGGTACTCAGTGCCTGCAAATCCATCTTTCTCTCCTCAACATCTCAATTCCCAGTTTATAATAGGCCAGTGCAAAAACGGTTTTAGGCACCTACAATCTACCGAGTTACCTGTTTCCATATATGATTTTACTTACGTTCACAACCCCTCTATGAGGTAAGTTCTCTGCATTTCAGTGTACCCATCTGCGAAATTATCTCCATTCCACAGATGGGTTTGCACTGAAATGCAGATGACTTAAGTAATTGGCTAATAAAGTTTGGAAATAGTGGAGCAAGATCTACATCAGTTGCCAGAGCCCCCACGAATTTCATTATGCCAAGTTTTCTTTGATTTGAAGTAATCAAAATGAAGAAAGCAAAATGATGTCCAAATAGTAGAGACTTCTTAAAAGCTTTTCAAGGGGCCGGGCGCGGTGGCTCACGCCTGTAATCCCAGAACTTTGGGAGGTTGAGGCAGACGGATCACCTGAGGTCAGAAGTTCGAGACCAGCCTCAACATGGGGAAACCCCGTCTCTACTAAAAATACAAAATTAGCCGGGCGTAGTGGTGCATGCCTGTAATCTCAGCTACTCGGGAGGCTGAGGCAGGAGAATTGCTTGAACCTGGGAGGCCGAGGTTGCGGTGAGCCGAGATCGAGCCATTGCACACTAGCCTGTGCAACAAGAGTGAAACTCCGTTCTCAAAAAAAAAAAAAAAAAAAAAGCCTTTTTTGAGACGGAGTCTCGCTCTGTCGCCCAGGCTGGAGTGCAGCGGCGCGATTTCGGCTCACTGCAAGCTCCGCCTCCTGGGTTCACGCCATTCTCTCGCCTCACCCTCCCGAGTAGCTGGGACTACAGGCGCCCGCGACCAAGCCCGGCTAATTTTTTGTTTTTGTATTTTTAGTAGAGACGGGGATTCACCACGTTAGCCAGGATGGTCTCAATCTCCTGACCTCGTGATCCGCCCGCCTTGGCCTCCCAAAGTGCTGGGATTACAGGCGTGAGCCACCGCGCCCGGCTGAGCAATTTTTTTAAATTATTATTTTTTATTTCAATAGCTTTTGGGGTACAAGTGGTTTTGATTACATGGATGATTTGTATAGTGGTAAAGTCTGCGATTTTAATACACCAGCCACTCAAGTAGTGTACACTGTACCCAATATGTAGTTTTTTTATCTCTCGCCCACCTCCCACCGGTAGTGAGGAATTAATGGAGATCCCTGAATCTCTCAACATAGGTATTTAAACATCCAGGAATTGGGTTTACATAGGCCTCCCTGCAGTCTGAGATCCGGTGCAGCCTTGGTACCCTCTAGTGGAAGTTTTCTGCATTCGCACAGCTTCCCTGTTTCCAATCCCAAAGAGCTGAGAAGGAAGCCTTCACCCAGCCACAGGAGAGCATCCCAAAAGAATGGTTAGCTGGAAGATAGATTTTTTTTTTGTTGTTTTTTTTTTGAGATGGAGTCTTGCTCTGTTGCCCAGGCTGGAGTGCAATGGCACGATCTTGGCTCACTGCAACCTCCGCCTCCCAGGTTCAAGCAATTCTCCTGCCTCAACCTTTCAAATAGCTGGGACTACAGATGCACGCCGCCATGCCCGGCTAATTTTTTGTATTTTAGTAGAGATACGGTTTCATCATGTTGCCCAGGCTGGTCTTGAACTCCTGAGCTCAGGCAATCCACCTGCCTCGGCCTCCCAAAGTGCTGGGATTACAGACGTGAGCCACCGTGCCCGCCCGGAAGGTAGATTTTTGTATAGCAGGGTCATGCAGGGTAGAGGAAGGAATACAGACTAGAGAAAATGTGTGCCAAGCACTTGGTTCACAAGGGACCCCCAAAATGAGTCACTGTCAGTATATAAATGAGCTTAGGACTTTGTACATTATTAATAGGGGCTCAATATACATAACACAGGACTGTAGGCCTTTAGGGCTCTAGAGGGAGACTTTTTTTGAGACGGAGTATCGCTCTGTCGCCCAGGTTGGAGTGCAGTGGCATGATCTCGGTTCACTGCAACCTCCACCTCCCGGGTTCAAGTGATTCTCCTGCCTCAGCCTCCTGAGTAGCTGGGACTATAGGCACATGCCACCACGCCCAGCTGTATTTTTAGTAGAGACGGGGTTTCACCATCTTTACCAGGCTGGTCTCAAACTCCTGACCTCGTGATCCACCCGCCTTGGCCTCCCAAAGTGCTGGGATTACAGGTGTGAGCCACTGTGCCCGGCTGAGACTTTTTTTTTTTAATGGAGAAAATTAGTGATCAGAGAACAAACTGACTTTGGGCAAAGCAATTTGCCAAAGGCCAAAGGGCAAATCAATGTCGGCAATGGTGGTACTAGAATCCATATCTCCTGTCTCCCAATCCAGAGGTGTTTCCACTCTATCGCACTTCCTTATTTGTTGGTTGATTGATTTTAGCCATAAATTGGTGTGCATACAAGGACATAAAGGTTGTAGGTATAACAAGGAAATTGTTTCTGCCTTCATCTGCCCACAATCCATACATTTTTCATTCTTTCATCCAATGGGCACATTTATAGAGTGCCTATTCTTGCCACACTAGGCATTGCTTTTCAAGTTTGTGGACCCTTTTACAGGGTACTCCAGCATATGAGAAGAAGTTCCCAGGCTACTGGAACCCCATGCCTACAGCCCTCCAAGGCACTCCTGGAGCTTCTTTCCCAAGTTTCTAGCACTAAATTGTTAGGTTTATTTCTGTCTCCCTCCCCCTGGAGAGGTAATCCCTGGGAATGGAAGTGGGTTAGAAACAGATTACTCTGATCCAAGGGCTTTGCTCTCTCCTCCCTAAACATGGTGTGGGAGGTGGGGGATGTGGGGAGTTGAAAATAGCCTGAAATTCCCTTTTAGGATTATTGCTTGATTTAGCTATCTGGGGTGAAAGTGGAGCAAGAAGAGGTGAGGGATTAATTCTAGACCTAGCTTGAGCAATGGGATGCATGGGCTTCTTTTCTGGCTCAGCCAAGGTGAGCAAGCAACATCTCTTCCGAAACCTGTCTTTAGAATAAGGAATCTAGGGCAAGGAAGCAGAAAGAGGTAAAGGAAAAGGATTTGTCCCCAGCAGCAGGGGTGAGTGGAAGGATAGATGGGAAAGAACAGCAGCTAAGAGAAGAAAGACCTTCAGCACAGGAATAAGGAATGACTTTTGGGCTTGGAAGCTACCTGCATTTCAGTGGTCTTAGCTTCAACAAAGGCGAGAACTGCTCTCTAGGGGAAGAGAGCTAACGCTCAGGGCTTCCTGTGGACTTCTTGTTCATCCATCCAACAGGAACTCTCTTGCTTTAGGCACGCTGCACTGGGGTGGACTCTGGGGGCAGGGATGTTATCTATGTCCAGCACAAAGAGCAGTTACACTTTCCAGGTTTCTGCTAGGCTCCTTATATCCCTTTCAGGGCTATGATGGGGCTTGGAAGCAGTAATTATAACTAACCAGAGTGGGACCATATATGAATTCACTTTATGAGTTAACAACAATTCTACTTAAATTCTACTTAATAACCCCCTTCCTTTCTTACTTTTTTTTTTCTTTGATACAGAGTCTTGCTCGGTCGCCCAGACTGGAGTGCAATGGTGCGATCTCGGCTCACTGCAATCTCCGCCTCCTGGGTTCAAGGGATTCTCCTGCCTCAACCTCCCGAGTAGCTGGGACTACAGGCACGTGCCACCACAGCTGGCTAATTTTTGTATTCTTAGTAGAGATGGGGTTTCACCATGTTGGCCAGGCTGTTCTTGAACTCTTGACCTCGTGACCCACCCACCTCAGCCTCCCAAAGTGCTGGGATTACAGGTGTGAGCCACCGTGCCCAGCCCCCTACTTTTTCTTTTTTTTTTTGAGACGGAGTCTCACTCTGTCGCCCAGGCTGGAGTGCAGTGGCACGATCTCAGCTCACTGCAACCTCCAACTCCCAGGTTCAAGCGATTCTCCTGCCTCAGCCTCCTGAGTAGCTGGGGCTACAGGCATGCACCACCACGCCCAGCTAATTTTTGTATTTTTAGTAGAGGCAGGGTTTCACCATGTTGTCCAGGATAGTCTCAATCTCTTGACCTCGTGATCTGCCCGCCTTGGCCTCCCAAAGTGCTGGGATTACAGGCGTGAGCCACTGCGCCCGGCCAATAACCCCCTTTCTATAGGTGAGGAAAAAAGGTGAAGCTAAGATGTAAACTCAGGCACTATAGCATTCTTAACCACTTTCACTATGTGAAAGCCATATACAGTCAACTCGAGTGACAAACAAGCTCTACTAATATTGCTTGCTAAAGATCAGCTGAAGCCGAGCGTGGTGGCTCACACCTGTAATCCCAACACTTTGGGATACTGAGAGGGGAGGATTGCTTGAGCCCAGGAGATTGAGACCAGCCTGGGCAAAATGGCAAGACCTTGTCTCTACAAAAAAAAAAAAAAAAAAATGCTGGATATGGTGGCATGCTCTTGTAGTCCCAGCTACTAGGGAGACTGAAGCAAGAGGATCCCTTGAGCCCAGGAATTTGAGGCAGCAGTGAGCTGTGATGGTACCATTGCACCCCAGCCTGGTGCCAAAGCGAGACCCCATCTCTAAGTAACTAACCAATTAACTAAAGCTCAGTTGAGAATATTTCTTAGAAAGTCAGGATCCTTGTTTCTTCTACAGCACCTTATTTTGGACAATTCACTTATTTTGCTCTCCATAGTCTCACTTTAGGGAAGGGAAGTACAATATAAATACATGGCAAGCCTAGTACTTGCTCCAATTCTAGTATCATATTGTTTAGAATTGGGTTCTTCCCAGTTCTCCAGAAGAATTTTCCTGGTTCAAATCAGCTGTGCTTCTCCTAGAAAGTAGGTCACTACGCAGAATTTCTGAAGTTTCCATCTCTGATGTCATCTGCCACTGGGAGGGGAAAAAATGTAAGTGTGTGCTCCACTGCTTACATAGGAAGAGTCTCATTCTCTTTGGTCTCCATTTATTTTATTTATTTATTTTTTGAGACAGAGTCTCACTCTGTCACCCAGGCTGGAATACAGTGGCACAATCTTGGCTCACTGCAGCCTCTGCCTCCCAGGTTCAAATGATTCTCATGCCTCAGCCTCCCAAGAAGCTGGGACTACAGGCTCATGCCACCACGCCCAGCTGATTTTTGTAATTTTAGTAGAGATGGGGTTTCACCATGTTGGCTAGGCTGGTCTCGAACTCCTGGCCTCAAGCAATCCGCCTGCCTCAGCCTCCAAAAGTGCTGGGATTAGAGGTGTGAGCCACCACACCCAGCCCTCTTCGGGCTCCATTTAGAAATTTCAATACGACAACAAGGGATTCCAGTAACCCACTTCACTGGGAAAAACAGGAAATCAACTTTTCCTTCTGCCTCATTATATTTCTTTTTCTTTTCTTTTTTTTTTTTTTTTTTTTGAGATGGAGTGTCGCTTTTTCGCCCAGGCTGGAGTGCAGTGGCCAGATCTCTGCTCACTTCAAGCTCCGCCTCCTGGGTTCATGCCATTCTCCTGCCTCAGCCTCCTGAGTAGCTGGGACTACAGGCGCCTGCCACCGCGCCCGACTAATTTTTTGTATTTTCAGTAGAGATTGGGTTTCCGTGTTAGCCAGGATGGTCTCGATCTCCTGACCTCGTGATTCACCCGCCTCGGCCTCCCAAAGTGCTGGGATTACAGGCGTGAGCCACCGCGCCCAGCCTGCCCCATCATATTTCAACTGGAATTCTTCACATCTGCTTATTGTATAAATAAATATTGGAGTGTCTACTATGTGCAAGAGTGTTCTTTGCCAAGACTGAGCCCCTAACAATCGATTCCTTCCTCTACTTGCACAATGAGTTCTCTTCTCTTGCTCCCATCATCGTGACAAGATCTTTTTATCTTGCTTTTTCTGAAATGTGAATTACTAAGATTGTAGGATTAAGAAATACCCTTTTTGGCTGGGCACGGTGGCTCATGCCTGTAATCCCAGCACTTTAGGAAGATGAGGCAGGTGGATCACCTGAGGTCAGGAGTTCGACACCAGCCTGACCAACACGGTGAAACCCCATCTTTACTAAAAATAGAAAAAATTAGCCAGGCTTGGTGGCGGGCACCTGTAATCCCAGCTACTTCGGAGGCTGAGGTAGGAGAATCACTTGAACCTGGAGGCCGACGTTGCAGTGAGCCGAGATCGTCCCACTGTACGCCAGCCTGGGCAACAAAGTGAAACTTCATCTCAAAAAAAAAAAGAAAGAAAAGAAATATCCTTTTGGTGTTACTTCTCTAACAGACAGCTCCCAATTTTCTTCTCTTTTTTTTTTTTTTTTTTTTGGGGGGGGATTGAGTTTTGCTCTTGTTGCCCAGGCTAGAGTGCAATGGCATGATCTCGGCTCACCGCAACCTCCACCTCCCGGGTTCAAGCAATTCTCCTGCCTCAGCCTTCCGAAGAGCTGGGATTACAGGCGCCCGCTACCACGCCCGGCTAATTTTTTGTATTTTTAGTAGAGACGGGGTTTCTCCATGTTGGTCAGGCTGGTCTTGAGCTCCTGACCTCAGGTGATCTGCCTGCCTCAGCCTCCCGAAGTGCTGGGATTACACGCGTGAGCCACTGTGCCTGGCCAGCTCCCAATTTTCCATGAAGCTGATGAGGTAGGAAGATATGAATTTTCCAAAACAGTAGCTCATCAAACAACAACAAAACTAACTTATAGCTCATCTCTAAGCAATTAAATGATATTGACTCCCCTATCATTATTTCATCCAGGCTGATATGGAACAAGTTTGTATTAACTGAGAAACTGATCAGAGGGTGGGCAGAGATGATCTGGGATGTGTTGGCTACTGTGTGAGGCTAACATAAAACTCAATGGTGGAGGAAGTAATCTAAGATAAATTATATTAATGTTCTGCATTAATCAATAATCTTGGCCAGGCGCGGTGGCTCACGCCTGTAATCCCAGAACTCTGGGAGGCCGAGGCAGATGGATCACCTGAGGTCAGGAATTAGAGATCAGCCTGGCGATGTGGCGAAACCCTATCTCTACTAAAAATACAAAAATTAGCCAGGCATAGTGGCAGGCACCTGTAATCCCAGCTACTCGGGGGACTGAGGCAGGAGAATCGCTTGAACCCAGGGGGCAGAGGTCGCAGTGAACTGAGATCGAGCTATTGCACTCCAGCCTGGATGACAGAGTGAAACTGCATCTGAAAAAAAACAAAAAAACAAACAAAAAAAACACCTCTCATCCATGGAGTAAACTTTCCTCACTTTGGTTGGGAATACCAGTAAAAATAATTCATGTTTTGGCCGGGCACGGTGGCTCACCCCTGTAATCCCAGCAATTTGAGAGGCCGAGGTGGGCGGATCACCTGAGGTCAGGAGTTTGAGACCATCCCGGCCAACATGGTGAAACCCCATCTCTACTAAAAATACAAAAAATTAGCTGGGCGTGGTGGTGGGCACCTGTAATCCCAGTTACTTGGGAGGCTGAGGCAGGAGAATCACTTGAACCCGAGAGATGGAGGTTGCAGCGAGCCAAGATTGCGCTATCGCATTCCATCCTGGCTGACGAGTGAAAACTGTCTCAAGAGAAAAAAAAAATCATGTTTTATTTTCTAGGGATTAGAGTAGGTGGACAGGAGTCTGTTAAATAATCAGATATAGCTTATTTAAATGCTTAATAACATATATTCTATTTTTTTCTTTTTTCTTGTTTCCCTATGCTTCTATAGGCACTGAATAGCTCTGTTGCCCAGGCTGGAGTGCAGTGGTGGGATCTTGGCTTACTGCAACCTCTGCCTCCTGGACTTAAGCCATCCTCCCACCTCAGCCTCCCCAGTAGCTGGGGCCACCATGCCCAGCTATTTTTTTTTTTTTTTTTTTTTTGAGACGGAGTCTTGCTCTGTCGCTCAGGCTGGAGTTCAGTGGCACAATCTCGGCTCACTGCAAGCTCCGCCTCCCAGGTTCACTCCATTCTCCTGTCTCAGCCTCTGGAGTAGCTGGGACTACAGGCGTCTGCCACCATGCCCGGCTAATTTTTTTTGTATTTTTAGTAGAGACGGGGTTTCACCATGTTAGCCAGGATGGTCTCAATCTCCTGACCTCGTGATTCGCCTGCCTCGGCCTCCCAAAGTGCAGGGATTACAGGTGTGAGCCACCGCACCCGGCCTAATTTTTTAATTTTTTTGTAGAGATAGGGTTTTGCCATATTGGGCAGGCTGGTCTTGAACTCCTGGACTCAAGGGATCTAACCCACTTCCGCCTCTCAAAGTGCTGGGATTACAAGTGTGAGCCACCCCACACGACCCCACATACTCTTCAACACATACATACAGCACTAATTTCATGTCACTATTAATGTGTCGTGCTATAGGTTCAATACTGTGGCTGGAACTTGTAGGGAAATACTTACCACATAAGAATGTACGATATAGCTGCGAAGTCAAGCTTTAAAAAACGCCTGTAATCCTTGCACTTTGGGAGGCCGAGGTGGGCGGATTGCCGGAGCTCAGGAGTTGGAGACCAGCCTGGGCAACACGGTGAAACCTCGTCTCTACTAAACTAGAAAAAATTAGCCGGGCATGGCAGCGTGCACCTGTAATCCCAGTTACTCTGGCGGCTGAGGCAGGAGAATCGCTTGAACCTGGGAGGCAGAGGTTGCAGTGAGCCGAGATTGTGCCACCGCACTCCAGCCTGGGTGACAGAGTGAGACTCCGTCTCCAAAAACAACAACAACACGTGATCTCCAAACCCAAAAGTAATCTTTCAGTTCTTCTGATAGTCCCCAGCACTTTGCTTCGACCTTTGTAGCAATTCTACTTCAGCCTGAAATTTCTTGTATGTACAGCCTGTAGCTCCTAACTTATTGCAAAATATTGTAGATGAGAACTCTGTAAGCTGTAATTGGCAGAATAATAACCAACGGCTAAGTGTGGAAAGTGTCTGCCTTTCAGCAACGTTTACACTACTGAATTTACCAGGGTGATCCCAACATCACGAATCCTTTAACAACTTAACATGAAGCAGCACGTAGCAGTTACCTGCATGGGTTCTGGAATTAGACTGCTTAGATTCAAATCTCGGTTCTGCCAGTTATCATCTATCTAACCTTAAGTAAATTACGTAATTGCTCTGTGACTCCTTTCCGAAATGACAAATCACAAATGTTTTTGTCAATTCACGTGTCTTCTGCTTTAGTAAACATAGTAGAAGACAGTAGTCAATCTCTTTTTTTGTTTTTTTTTGAGACAAAGTCTTTCTCTGTCACCGAGGCTGGAGTGCAGTGGCGGGATCTCGGATCACTGCAGCCTCCGCCTCCTGTGTTCGAGGGATTCTCCTGCCTTAGCCTCCCAAGTAGCTCAGACTACAGCCGCCTGCCACCAAGCCCGGCGCTCTCTTGCTGGCGCATGACAACCGTGCGTTCCACCCTACGACTAATTTTTTTTTTTTTTTTTTTAGACGGAGTCTAGCTCTGGCTGGAGTCAGTGGCGCGATCTCGGCTCACTGCAACCTCTGCCTCCTGGGTTCAAGCGATTCTCCTGCCTCAGCCTTACAAGCAGCTGGGACTACAGGCGTGTGCCACCACGCCCGGCTAATTTTTGTATTTTTAGTAGAGACGGGGTTTCGTCATTTTGGCCAGGCTGGTCTCGAACTCCTGACTTCAGGTGATCCACCGGTCTCGGCCTCCCAAAGTGCTGGGATTACAGGCGTGAGCCACCGCGCCCGGCCTCCTTTTCCTTTTTTAACTAATGGAATAAACGGCAATGTGCCAAGCATACAGCAATGCCCATTCCCCGGCCTTCAGAAAGCCTCGGGCGCAGGCGCAGCTCGCGTTCAAGCGCTCTCTCGCTGGCGGGGTACAACAGTTCGTTCCACCCTACGCCCAACGTTGTCTCCCTGCGCACGCGCGGCCGTACTCCGCCCTCCTTACTCCACCCTCCCCCACTCCCGCGAGCACGTGCGCGTCCTCGCTGCTCACATTTCGGCGGAGGGCGCGCTCCCTGGAAAATTCCACTCCTGTGCTAGCTCCACCCTATGCGGCTTTTCTCCTACCCGACGCTCTTCACTCTCAGCTCCCTTCCCGGCGGCCTTTGCGGGAACAAGATGGCAGCCCCCATACCTCAAGGGTTCTCTTGTTTATCGAGGTTTTTGGGCTGGTGGTTTCGGCAGGTGGGTAGGGACGGGGCCGATAGGACCCTAGGGGCTACAGGAGAGGACAGAGTCGAGGGAAATACTCTCTGTGCAATTGTCCTTGGTGAGCTGGGACAATACGAGTCATACCTAGGCCGGGGAAGAGGCTTAGGTGGACAGGACCTAGCTGCGGAGCTCAGTGGTCGAATGGGGATAGCCTAGACAGGGCCATGAGAGCGAGTGAATTAACGGATATTAAGTTTTTCCGGATTGGTTTGGGTCTGTCTGGCGAGGAGATATTAAAGGAGAGACAAGTAATGGGTTGGAAGGTGGACTCCCTAATCTTCGATTCTTATAAGTGAACTACGTTGAAGAGTAGCCGAAAATGAGGGCGTCCCATATTGTCACTGCCCCGTCTGAGCAAACCTCATGATCAGAGAGAAAAGATCTCCTGATCTTTCGAGGGTTTATTGGTCAGTTGGGTGCTAAAACGACAGAATAAAGTTTACAGCGAGACTCCCGATAGGATGAGCAAAATATCACGAGTACATATGGAGCAGATGCCTACAAGAGGACTTTGCTTATGCTTTAAGCATAGCATTCAGGGCCCGGCGCGGTGGTTCACACTTGTAATCCCAGCACTTTGAAAGTCCGAGGCAGAAGGATGGCTTGAGCCCAGGAGTTCGAAATGAGCCTGGGCAACATATAAGACCTGGTCTTTACAAAAAAATTTTAAAATTAGCCAGATGCGATGGCGCACTCCTTAGTCCCAGCGACTTGGGAGGCTGCGGTGGGAGGATAGCTAGAGCCCAGGAGGTCAAGGCTGCAGTGAACCGTGATCGTGCCATCGCACTCCAGGCTAGCGATCTGCCTCAAAAAATAATAAAGAATAGTATTCTGCCCATTTCAGTATTGAGTTGGTGTTTCCCCATCACCATCAGTTTTTGAAACTTGCTTTGATCAACTCAGTATCCGTAGGAGTTAGCATAGTCCTGTACTGTGGGAAGTTCTAAAGGAAAGCCTTTAGTAAATGTGATGTTAATAAAGGTTGCTAACTGTCTTCTATTTAGAGACACCCATAAGTATTAAGGTCCTAATGCATTTTTTCCCTGTGATATTGTTTTATAATTGTTCCTGAAGCATTCTTTGGATATTCCCTCTCTATAGTGCTTTGCTTAGAGTTTGTAAAAGATAGTAGATCTTTTTTCTAGGTTCCTAACCTTTCCTTTACCTTCCAGCCAGTTCTGGTGACTCAGTCCGCAGCTATAGTTCCAGTAAGAACTAAAAAACGTTTCACACCTCCTATTTATCAACCTAAATTTAAAACAGAAAAGGAGTTTATGCAACATGCCCGGAAAGCAGGATTGGTTATTCCTCCAGAAAAATCGGACCGTTCCATACATCTGGCCTGTACAGGTGAGGTATTTCTGGGACCCTGACCTGGGATCCTTCTGTCAGAGATCTTCTGGAACTTGGGATGACTTGGACTATGATTGATAATATTTAATTAAGCACGAAGTCAGTTCAACCTCAATAATGATTAACCTTATATACACTATATATCATGAAGTTGTTCTTTGAACTTACTTTCACACTGTCCCTAGAAGGCAAGAGTGAAATTTCTCCATTTTGTGGAAGTAGAAACTGAGGCTCTGAGAGAAGACTTAAATCTTTCTGGCTTTTTTTGTTTTGTTTTGTTTTGTTTTTTGAGACAGAGTCTCGTTCTGTCGCCCAGTGGCACAATCTGGGCTCACTGCAACCTCTGCCCCCCTGGGTTCAAGCGATTCTCCTACCTCAGCCTTCCAAGTAGCTGGGATTACAGGCACCTGCCACCATGCCCGGCTAATTTTTGTATTTTTAGTAGAGATGGGGTTTCACCATCTTGGCCAGGCTGGTCTTGAATTCCTGACTTTGTGATCCGCCCGCCTCGGCCTCCCAAAGTACTGGGATTACAGGTGTGAGCCACTGTGCCCGGCCTTGTTTTGTTTTTTTCTAGTGTAACATAGTTCTCTCTACATGGAAGTCTGTTTCATTAGTCTACTTCATATCCACAATCCTTCCCAATTTTACATTACTTCAATTTTATGAGTTTTTCTCAATCTTTCAACACTTTCTTAATTTTTTTCTTCCTTTATTACAGCTGGTATATTTGATGCCTATGTTCCTCCTGAGGGTGATGCACGCATATCATCTCTTTCAAAGGAGGGACTGATAGAGAGAACTGAACGAATGAAGAAGACTATGGCATCACAAGTGTCGTAGGTGTCTGAGACAATTGGGTATTGGTATTAGAATAACAATTTTTTGTTGCTACTTTATCCCAAAGAGACCTTTTTGGGTTAATTGGGTTGGGTGTCATTCTCTTAATAACATGATGGTATTTTCTCCTTTGTACTAGAGTCTGTATTTAATGCAGAATAATGTGGGCTTCCTGATTCTCAGCATCCCTGCCTTTATTGGTAATTTTTGTCATATCAGTTAGGGAGTTGACTTTGGAGTGTATAGGATCCTTTTTTAATCATATATTTAATTTTTTTTTTTTTGAGATGGAGTTTCGCTCTTGTTGCCCAGACTAGAATGCAATGGCACGATCTTGGCTCACCGCAACCTCCGCCTCCTGGATTCAAATGATCCTCCTGCCTCAGCCTCCTGAGTAGCTGGGATTACAGGCATGTGCCACCATGCCCGGCTAATTTTGTATTTTTAGTAGAGATGTGGTTTCTCCATGTTGGTCTGTTGGTCAGGCTGGTCTTGAACTCCTGACCTCAGGAGGCCCGCCTTGGCCTCCCAAAGTGCTGGGATTACAGGTGAGAGCCACCACGCCCAGCCCTTTATTTATTTATTTATTTATTTATTTTGAGACGGAGTTTCACTCTTAACTCACTGCAACCTCTGCCTCCCGGGTTCAAGAGATTCTCCTGCCTCAGCCTCCCGAGTAGCTGGACTACAGACGCATGCCACCACGCCCAGCTAATTTTTGTATTTTTAGTAAAGACGGGGTTTCACCATGTTGGCCAAGATGGTCTCGATCTCTTGACCTCGTGATCCACCCACCTCGGCCTCCTGAAGTGCTGGGATTACAGGCGTGAGCCACTGCGCCCAGCCGACCTGGCTAATTTTTAAAAGAAATTTTTGTAGAGACGGGTTATCACTATGTTGCCCAGGCTGGTCTCGAACTCCTGGGCTCAAGCAGTCCTCCCACCTCAGCCTCCCAAAATTCTGGGATTACAGGTGTGACCCGTCACACCCAGCCAGTCTAGCTCTGACTGTATCTATCTTTTTTTTTAAATTTGTACTGTTCATTGCAGAGCAGGGCTACCCCATAGGCCACTGTGCCCAGAGTAGCCGCTGTCACTATATGTAAATCATGTATAGGTTTATGTGCATAAGTATATTGAGTCAGTATGAATTCTTCACATGGCCATGACTTATTTCTCTACATATAGATTTTATTGGCTGGGTGCGGTGGCTCACGTCTGTAATCCCAGCACTTTGGGAGGCTGAGGTGGGTGGATCACCTGAGGTCAGGAATCGAAAACCAGCCCGACCAACATGGAGAAACCTCATCTCTACTAAAAATGCAAAATTAGCCGGGCGTGGTGGCACATGCCTGTAATCCCAGCTACTCAGGAGGCTGAGGCAGGAGAATCGCTTGAACCCGGGAGGCGGAGGTTGCGGTGAGCCGAGATCGTGCCATTGCACTCCAGCCTGGGCAACAAGGGCGAAACTCTGTCTCAAAAAAAAATAATAATAAAAAAGATTTTATCATATTACCTCCCTGCTTAGAACTCTTTTATGGCTTCCTGTTAACCAAAGAATAAAATCCAGATATCTTCAGTGGTATACAAAGCTTTTATAATCTGGTCCTTGCCTTTTTCTCCACCATCATTCTTTGTCCTTATTCCATTTTTCTCATCCTAAATTTTAGCATTTCCAAACTAATTGCCAATTCCTTGCCAGTACTGTACCATTCCTCTTTGTCTTTGCACATCCTTTCCTTTGCCTGAAATGTCTTTTTCCCCTCCTACTTTTTTTTTCTTCTTTTTTTGAGATGGAGTTTTACTCTTGTTGCCCAGGCTGGAGTGCAATGGTGCAATCTCGGCTCACCACAACCTCTGCCTTCTGGGTTGAAGCGATTCTCCTGCCTCAGCTCCCGAGTAGCTGGGATTACAGGCATGTGCCACCACGTCTGGCTAATTTTGTATTTTTAATAGAGATGGGGTTTCTCCATGTTGGTCAGGCTGGTCTTGAACTCCCGACCTCAGGTGATCCGCCAGACTCAGGCCTCCCAAAGTGCTGGGATTACAGGCGTGAGCCACCACGCTGGGCTATCATGTTTGTTTCTAAGGCCTCCATGACTATTTTTGGTGCTGCCTTTGCTGTGATTGTAATTGCACACTTGTATTTATTTCTCCTAATACTCTGTACTGCAATGTTTCCTCTCATGTATTTCTCTCCTGGACTGTGAGCAGGGTCCATGGTGATGATGAACAAAGCACATACGGTTTTACCATGCAGTTCTCTTCTAGGGGAGGAAAACAGTCATTAAATACTGATCGCACACAAATAATTATAGGTGTAGTGAAGTAGGAGTGCCATGGGAGCATATGACAGGGAAAGATAATGGCCGGGCGAGGTGGCTCACGCCTGTAATCCCAGCGCTTTGGGATGACGAGGCGGGTGGATCACGAGGTCAGGAGATCGAGACCATCCTGGCTAACACAGGGAAACCCCGTCTCTACTAAAAATACAAAAAATTAGCCAGGTGCGGTGGTGGGCGCCTGTAGTCCCAGCTACTCAGGAGGCTGAGGCCGGAGAATGGTGTGAACTCAGGAGGCAGAGCTTGCAGTGAGCCGAGATTGCACCACTGCACTCCAGCCTGGGCGACAGAGCAAGACTCCGTCTCAAAAAAAAAAAAAAAAAAAAAAGATAACTTGGTCTGGGAGATCAGAGAAGACTTGCCTGAGGAAATGATATTTAAAGTTGGGATTGTGGCTGGATGAGGTGGCTCACAACTGTAATCCCAGCACTTTGGGAAGCCAAGGCTGGTGGATCACCTGAGAGGTCGGGAGTTCGAGACCAGCCTGGCCAACATGGTGAGATCCCATCTCTACTAAAGATACAAAATTTAGCCAAGCATGGTGGCACATACCTGTAATCTCAGCTACTCGGAAGGCTGAGGCAGGAGAATCGGTTGAACCCAGGAGGTGGAGGTTGCAGTGAGCCCAGATTGCACCACTGCATTCCAGCCTGGGCAACAGAGTGAGACTCCATCTCAAAAAAAAAAAAAAAAAAGTTTTTTTTTTTTTTTTTTTTTTAGAGTTAGCCAGGTGGAGAAGTGTGGTGAGGAATAGCATTCTAGGGAAACAGAACAGTACAAGCAAGGCTTTGAGGTTAAAAGAGTATAAAGGGGTGTCAGATTTTGTCAAATGCTTTTTTGTGTCTATTGAGATGATCATGTGATACTTGTTCTTTATTCTGTTGATATGATGACATATTAATTGATTTTCTTTTCTTTTCTTCTTTTTTTTTGAGATGGAGTCTTGCTCTGTTACCCAGGCTGGAGTGCAGTGGCTCCATCTCGGCCCACTGCAGCCTCTGCCTCCCAGGTTCAAGTGATTCTCCTGCCTCAGCCTCCCGAGTAGCTGAGACTACAGGTGTGCGCCACCATGCCCCACTGATTTTTGTATTTTTAGTAGAGACAGGGTTTCACCATGTTAGCCAGCCTGGACTCCTGACCTCAGGTGATCCACCTTCCTGACCTCCCAAAGTGCTGGCATTACAGGCGTGAGGCACCGTGCCCAGCCTTATTAATTGATTTTCAAATATTAAACCAACCTCACATCCCTGGGATAAATTCCTTTAACACACTTAAATTAATACTTTGATTAAATCAAATTCTCTATATTGTTATAACTTGGAAAATGCTGTTGACAGCTGAGTTATATAGTACATTATGAACACTTTTTCTTTCCTGCATAATATATTTTTTTTTCCTGAAGTGTAGTGTCTTAATTTGCTCATTTGCTTATGGAACTATGGGTTATGTAATTTCCTCTCTGTGCATTCAAAACATTAAATTTTTTTTTTTTTTTTTTTTTTTTTGAGAGGGAGTCTCACTCTGTTGCCCAGGCTGGAGTGCAATGGTATGATCTTGGCTCACTGCAACCTCTGCCTCCTGGGTTCAAGCAATTCTTCTGTGTTAGCCTCCCCAGTAGGTGGGACTACAGGTGTGTGCCACCACACCTGGCTGTTTTGTATTTTTAGTACAGACGGGGTTTCACCATATTGGCCAGGCTGGTCTCGAACTCCTGACCTCATTATCTACCTGCCTCAGCCTCCCAAAGTGCTAGGATTACAGGTGTGAGCCACCACGCCCTGCAACATTAAATATTTTATTAATTTCATCTTTTTCAAGAAATCCCTCCTGGAGTCTTCTTACCTGTTTTAATCTGGACTAGTTGCTCTTAAGGCCAACTGTACGTCTTAGGATCTAAGATTCCTCTTGCCTCCGTCTTCTTTTCTTTTTTTTTTGAGACTGAGTCTTGCTCTGTTGCCCAGGCTGGAGTGCAGTGGTGCGATCTCAGCTCACTGCAACTTCCGCCTCCCGGGTTCAAGCGATTCTCCTGCCTCAGTCTCCTGAGTAGCTGGGATTACAGGTGTGCGCCACCACGCCCAGCTAATTTTTGTATTTTTAGTAGAAATGGGGTTTCACCATGTTGGTCAGGCTGATTGCCTCCCTCTTACGTTGTATTCCCTGTTGCTTGGATCCTATGTCTTTATGTTTTCATAGTCTATTTCATTACTTTGGTGGAGCACATTTTCTAGCAGCTGCCTGAGAAAGGCTGCATGGTGGATAAATAAGATCTTGCAAGTCTAAAAAGAAATATTTTATTCTCCCACTTCATTTATAATTTGCCCAGGTATTTAATTCTGTGATAGAAATAATTTTTTCCTCAATTAAAAGTACTGCTCAAAGTCTGGGCATGGTGGGTCATGCCTGTAATCTCAACACTTTGGGAGGCTGAGGCAGGAGGATCACTTGAGCAGGAGTTGAATACCAGCTGGGCAACACAGTGAGACCTTGTCTCTACAAAAACTAAAAAAAAGTGAAAATTAGCCAAGCGTGGTAGTGCACACCTGCAGTTCCAGTTACTTGGGAGTCTGAAGTGGGAGGATTGCATGAGTCCCAGAGGTCAAGGCTGCAGTGAGCCCTGATGGCGTCACTGTACTCTAGCCTGGGTGACAGAGTGAGACCCTGTCTCAGTGAATGAATGAATGAATGAGTGAATGAATAATAAAAGCACTGCTCTGTTGTCTTTGTAATTACTTTTTATTTTATTTTTTTTTTGAGACGGAGTCTCACTCTTTCGCCCAGGCTGGATTGCAGTGGCGCGATCTTGACTTACTACAACCTCTGCCTCTTGGGTTCAAACAATTTTCCTGCCTCAGTCTCCTGAGTAGCTGGGACTACGGGCGCCTGCCACCACGCCCAGCTAATTTTTGTATTTTTAGTAAAGACAGGGTTTCACCATATTGGCCAGGCCAGTCTCGAACTCCTGACCTTGTGATCAGCCCACCTTGGCCTCCCAAAGTGCTGGGATTACAGACCTGAGTCACTGCGCCCGGCCGTAACTTCCTTTTTTTTTTTTTGAGACGAAGTCTCGCTCTGTCACCCAGGCTGGAGTGCAGTGGCAGGATCTCAGCTCACTGCAACCTCTGCCTCCTGGGTTCAAGTGATTCTTCTGCCTCAGTCTCCCGAGTAGCTGGAACTACAGGCACGTGCCATCACGCTTGGCTAATTTTTTGTATTTTAGTGGAGACGGGGTTTCACCATGTTGGCCAGGATGATCTCGAGCTCCTGACCTCATGATCTGCCTGCTTTGGCCTCCCAAAGTGCTGGGATTACAGGCGTGAGCCACTGCACCCGGCCTGTCTTTGTAACTTCTAATGTTGCTGTTAGGAAGCCCAGTGTTGCCAGGTGCCATGGCTCAGGCCTGTAATCCCAGCACTTTGGGAGGCCGAGGCAGGCAGATCACAAGGTCAGGAGTTCGAGACCAGCCTGGTCAGCATGGTGAAACCCCATCTCTACTAAAAATACAAAAATTAGGCGGGCGGGGTGATGTGTGCCTGTAGTCCCAGCTACTTGGGAGGCTGAGGCAGGAGAATTGCTTGAACCCAGGAGGCAGAGGTTGCAGTGAGCCGAGATTGCGCCACTGTACTCCAGCCTGTGCGACGGAGTGCGAGACTCTGTCTCAAAAAAAAAAAAAAAGAAGCCCAGTGTTATTCTGACTCTTTTTTTTGAGATGGAGTCTCGCTCTGTTTCCCAGGCTGGAGTGCAGTGGCGCGATCACTACCTCTGCCTCCTAAGTTCAAGTATTCTCCTGCCTCAGCCTCCCAAGTAGCTGGGATTACAGACAGCACCACCATGCCCAGCTTTTTTTTTTTTTGAGATGGAGTCTCGCTCTGTGACCCAGGCTGGAATGCGGTGGTGCGATCTCTGCTCACTGCAACCTCTGCCTCCTGGGTTCAAGCGATTCTTGTGCCTCAGCCTCCGGAGTAGCTGGGATTACTGGTGTGCACCACCATGCCCAGCTTATTTTTGGATTTTTAGTATAGATGGGGTTTCACCCTGTTGGCTAGGCTGGTCTCAAACTCCTGACCTCAAGTGATCTACCTGCCTCGGCCTCCCAAAGTGCTGGGATTACAGACGTGAGCCACCGCGCCTGGCCTATTTTGACTCTTGAGCATTTGTAAGAAACCCGTTTTTTCTGTTTTTAGTGCATATCAGATGTTATCTTTGATTCTAGAATTCTGAAATTTCACTATGAGAAGTCTTAGTCTTTCTTTAGAGTGCTTAATTTAAGAGGGAGAAGGTTGAATTTCCAGGACTTGACACATTAAAAAATCAATTATTGGCCGGGCGTGGTAGCTCACGCCTGTAATCCCAGGACTTTGGGAGGCCGAGGCGGGCGGATCCTGAGGTCAGGAGATCGAGACCATCCTGGCTAACACGGTGAAACCCCGTCTCTACTAAAAATACAAAAATTTAGCCGCGTGTGGTCGCGGGCGCCTGTAGTGCCAGCTACTCAGGAGGCTGAGGCAGGAGAATGGCGTGAACCTGGGAGGCAGAGCTTGCAGTGAGCCGAGATCATGCCACTGCACTCCAGCCTGGGTGACAGAGCGAGACTCAAAAAAAGAAAAAAAAAAAAAAAGCTAAACAGTTATTGAGTAAGTGGATGGACATGAATGGAGGTCAGTGTAGGCTGTGAATTATGGAATTGTAAGACCTTTAGAAGTAATACTCAGGCTTAATTTTACAGAATCCGGAGGATAAAAGACTATGATGCCAACTTTAAAATAAAGGACTTCCCTGAAAAAGCTAAGGATATCTTTATTGAAGCTCACCTTTGTCTAAATAAGTAAGTGAACTCCCTATCTTTACCCATTCTGTTCTCAGCAGTTAGCTATTATTTTAGGCACAGTTTTTTTGTTTGTTTGTTTTTGTTTTGCACAAATTTGTTTTCTGCCTTCAGGTAAGAGATCTAGAGTGAGAGAACTTCCTATATTGGAAGTAATTAGTGACTGACGCTGTCTTTCACTCCCCTCTCTGCTTCTGGGAATTTCTACCATTTGGTCTGTCTCAGTTCCACCTGCAAGTGTTGGGACCTTGTGCCAGAATAGCTGCCTTTTTCACCCTATCTGATCCCTGAATTCATTCTGATCTTTTTTGTGTGTTTGTCTTACGTATCTTCATTTCCCTTTCCTTGGTTATTTTGAATATATTTCTTGTGAAAATTTCCAGCTCTCCCTCCACTTTTATTTTTTTATTTTTTATTTTGAGATGGAGTCTCGCTCTGTCGCCCAGGCTGGGAGTGCAATGGCGCAATCTTGGCTCTCTGCAACCTCCACGTCCCTGGTTCAAGCAACTCCCCTGCCTCAGCCTCCCAAGTAGCTGGGATTACAGGTGCACGCCACCACATCCAGCTAATTTTTTTGTATTTTTAGTAGAGACGGGGTTTCATCATGTTGGCCAGACTGGTCCTGAACTCCTGACCTCAGGCAACCTGCCCGCCTCGGCCTCCCAAAGTGCTAGGATTACAGGCATGAGCCACCACGCCCGGCCCCCTTTTTTTTTTTGAGATGGAGTCTCACTGTTGCACAGTCTGGAATGCAGTGGCATGATCGTGGCTCACTGCAGCCTTGACCTCCTGGACCCAAGTGGTTCTCTCAAGGAATCTACTTAGTCCGTCAAGTAGAGCTGGGACCACCAGCATCTGCCACCACACCCAGCTAATTAAAATAAACTTTTTTTTGTAGAGACAAGGTTTTGCTGTGTTGCCTAGACTGGTCTCAAATTCCTGGGCTCAAGCAATCCTCCTGCCTTGGCCTCCCAAAGTGAAGAAATTATAGGCATGAGCCACCATACCTGGCCACCCAGCTTTTTCTTGATTCATCCAAGTTAGGGCTCCTAGGAAGATGAAGAATCAACATTAGGAGGCTGGAATATCTTAAGTACTAGCCGTGGACTGTTGCTGGCATTCTTTGATCTGTGGCTGCTGTGGCTAGGCTTCAGGTGGGACCCAAAACCTGTAGTCTAAAATCCATTAATTATTTAATTTTACTTTTATTTCTTTAAAAAAATTTATTTATTTTGAATAGAGATGGGATGTCGCGATGTTGCCCAGGCTGTTCTTGTTTTTGTTTTTTGTTTTGAGACGGTCTTGTTCTGTTGCCCAGGCTGGAGGGCAGTGGTGCAATCACAGCTCATTGCAGCCTCAGCTCCGGGGCTCAAGCGATCCTCCCATCTCAGCCCCCTGAGTAGCTGGAACCTCTAGGGGTATACCACCACACCCTGCTAGTTTTCATATTTTTTGTAGGGATGGGATTTCACCATGTTGCCCAGGCTATGCAAGCCAGTCATTTTTTTTTTTCCCCCTTTTTGAGACGGAGTCTAGCTCTGTCATCCAGGCTGGAGTGCAGTGGTGCAGCCTGTGCCTCCTGGGTTCAAGCAATTCTCCTGCCTTAGCCTCCCAAGTAACTGCATGCCACCACACCCAGCTAATTTTTGTATGTTTAGTACAGATGGGTTTTTACCATGTTGGCCAGGTGGTCTAAAACTCCTGACCTCAGGTGATCTGCCTACCTCAGCCTCCCAAAGTGCTGGGATTACAGATGTGAGCCACTATGCTCAGCCTTGTTTTATTTCTCAAAACATTGTTTTTTTTTTGTTTGTTTGTTTGTTTTGAGATAGACTCTTGCTCTGTTGCCCAGGCTGGAGTGCAGTGACGTGATCTTGGCTCACTGCAACCTCTGCCTCCCAGATTCAAGCAATTCTCCTGCCTTAACCTCCCAAGTAACTGGGATTACAGGCACGCACCACCGCACCTGACTATTTTCTGTATTTTTAATAGAGACGGATTTCACCATGTTGGCCAGGCTGGTCTTGAACTCCTGACCTCAAGTGATCCGCCCACCTCGGCCTCCCAAAGTGCTGGGATTACAGGCGTGAGCCAACGCGCCCGGCCTAATTTTTGTATTTTTAGTAGAGATGGGGTTTTGCCATGTTGGCTAGGCTGGTCTCAAACTCCTGACCTCAGGTGATCTGCCCTCCTCAGCGTTACTGTTGTTTCTGTTGAGAAATTAACTTTTTTTTTTTTCATTTTGTTAAAGTTTATTTTTACTTTGTGTGCTTTTATTTATGTTTTTTTTTTGAGACAGAGTCTCGCTCTGTCACCAGGCTGGAGTGCAGTAGCGCAATCTCGACTTACTGCAACCTCCGCCTCCCAGTTTGAAACGATTCTGCTGCCTCAGCCTCTTGAGTAGCTGGAACTACAGGTGCCTGCCACCACGCCCAGCTAATTTTTGTATTTTTAGTAGAGACAGGGTTTCACCATATTGGCCAGGCTGGTCTCGAACTCCTGACCTTGTGATCTGCCCACCTTGGCCTCCCAAAGTGCTGGGATTACAGGTGTGAGCCACTGTGCCCAGCTGACTTTGTGTGCTTTGAAGATTTTCTCTCAGGCTGGGTGTGGTGGCTCTCGCTTGTAATCCCAGCGCTTTGGGAGGCCAAGACTGGTGGATCACAAGGTCAGGAGTTCGAAACCAGCCTGGCCAATGTGGTGAAACCCTGTCTCTACTAAAAATACAAAAAAAAAATTAGCCAGGTGTGGTGGTGCATGTGTGTAATCTCTGCTACTTGGGAGGGGCTGAGGCAGGAGAATCGCTTGAACCCAGGAGTCAGAGGTTGCTTTGAGCCGAGATCGTGCAGCTGCACTCAAGCCACGACAACAGAGCAAAACTCCGTCTCAGAAAAAAAAAAAAGAAAAAGATTTTTTTCTTTCTTTTTAGTATTCAGCAATTTACTATGATTTATCTATGGGTATCTGTCTTCTTAAATTTTTATTTTTTTTTTTAGTTTTTTTTGTAGAGACAGGGTCTGGCCTTGTTGCCCAGGCTGGTCTTGAATCCCTGGCTTCAAGCAATCCTTCCACCTCAGACTCCCAAAATGCTGGGATTATAGGCATGTGCCACCACACTGGGCCATGTGTGTGTCTTTTATCCTGCTCTGGGTTCATATTGCTTCTTAAATCTTTAGGTGCTTTTTTTGTCAGTGTTGGAAAATTCTCAGTCAGAACTCATCTCTTCAGATGTTGCTTCTGCTCCACTTTCTCGTCTCCTTGTGTAGTTCTGAATACACATATGTTAGATCTTTCACTGTGTGCCAAATGTGTCTTCAGCTCTTTTCTATATTTTTCCAACCTTTTTTTTTCCCCCTCCAGCTTTAGTCTGGATATTCTCTGATCTATCTTCCTGTCCTCTTTTCAGTTGTAGCTAATCTGCTGTTAACCTACCTATCGAGTTCTTAATTTTATATTTATTTTATTTATTTTCTGTTTTTCGCTTTTAGAATTTTCTTTTTTTTTTTTTTTTTAGTGTGTCCAGATCTCTGGTAAAATTCTCCATTCTGTCATCTAATTTCTTGAACATGCTAATCACAGTTATTTTAAAACCTGTGTCTGATAACTTCAAAATCTATGTCTTCAATAGGTCCATTTTCTCTTGTCTTATTTGTTTCTTTTGGGTTTTGGTTAGTTCTTGTCATTTTTGTTTTTGTTTTTGTTTTTTTTTTTTGAGATGGAGTCTTGCTCTGTCACCCTGGCTGGAGTGCAGTGGTGTGATCTCCGCTCACTGCATCCTCTGCCTCCCGGATTCAAGGAATTCTCCCTTCTCAGTCCCTGGAGTAGCTGAGACTACAGGTGCACACCATGATGCCCAGCTAATTTTTGTATTTTTAGTAGAAATGGCATTTCACCATATTGGTCAGGCTGGTCTCGAACTCCTGACTTCAGGTGATTCACCTGCCTCAGCCTCCCAAAGTGCTGGGATTACAGGCATGAGCCACTGCACCTGGCCTTGTTTTTGGTTTTTGAGACAGGCTCTTGCGCTGTCACTCAGGCTAGAGTACAGTGGCTCGATCATGGCTCACTGCTGCCTTGACCTCCCAAGCTCAAGTGATCCTCCCACTTCAGCCTCCAAAGTAGCTGGGACTTAGTACATGCCACCATACCTGGCTAATTTTTAAATTTTTTGTAGAGACAGGGTCTTGCTATGTTGCCCAGGCTGGTCTCGAACTCTGGCCTCAAGCAGTCCTCTCAGCCTCCCAAAGTGTTGGTACAGTTTTCTTGCCATTTTGTATTCCTGCATTTTTTTTTAAACAAATAGATATTTTAGAAAAATCTAAGACAATCATTTATTTTAAAAATTATAAGATTAATAATAGCTTTTATATATTTATGGTAAAATACACATAATATACAATTTACCATTTTAATCATTTTGAAGTATATAATTCAGTGGCATTAAGTACATTCACAATGTTGTACAATTCTTACCACTATCCATTTCCAGATTTTGTTCATCTCAGACAGGAATTTTATACCCATTAAGCAGTAATTCCCCATTGCCCTCTTCCCTTATCACCTGGTAACCTCCATTCTACTTTATTTCTCTATGAATTTACCCATCCTGATGCTATGGTCTGAATGTTAGTGTCTCCTGAAAATTCATTTGTCAAAATCCTAACCCCCAAGGTGATGGTATAGGCTGTGGGGGGCCCTCTGGGAGGTGATGAGGTCCTGAGAGTGGAGCCCTCATGAATGGGAAGAGTGCCCTTATAAAGGAGACCCGGGGATCCAGGTGTGGTGGTTCACGCCTATAATCCCAGCACTTTGGGAGGCTGAGGCAGGCAGATCACGAGGTCAAGAGATCGAGACCATCCTGGCCAACATGGTGAAACCCCATCTCTACTAAAAATACAAAAATTAGCTGGGTGTGGTGGCGTGTACCTGTAGTCCCGGTTACTTGGGAGGCTGAGGCAAGAGAATTGCTTGAACCCAGGAGGTGGAGGTTGCAGTGAGCCAAGATCGCACCACTGCACTCCAGCCTGGCGACAGAGCGAGACTCCGTCTCAAAAAAAAAAAAAAAAAAAGAGACCTGAGGGAGCTTGTGCACCCCTTCCACCCACTGACGACACAGCAAGAAGTCAACATCTATGAGGAACGGGCTCTCACCAGACACCAAATTTGCCAGTGTCTTGATCTTGGACTTCCCAGCCTCTAGAACTGTGAGAAATAAATGTTGTTTATAAGCCACCTGGTTTATGATATTTTTGTTACAGCATCCTGAACAGATGAAGGCATCTAGGTACCTCACATAAGTGGAATCTTACAGTTTTTGACCTTTTGTGATTGGCTTAGTTCACTTAGCATGATGTCTTCAATGCTCATATATATTGTAGCATGTGTCTCCTTAATTTTATTTTTATTTTTTTATCTTTTTTTTTTTTTTGAGATGGAGTTTTGCTCTTGTCACCCAGGCTGGAGTGTAATGGCTCGATCTCCAGTCACTGCAACCTTTGCCTCCTGGGTTCAAGCGATTCTCCAGCCTCAGCCTCCCAAGTAGCTGGGATTACAGACGCCTGCCATCACACCTGGCTAATTTTTGTATTTTTAGTAGAGACGGGGTTCACCATGTTGGCCAGGCTGGTCTCGAACTCCTGACCTCAGGTGATCCGCCTGCCTCGGCCTCCGTAAGTGCGGGGATTACAGGTGTGAGCCACCGTGCCCAGCCACGTATGTCTCCTTATTAAGGCTGAATAATATTTCATTGTATGTATATACACCACATTTTGTTTATCCATTCATCTAGTGATGGACATTCAGGTTGTTTCCACCTTTTATTGTGGCATAATGCTCCTGTGATTGTTGGTGTACAAGTATCTGTTTGAGCTCGTGCTTTCAATTCATTTGGGTATATACTCAGAACTGAAGTTGTTGGATCACATGATAACTCTATGTTTAACTTTTTGAAGGTCTGGGTGGTGGCTCATACCCGTAATCCAGCACTTTTGGAGGCCGAAGTGGGAGGATTGTTTCTGGGCAGCAGAGTAAGACCCCATCTCTATAAAAAATTTAAAAAATCATCCGGGCATGGTGGTGCATGCCTGTAGTCCCAGCTATTTGAGGTGCTAAGGCAGAAGGATTGCTTGAGCTCAGGGATTTTTGAGGCTGTGGTGAGCTATGATTGTGTCACTACACTCCAGCCTCAATGACAGAGTGAGACTGTCTCAAAAAAAAAAACCCTAACTTTTTGAGGAACCACCATATGGTTTTCCTTAGCAGCTACACTGTTTTACATTCCTATGACCAATGCACAAGGATTCCAGTTTCTCTACATCCTCACTGATACCTATTACTTTCCTTTTTATTGGTTTTTTTTTTTTTTTTTTTTGAGATGGAGTCTCGCTCTGTTGCTCAGGCTGGAGTGCAGTGGCACAATCTTGGCTCACTGCAAGCTCCGCCTGCCGGGTTCAAGCCATTCTCCTGCCTCAGCCTCCCGGGTAGCTGGAACTACAGGCGCCTGCCACCACGCCCGGCTAATTTTTTGTATTTTTAGTAGAGATGGGGTTTCATGTGTTAGCCAGGATGGTCTCAATCTCCTGACCTCGTGATCCACCCGCCTTGGCCTCCCAAAGTGCTGGGATTACAGGCGTGAGCTATTGCGCCTAGCCACTTTCCTTTCTATTAAAAAAAAAAAAAAAAAAAATATATATATATATATATATATGAGAGATGGGGTCTCACTGTATTGCCCAAGCTGGTCTCAAACTCCTGGGCTTAAGCAATCCTCTTGCCTCGGCCTCCCAAAATGCTAGGACTACAGGTGTGAGCCACGATGCCCAGCCTTTTTCTTTTTATAATAGGCATCCTCATGGGTGTGAAGTGTAGTATCTCATTATGGTTTTGCTTTGTATTTCCCTAATAGCTAGTGACATTGAGCATCTTTTCATGTGCTATTGGCCTTTTGTACGTCTTCTTTGAAGAAAGGTCTTTTTTTTTTTTTTGAGTTGAAGTCTTGCTCTGTCGCCCAGACAGGACTGCAGTGGCACGATCTCGGCTCATAGCAACCTCTGCCTCCTGGGTTCAAGCGATTCTCCTGCCTCAGCCTCCCGAGTAGCTGGGATTACAGGCATGCACCACCATGCCCAGCTAATTTTTGTAGTTTTAGTAGAGACGGGGTTTCACCATGTTGGCCAGGCTGGTCTCGAACTCCTGACCTCAGATGATCCACCCACCTCAGCCTTCCAAAGTGGTGGGATTACAGGCGTGAGCCACTGCACCCAGCCCAGAAAGGTCTATTTTTAAATTAGGCGGTTATTTTGTTGTTGAGTTATAGGAGTTCTTTATATATTTTGGATATTAATCCTTTATCAGATATATGCTGTGCTAATATTTCCCCCCATTTTATGGTTTGTCTTTTCACTCTTTTATTATTATTAGTTTTTGAGATGGAGTTTTGCTCTTGAAGCCCAGGCTGGAGTGCAATGGCGTGATCTCGGCTCACCGCAACCTCTGCCTCCTGGGTTCAAGCAATTCTCCTGCCTCAGCCTCCTGAGTAGCTCAGATTACAGGCATGCGCCACCATGCCTGGCTAATTTTGTATTTTTAGTAGAGACAGGGTTTCACCATGTTGGACAGGCTGGTCTTGAATTCCCGACCTCGGGTGATCCACCTGCCTCGGCCTCCCAAAGTGCTGGGATTACAGGCGTGAGCCACTGCGCCTGCCGTCTTTTCACTCTTGATAGTATCCTTTGATGCAAAAAAGTTTTAAATTTTGATGAAATCCAGTTTTTCAAGTTTTTTTCTTTTGTTACCATATCGAGTTTTTTCTTTTGGTGTCATATTCAAGAAATCATTGCCAAATCCAGTGTCATGAAGTATTTCCCCTTCCTTTTTCTCTAAGATTTTTATAGTTTTAGCTCTCACATTTAGGTCTTTGCTCCATTTTGAGTTAGTTTTTGTATATAGTGAAAACTATGTGATGTTTTTGCTTTTTTTTGCATGAGAATATTCATTTTTCTAGCACCATTTATTGAAGAGACTGTGCTTTCCCATTAAGTGGCCAGGCCGGTCTCAAACTCCTGACCTCAGATGATCCACCCGCCTTGACCTCCCAAAGCGTTGGGATTACAGGCATGGGCCACCGCCTGTCCTCAACAGTGGTTTTTGCAGAAATAGAGAAACACAGCCAGGCGTGGTGGCTAGTTCAACCTAGTTTGAATAATATCAACTTAGTTTCAATAATATACAAACGCTCTGCTCCTATATGTCTCTCCCTCCCACTTCATTATGTCTCTCCTGCTTCATTATCACAGATTACAGTTTTATACCTTGGGTGCCCATTACATCAATTCATAATTATTGTTTTATGCATTTGCCTTTTAAATCATACAGGATGAAAAATGAGGAATTATAAACCAAAAGTACAGTAATACAGGCTTTTATATTTATCTATGTAGTTACTTTTCCTACATAGTAGTAAAACATACATGTTTTTTGTTTTTTTCTTGTGGTTTTGAGTTACTTTCTGGTGTCCTTTCATTTTAGCCTGAAGGATCCCCTTTAGCCTTTGTTTGTTTCTTTTTTATTTTAAAGTCAGGGTCTCACTTTTTCAGCCAGGCTGGAGTGAGCACAGTGGTGCAATGATAGCTGCACTGCAGCCTCAACCTGCTGGGCTCAAGCGATCTTCCCACCTCAGCCCCTGAGTAGCTGGGACTACAGGTGTGTGCCACAGCACCTGGCTAATTTTTTTTTTTTTTTTCTAATTTTTTTGTAGAGACAGGGGTCTCGCTTTGTTGCCCAGGCTGGTCTCGAACTCCTGGCCTCAAGTGATCCTCTTGCCTCTGCCTCCCAATGTGTTGGGATTATAGGCATGAGCTGCTGTGCCCAGCCTATTGCCACTTTCAAGATTCATTCTTTGTGTTTGGGTTTTGACACTTTGGTTTTAATGTTTCTTGGTATGAATTTCTTTCAGTTTATCTTGCTAGGAGGTTTTTGAGCTTCCTGGATGTACATATGAATGTCTTTCATCAGATTTGGGATGTCTGCAGCCATTATTTCTTTTTCTTTCTTTTTTTTTTTTTGCATGTTATTTTTATTTTATTTTATTTTTTGAGATGGAGCTTTACTCTTGTTTCCCAGGCTGGAGTGCAGTGGCCCGATCTCGGCTCATTGCAGCCTCTGCCTCCCAGGTTCAAGTGATTCTCCTGCCTCAGTCTCCCAAGTAGCTGGGATTACAGGCACTTGCCACCCACACCTGGCTAATTTTTGTATTTTTTAGTAAAGATAGGGTTTCACCCTGTTGACCAGGCTGGTCTCGAACTCCTGACCTCAGGTGATCCACCCACCTTGGCCTCCCAAAGTGCTGGGATTACAGGTATGAGCCATTGTGCCTGGCCGCATTATTTCTTCAAATTTTTTTTCTATCCATTTCTTTCTTCTTTTTCTGGGACTCCTATGATGTGTATTTGGTATACTTGATGATGTCCCACAGGTCCCTCAAGGTTTTGTTCATTTTTTTTCCATTATTTTTTCTCTTTGCATTTTAGACTATGTAATTTTAATTACCTTATCCTCAAGTTCACTGATACTTTGCCTGCTCAAACCTGCTGTTGAACCCCTCTAGTGAATTTTAAAATTTATTGTACTTTTTAGCTCCAGAATTTCTGTTTGGTTCCCTTGTATAATTTCTGTCTCCAATGTGTTCACACATTGTTTTTCTGATTTCATTACTTCTTTGTCCATGGTTTCCTTTAGCTCATTGGACATATTTAGGACAATTGATTTGTGTCTTTACTAATAATTACAATGTCTGGGTTTCCTTAGGGGTGGTTTCTGTCAAATTATTTTTTGGTCAGGTGTGGTGGCTCATGCCTATAATCCAGTACTTTGGGAGGCCGAGGCGGGCAGATCACTTGAGTCCAGGAGTTCGAGACCAGCCTGGCCAACATGGTGAAACCCCAACTCTACTAAAAATACAAAAAAAGCTGGGTGTGGTGGCGTGCACCTGTAGTCCCAGAGTCTCACTCTGTAGCCCAGGCTGGAGGGCAGTGGTGCAATCCAAAAAAAAAAAAAAAAAAAAAAAAAAGCAAAAGTGTATTTGTCTGTTTTACATTTTATCCAACATTTCCTTTTTTTTTGAGACGGAGTCTTGCTCTGTTGCCAGGCTGGAGTGCAGTGGCGCGATCTTGGCTCACTGCAACCTCCACCTCCCAGGTTCAAGCGATTCTCCTGCCTCAGCCTCCTGAATAGCTGAGACTCCAGGTGTGTGCCACTGTACCTGGCTAATTTTTGTATTTTTAGTAGGGACAGGGTTTCACCATGTTGGCCAGGATGGTCTTGATCTCCTGACCTCGTGATCTGCCCACCTTGGCCTCCCAAAGTGCTGGGATTACAGGCATGAGCCACCGCACCCGGCCCATAAATCCACCATTTCTAAATGTTTATAGTAGAAGTAGTATTACATTATTGCAAAATAGTAAGTGAACTCATGGAAAATGGAGTTTATTTCCACTGAAGACTTCTATGCCAGGATAGTGGGGAGGAAGAGTTCACTCAGAGGTGCCAGTGATGGTCATCATGGTAGTTGTCACCACAGCTCAGTCTGTTCCTACAGTAGAGGAAATGACTTGGAATCTTTCCTATTAGGAATAGAGATGAAAGGGAAGCAGATAGACATGTTAGAACTAATCCCTTACCCATTCTGGGCTTAGAGAGCAAGATTTTTCAAAGGGGACAAAGAGTTAAACTGCTCATAGTAAACTGGGGAAAAGTCGTGTGTATCTGAAAGAAGCTAATCTATGGCCTTAGGTTTGAGACTCATCAGCTAGGAACCCTCCTAAAATCTTGTATCTATAGGAGCTAGGGTTTGTTGTCTGTTTTGTGTTTTTTTTGTTTTGTTTTGTTTTTTTTTGAGACGGAATCTCGCTCTGTCACTCAGGCTAGAGTGCAGTGGCGTGATCTCAGCTCACCGCAACCTCCGCCTCCCGGGTTCATGCCATTCTCCTGCCTTAGCCTCCTGAGTAGCTGGGACTACAGGCGCCTGCTACTACTGTCGGCTAATTTTTTTTGTATTTTTAGTAGAGATGGGGTTTCACCTTGTTAGCCATGACGGTCTCGATCTCCTGACCTCATGATCCACCCGCCTCGGCCTCCCAAAATGCTGGGATTACAGGCATGAGCCACCATGCCCGGCTGTTTTGTGTTTTTTTAACCATTACTATATAGAGTCAGCATGACTCGGCCACTCTGGCAGCAACAAGATAAAGGAGAGAAAATAGACCAGGAAAGACATGATTATCTTTGACTAGGTTCAAAGATGAGCGTGTAAGATATAAGGCTAAAAACATGGTGAAACCCCATCTCTACTAAAAATACAAAAATTAGGTGGGCGTCATGACGTGCACTTGTAGTCCCAGCTACTCAGGAGGCTGAGGCAGGAGAACCGCTTGAACCTGGGAGGTGGAGGTTGCAGTGAGCCGAGATCGCGCCACTGCACTCCAGCCTGGCGACAGAGCGAGACTCTGTCTCAAAAAAAAAAAAAAAAAAAAAAGATATAAGGCCAAGCCAGATGGTACTGATGCTGGCTCAGAGGCAAGAGGAGATAAAACAAGCTTTTGATTGTTACTTGTGTTGAACTTTGTTGCTCATACCAGCTTAGAGCAAAAATTAGGTCCTATGTCCCAGTGAGGGTACCCATCTTAAGGATATATGGTAATTTTAGAGAAATTGCCTCCTACTCCTTAGATTTAAACATAATTTTTTTTAAATTTATTTTTTATTTGTAATATAATTTTATTCTGCTACTAGATCTTAGGGTTTTCTGGTAAATCACATTATTGTTCGTGTTTGTGCCCCTAGAATTTAGCATATTTTATACCTGGCTTATACTAGATGTGCCGAAAACATTTGTAAAAATGAATTGTTTTCCATTTTCAGGACCATTTTCAGTCTTCATACAGGGTATTATAAGAGCAATAGTCAATGATATTTATTGCTTTCTTTTCTAGCTCAGACCATGACCGACTTCATACCTTGGTAACTGAACACTGTTTTCCAGTAAGTTCTCATCCTCCTTAGAACTGTGGGGTGACTGAGTGGGCAGATTCTAGATGGCGTCTCTGGTTTTTCTTTTCTTTTCTTTTCTTTTTTTTTTTGAGACAGAGTTTCACTCTTGTTGCCCAGGCTGGAGTGCAATGGTGCGATCTTGGCTCACCGCAACCTCCACCTCCCAGGTTCAAGCGATTCTCCTGCCTCATCCTCCCAAGTAGCTGGGATTACAGGCATGCGCCACCATGCCCAGCTAATTTTTTATTTATTTATTTATTTATTTATTTATTTATTTATTTATTTATTTATTTTGAGATGGAGTCTCGCTCTGTCGCCCAGGATGGAGTGCAGTGGCGCTATCTCGGCTCACTGCAAGCTCCGCCTCCCGGGTTCACGCCATTCTCCTGCCTCAGCCTCTTGAGTAGCTGGGACTACAGGCACCCGCCAGCACACCCGGCTAATTTTTTGTATTTTTAGTAGAGACGGGGTTTCACTGTGTTAGCCAGGATGGTCTCGATCTTCTGACCTCGTGATCCGGCCACCTCGGCTTCCCAAAGTGCTGGGATTACAGGTGTGAGCTACCGCACCTGGCCTAATTTTGTATTTTTAGTAGAGACGGGGTTTCTCCCGTTGGTCAGGCTGGTCTCCAACTCCCGACCTCAGGTGATCCGCCCGCCTCGGCCTCCCAAAGTGCTGGGATTACAGGCATGAACCCCACTGCGCCCTGCCTGGTTTTTCTTAAGAAGGATCAGTTTTGAGAGTGTAGGAAGTTTAAGGCACAGGCTGAAGGTTCATTGCTTGTAGCTGAATGACAATGTCTTGACACAGACTCTGGTAAGGGCCCTGGCAAATGAAAGAAGTCCCTCAACAAGCAGTAATGACACTGCAGGAGCATAGGTCCTGAGGCTTGGATATGGGCCATACTAGGCCACATCTCCACACGCCTGCACTATCATGAGGGATTTAACAAGAGTTCATGAGGCTTATATTGAGTGGTAACAGGAGTGTGAAGCACTTGGAGGGATCCCCAAGGATAAGAACTTTGTGGTTCAGTTAGAGATCCAAGAATAAGAACTTGGGGCCGGGTGCGGTGGCTCACGCCTGTAACCCCAGCGCTTTGGGAGGCCGAGGCGGGCGGATCACGAGGTCAGGAGATCAAGACCATCCTGGCTAACATGGTGAAACCCCGTCTCTACTGAAAATACAGAAAAATTAGCCGGGCGTGGTGGCGGGCGCCAGTAGTCCCAGCTACTCGGGAAGCTGAGGCAAGAGAATGGCGTGAACCTGGGAGGCGGAGCTTGCAGTGAGCCGAGACCGCGCCACTGTGCTCTAGCCTGGGCAACAGAGCAAGATTGCCGTCTCAAAAATAAAAATAAATAAAAAAAGAACTTGGGTTTCTATCAGTAGAACTTCAGTTTCTATCAGTCTTCCCCAGTCCTAGCAGTTTAGCCCTTATAGCCCTGTAAAATTCCCACTTTTCATTGTTAATATGTGAGTGGGGAAAAAAAATATATATGCAGTCAACACAAGTACATGCAATAATTGCCACATTATGAAAGTGTATGGGAGGGATGTTGGTGTATTGGGCATGCTGGCAGTTTGGAATGTGGTTTTTGTTGATTTAAAGAAGGGTCCTCAAAGAGGAAGGTGGGTCTGAAGTTGTGATATAGATGAAGAGAGAGTTGTCAGGTGAGCTTGACCAATAGCTTAATCAAAACTTGAGAAGGTGCAAGAGAAAATAGGCACAAGAGAGCATGTGGTGGGAAACGTGCTGCCTGTTGGCTGTAGTCTTGCAGGAAGTGAGAGCAGTGTGGCAGCACCAGCTTCCTTAAAGGGAGGGAAAAATGCAGTTGAACTTGTTCTCCTTTGCCCTTAGGACATGACTTGGGACATCAAATATAAGACCGTCCGCTGGAGCTTTGTGGAATCTTTAGAGCCCTCTCATGTTGTTCAAGTTCGCTGTTCAAGTATGATGAACCAGGGCAACGTGTACGGCCAGATCACCGTACGCATGCACACCCGGCAGGTAGAGGCACTCGTCTGCCTTCCTCCCAGCTTTTTTTCACTCTGAGCTTGGGCACCTCCCTCTGGAGTGCTGGGTATGGTTGCCCAGGACTGTAGACAGTAATAAAAGGTACACTGTGATCTGTCTTCCTTGCTGTGCCGCTGTCCCCTTCCCACTGTTACATGTTGGCTCTACTAAGATGTGTGAGGATATTCTCTCCCACTCTTCCTGATTTTTTTTTTCCCCCAAGACAGGGTCTCATTCTCTCACCCAGGCTGGAGTGCAGTGATGTGATTGTGGCTCACTGCAGCCTCAACCTCCTGGGCTCAAGCAATCCTCCCACCTCAGCCTCCAAGTAGCTGGGACTACAGGGGCACGCAACCATGCCTGGCTAATTTTAGTATTTTTTGTAGAGACCAGTCTTGTCATTTTGCCCAAGCTGGTCTCAGACTCCTGAGCTCAAGTGATCCACCCACCTCAGCCTCCCAAAGTGCTGGGACTATAGGCATGAGCCATTGTGCCCCACTCCTTCTTGGTCTTGACTTCCCCGTCTCTCTGCCCCCTGTCAAAGAACTTGTAAGAATAAAGTGTCAGTAGTTGATCAGATAGTCCTAGATTCAGAATTCCGAGATAACTTTTTTTCTACCCATTAAGATTTTTTCTGGCTGGGCACAGTAACTCATGCCTGTAATCCCAGCACTTTGGGAGGCCACGGCAGGCAGATCACAAGGTCAGGAGTTCAAGACCAGCCTGGCCAACATGGCAAAACACTGTGTACACTACAAATAGAAAAATTGGCCGGGCATCATGGTGTGTGCCCGTAGTCCCACCTACTCAGGAGGCTGAGGCAGGAGAATCGCTTGAACCTGGAAGGCGGAGGTTGCAGTGAGACGATACCGTACCACTGCACTCCAGCCTGGGCAACAGCAAGACTCCGTCTCCAAAAAAAAAAAATTTAAAAAGATTTTTCTTATGGTGGTTTCAAAAATGGTTGTGTGGCAGGCTGGGTGCAGTGGCTCACGCCTGTAATCCCAGCACTTTGAGAGGCCGAAGCGGGTGGATCACCTGAGGTCAGGAGTTGGACAGCTGGGTCAACATGGTGACACCCCATCTCTACTAAAAAAGACCAAAAAAATCATCCAGGAGTGGTGGCACGTGCCTGTAATCCCAGCTACTTGGGAGGCTGAGGCAGGAGAATTGCTTGAACCCAGGAGGTAGAGGTTGCAGTGAGCTGAGATCATGCCACTGCACTCCAGCCAGGGCAACAGAGTGAGACTCTGTCTCAAAAAAAAAAAAAAGGTTGTATGGCAATAAAACAAACAACTCACACTCACACACCAAAAAAACTAAGAGGCCAGATTTGCTTTTATCCTTGCAGACTCTGGCCATCTATGACCGGTTTGGCCGGTTGATGTATGGACAGGAAGATGTACCCAAGGATGTCCTGGAGTATGTTGTATTCGAAAAGCAGTTGACAAACCCCTATGGAAGCTGGAGAATGCATACCAAGATCGTTCCCCCATGGGCACCCCCTAAGCAGCCCATCCTTAAGGTAAGGTGGCTTGCATGGTTTAAGAGAGCTGAGGCACTACTCGTGGTCTCCTAAGCCACTCTGTCGGGCTCCACCTAGTGGCGAGAGGGGGTGATGCACCACCCAGGAAGGGAAGGCTGGGTGGGTGGGTGGGTGGGAGCAAGGGATGAAGCTCTTCTGGGTCAGCCATGGGCTTGGTTGGTGGGTAACCTGGCGTCCTACTCTTGCAGACGGTGATGATCCCTGGCCCTCAGCTGAAACCAGAAGAAGAATATGAAGAGGCACAAGGAGAGGCCCAGAAGCCTCAGCTAGCCTGATGACAAAAATGACTTCTAGGGTGAAGCCTGGGTGATGAGGCTGCTGGAAGCTTTGAAGTCTCCCATTCCCCTCATGCTATAAAAAGAACTACCTTTGTTCTCTCCCATCCTGCTCAGGTCTTTTCAGCAGTCTCATCATCAGCAACCATGACTGATGACTGGGCCCTAGCAGGTGGCAGGTATAACATGGCCATGGACACTCTTCTTTTTTAAATTTTATGTCTAGCTTCTGAGTCTAGATGAAAGACAGTATGTTTCAGAGAACATTGGATATCAGTTTTTCCCACAGCAGGGACTGTGAGAGACAACCAGCAGCATCCTCTTTGTAATCACAGGGCAGGGATCAGAGTTTGAAATGAAATGTTGTCAGGGTGTTGGAAAAATTTTGGTGAGTTCTGCACATTTCCCCTGGTTCAGGCTGGGCATGGACCAGCCTTCAGATGGCAGAAGTGGAAGATGAGCCTACTTGTGAGCGATGTGACTTTAAGGAAATGAAGACTGGGGAAGAATAATTAGTGTTTATAAGACATTTAAGAGGCCCTTTTTCATATACTGACTCACTGATGAATCAGCATTTGCATTTTATGGAAAAATATAAATCCAAAGAAATAATTTATCCCTTAGCCTTTGATTGTGTTCTTAATTATTAGCTGTATCAGGAAGTGTTGGGGGAGGCAGGGGCCATGGAGAGGTTGTTACATTTGGAAAATTCATCTGCAGTACTTGGTTCCCTGATTTCTAGCACCATTTGGAGATGGGGACTGTTCTTTCCAGCCCAGTATTGAAGGTGAGTGTACAAAAGTATGAACCTGTGCAGAGGAAAATAGGCCAGCCCCTCCTTGTTCCTTAGCTCCAGATGGGCTGTTAAAAGGGTGTGGGACCTCACATGCCCATGTGTCCTAGGCCATCTGAGTGTGACAAGAGAAATCACTTTGTTTTTGTTTTATTTTGTTTTTTAGAGATGGAGTCTTGCTCTGTCAGGCCCAGGCTGGAGTGCAGTGGCACGATCTCGGCTCACTGCAAGCTCCACCTCCTGGATTCAAGCTATTCTCCTGCCTCAGCTTCCCATGTAGCTGGGACTACAGGCATGTGCCACCATGCCTGGCTGATTTTTGAATTTTTTTTTTAGTAGAGATGGGGTTTCACTATGTGTTGGCCAGGCTGGTCTCGAACTCCTGTCCTCAGGTGATCTGCCTGCCTCATCCTCCCAAAGTGCTGGGATTACAGGTGTGAGTCACCATGCCTGGCCTGTTAAGTGTTAACTATGGAAACAAAGGTATGTATATTTAGGGAAGAGACAGCCCTGGTGTCTCTCATCAACCACTCTCATCATGCTGCTTAGTCCCAACCTTTTTGGCTTAAAGTGTACATCACTTTAATTACTGCCCAAGTGAGGTTTGGTCACATCCTATTTGCCTGAGCCCTGGATTAAGGCAAAATGAGAAGGGACGTGCTTTTGAGCAGGACCCACTGCCAGGGAGTATGGAGGAAGGGGAAATAATCCTTGCAGGGTAAGGAAGCAAAGAAATGAAAAAAAAAAAAAAAGCACACTTAGTGGGTAAATGATACATTGATTCCTTTGAATATGTAAAAATAGTGCTTCAAATAAGCTGTTTCATCCCACTCCCCTGGATATCTCAGGGTTCTCTAGATAATCCTAAATAGGAGCTAAGCAGTAGCTGCCACCAGAGAGCCAGAGGATGAGTGCAATTTCCATTTCCCCTTGGGATTAAATCCAGCTGAGCAAATGGCCTCCAGATGTGAGGGGCTGGCTAGAAGGACCAGGCAGAGACCATCTGCAGTGTCAGCACTGACCTGGGCACTAGCAGAGCATTAGCCAGATAACCCAAAGTCCCAAGACTGCAGTGCACCTTGAGCTTTGGAGCAGGCATTGTTCTTTCCTTATCTATCTTCTGTTACTGTTTAAAAATGTTAAAAAAAGATAATCATGAATAAGCTAGAGCCAACTGCAATGTCAAGAAAAAGCATTCTTTATTTCCGCCCCGCCCCCCCCACCCCATGGTTTATTTCACAAGAGTGTGTTTGGCGGCAACTTTGCTGTTTCCAGCTAGACCAGACCCAATGGGATTGTTTTGGGGTGCACAGCAAAATCCACTTTAGCTCAGAAGCTGTAAGGCTAACTAGCCAGAGCCCAGAACAACAACACACTTCAATTACTGCTCCAAAAGCCCAGAATAAGGGCCCTAGGTAAGAGAATGAGGACATCTGGTCCCCAAAGGAGAGTAGGTTACTCCATTCCTCTGTTCCCTTTTGGAAATGGAGTACTTTTTTACTTTCTCTGTGAAGTCCCATAACCGCCCAGCATATTTACATGCAGACTAGATGTTAATGGCTCTTTTTCCCTTTGGGTATTTGGTCTCCCTGTTTGTCTTTTTCTCCCCATGAATGACATCAATGTCTGTACTGTTGTACTGTTAGAGGGCGTGACTTACTGCCATCTTTAGTGCCCCTGTGCAGCTCTGCCTTCTCTAGCTGCCCCTTCCCCCCTCTCCCACCTCCCTTTGCCAATCTTGGGACTTCTTTGTATGTTTTTCTCCTTCTTCCTTTCCCTCTGGTATTATCATCTAATCCCAGCAATTTGTAATCTAGTACTGCTTAAGCAAGTGTAGCCTGAACTGACGAGAGAAGGGAGCCAAGAAAGAGAGAGCTCCCTAAGAAAGAAGGCTTTGTCTTCACACAGTGCCCTTTTCCCAGCTCTCAGGCTTCTAACTTGCCCTGTAGCACTCCTCTTTTAGAGGGCAGAAGAAGTAGAGTGCTGGCTGTGTACAGGACTGCCTTTCTTGAGCTCCTCTGGAAGGAGATTGATGTGGCCTCTTGTTACTGAGCAAGTGATTCTTGGGCGGGGAGGGGTGGGGGAGGGTGGATGGGTCTTGCATCAGAACCAGAGATTCCCCTTGACTCCAGTTGCCTTGACAAAAGAGAGAGGTCCTGTTGATGGCAGCGCTGAAAAGCTAGGGGGAAGGAAATGAGCCAGTGAGACGAGCTCTGGAGACTGGTGAGAGCTAGGGCAGGAAGAGGGGGAGACCCCCTAAAAAACTAGCAAGAGGCACACAAGGATGTCTGGAAGGAAGAGCTCCCTTGACTGTGGGGAGGACCTGGGGCAATTGCTTTTCTTCTGTGTTCTCTCTCTCTGATGTTGCTTTGGATGCCAGATGCTGATAAGGGTGTCAGCGTGCCTGATTGTTTCTGCTTCAGCAGTCAAGCAGGGCAGGTATGAGAAGCAATAAAGCAGAAACAGGAGATTCAAAGTCAAAATGACAAGGTCCTTAAAGCATTTTCAGGCCCCTATTTTGAGTCATTTTAGCTTTTCCCCCAATTTATCTTCCGCTTCAATTAAATGGCTCTTCAGCTTTCTATGGTGGCCTTTATAGCCTTCTGTGGTCCACCATCCCTACGTTGCCAACACTTTGTATGGTTTAGTTTCTTCTCAAAAAATGCTCCATCGTAGACTTCAGAGAATTGGGTCCCCCTGTGAGAGAAGGTAGGCTGGGCACAACTGACTTTTTTCATCCCTAACAGTGGCTTTGTGGGTGAGTGTCCAGACTCGGGTGGTTTGTGTTGTGAGTACTGTAGGTGGATGGGAGGCGTCCTTAGAAGTAGAGTGTCCAGTCTTTGTTTCCTCAAACAGGAAGAAAAGTTAGAAGTAAAGAGAGGGTGGGCCTTCCCATTGGGGTCTAAGCTGTACCCTTTTCATGCAGTTTGTCTTTGGGATGGGTTGACTTCTGGTCTTCTCAAGGAGGGGAAGTGGCCAAGCTGTCTTTGATTCAGCTCTTTGGGAACACCTGGACTTGGAAAGGGCCTTGGCTCCTGAAAGCTAGCTCTGTGTTTGACCTCACCTAATAAGGCTGTTACTCCCAATCCCAAGGATAGACAGTGGGAGGGGTGAATTCTTCATACTGAGCTTCAAAAGCCACTTGGCCTGAGTCTTCAGTTAAGGACGAAGACTGAGACTCAGCTTCCTGGAGACTTGGCTCTGGGGCTAAGCTGGTCCTTGGCTCAAGCCCTGAAGGTCCTTGTAGTTCTCTGACACCTTCTAGAGTGAAAGTACTGGCTGGCCTGCTTACCTTGGGGCAGGGGATTTTGCTTTCTGGAAAGAAGTGATCCAGAGGCCCATGGACTAAAAGGCATAGTGGTTTTTCAGGAGCTGTGGGGAAAAATTCTCTCCGAGTTGCTGTTAAAGCCAGGAGGCCAGATTCCTCAGATGGGACTCCAGTTTCCTCCCCAGGACAGATGTCTGCCATGGTACCCTTTATTTTATTTCCTTCTGGATCTGTGATTTCCCATTGGCACAGCTCTGCCATCCTGCTTCCCATGCTGCCTGCTTCCTTGGGGCTGACTTTGAGTTCTGGGTCCAGGGCACCTGACTGGGGCAAGAGCCCTCCTGAGCCTGTGCCTTCCCCAGGGCAGACTGCCTCCTGCTCTCTGGGCTTTGCTGCTGCTTTTGAGAAGTGTTCTTCCGTCCCTCCAGGTCCTGCCTTCTGAAGGAACATCTCTCCTTGCCCTTGTGATTCTCTTTCCTGTTCCCCTTCCTCTGCTGCTCCTCCACCCGCCTCCCAAGGGCAGATCTCTGCTTTCTTGGCAGAGGGAGCCTCTACCACTTCCCACAGACACACTTCCGCTACCCTGGTCTCCACACTGCCTGCTGCCTCAGAACTGCCTCTGCTTCTGTCAGAAGCATCTGGGGCTGGCTGTGGGGACAGACCCTTGCCATCTTGACTCTCCCAGGGACACACAGCCTCCTGCTGCCTGAAGTCTGCCATCTCTGGCTTTTTCTGAACTGGCACACCTTTTGGCTCTGATTTTTCTGGGGCTCTGCCTTTCTCTTCTTGAGAGTCCCCTTTTCCATCCTGCCTTGACACCCCTTTGACAGGGATTCTTTCAGTCACTTCCCAGGGACAGGTCTCAGCCTTGGCACTGCTGTCAGATTTATACACACCTGCATCAGGAACATCCCATGGGCACACGTCAGCGGCCCTGCCCCCAGTGCTGACCAGTCTCTGGGAGCTAGCTTTAGGTTGGTCAGGGCGCTGTCTGTCTAGGTGAGAGACGGAATCTGCTGGGGCAGTGGTCTCCCATGGACAGACGGATTGTAGCTCATGGCTTGTTTTTTCCCCATCTTCAGTAGTGAATTCTTCTGTGTCTGCAGCTGGAGCTTTTTCTTGGGTTATGTGTTCTGGGAAGGAACCTGTCTTTGGGTCTTGTCTCAGGTCCCCCTTCTCTGTTGCTTCCAAGGAATGTCCCTCTGCCACTTCACTACTCATGCTGCTGGGCAAGTCTGAGATCTTGGGGGCCTGAGCAGGGGATTCCCTCAAGTCCTTGTTCTCCCAAATACAAATAGTTTCCTGTTGTTGACACAGTTTTGCCATCCCTTTTGATACGTCTTCTCCCAGGGAAGTGAGTCTCCCCTTTTCTAGAGCTTTCTCCCTCTGCTCTGCTGATTCACTCCCTGCCTTTTGGTCCAATCCCTTCCCAGTAGTTCCTTCACTTACCTCCCAGGGACAGATCTTGGCTTTTTCACTGGTAGCAGCTTCCTGTGCTTCCCAGGGACACACTTCACCTGGCCTGCAGCCCATATGATCCAGTTCCTGGAACCCAGCTTTTGGTCCATCAGCATCTAGAGTACCTGGATGCTGAGAACAGGCCCCTGGACCCACACTCCCCCAGGGACAAGCCACCTCCCACTCTGGGGTTGGCTTCTGTGGCTTCTCTGGAGCAGTAACAGCTCTCTCCCTGGGTCCAAGATCTGCAGAAACCTTGCCTGTATCATTTGGAGATTTCCTAATGGCCTCAGCTCCCAAAGCCCTTTCCTCCCCTGCTCCAGCACCCACCTCCCAGGGACAGATTTCTGCCTTCCCAGCAGTCAAGTTTTCCTCCACATCCAAAGGGCAAATGTCGGCAGCTTTGCTTCCCACACTGCCTGACATCTGGAGAAGGGTTTGGGGTCTCTCTGTGTCTTGAGGACGTGGTTGTGGGGAGAAGCTGCCAGGGTCCACACTCTCCCAGGGGCCGACCGCTTCTTGCTTTTGGATCTGCCCCTCAGGCTTTTCCCAAGCTGTGACATCTTCGATTTCCGATTTTCCAGGCATTTTCTCCTTGTCCTTTTGAGATTCTCCTCCTCTTGGCACCTGTGCTGATGTCCATTCCTCTCTTGTTCTTTCATTTACCTCCCAGGGACAGATTTCTGTTTTGGCAGGTGTTGCTTCCTGTGCCTCCGGCCTGAGATCTTCCTGTGGACACACCTGCGTTGCTCTGCTTCCTCCATTGCATAGGAATTGGCTACCAGCTTTGGATGAGGAATTGTCTAGACATGGGCTGGAGTGCCCAGGGACCGTGCTCTCCCTGGGACAAACTGACTCCTGCTGTTGACTTAATTTCTGCACTGCTTTCACAGTTTGTTCCCCCATCTCTCCAAAGCTTCCTTTTCTGGAGGCTTTTTCCTTTTCTTGAAGAGATTCTCTACCTGTCCCCAGACTCAGCATTTCCTGCCCCATCACGTTATCATCCAGCTCCCAGGGACAGATCTCTGCTTTCTGGATAGCAGGAGCATCTCCTGCCTCCCACAGACACACTTCAGCAATGCCACTGCCCAAACTCCCTGAACACTCTGAGCTTCCTGGGGCCTGAATTGAGACTGCTGAGGGGCCCCGGAAATCTGTACTCTCCCATGGACAAAGAGACTCCAAGTCTCCTCCCGGTTTCTGTTCTTTCCAAAAGGTTGCTTTCCTGGTTTTCTGCTTTTCCTGAGGGAGATCCTTCACTGCCTCTTGGGCTGGTTTCCCATCCTCGCCTCCTTCACTTGCCTCCCAGGGACACGGCTCTGCCTTGGTGATGTCAGGGGTATGAGCTTCTGGGCCAGCAGCTTCCCACCCAGGCTTCTCCACCTTCCTGGCCTCCACACTGTCCCCCGCCTCAGATTTGTCTCTGATTCTGCCAGGGTCCTGAGGAGCTGACCCAGGGGACAGACCTCCTCGATCGGCACTCTCCCAGGGACACACTGCTTCCTGCTCCCTCACCAGCCTCTCTGGCTTTTTCCGCATCATGGGAACCACATCTATGGGCTCTGATTTTCCCCGGGCCTCCCCTCTCTTTTTTTGGGAGTCACCTGGGTCTTGTCTTAGTGCCCTCGACTCTGGGGCTCCTTCACTCGTCTCCCAGGGGCAGATTTCGGCCTTGTTGCCACTGTCTGGCTGACGCGTTTCTGATTCAGTGACCTCCCAGGGGCATACCTCTGCCACCCTGTGGTCAGCGCTGCCGAGGGACTGGAGGCCAGCTTTGGGCAGTTCCTGCCACCCGACAGGGGTTTCTTTTGATTGCTTGATGTTTTTGTCCCTGGAAACTTGCCTCAGCATGGCAAGCCCTGTTTTACCTGCTCTCTCAGCTTTCCGTTCCCCTAGACCCTGGGTCATCCTCCTGCCTCTGTCTTCTTGTTCCCTGCTGCCCTCCCGTTGACAGACTTGGAGCATCCTGCTGGTGTGAGCGTTCTGTTGGTTCTGGAGGGACTCCTTGTCATCGGAGGGGATAAGAGCGGCCTGCTTACTCACCGCCTTGGGCCGGCCTAGCCTGGGCGATCGGGAGGGTGCCCCCATACTCTCTCCCGCAGTCCCGCTGTTCTGCCCCTCGGGACTCTCCTCCACACTCTCCTTCTCTCTGTAGGTGCTCCGAGAACGGGTCAGAGCTTTAATCGCCAGCCCCAGGCTGCGCATGGAACCCTGCTGAACAGGGGCCTTGAGGCTGTGGGATTTAGGGAAGATCTTGGGCCTGTCTTCGTCCACATCATTAGCTTCCCTCTGGTGATGTGCATCCTCTGCGTCCATCTCATTCTCCCCAGCCCTGCTTTTCTCTACTGCAACAGAGAGGGCCCTCCAGAGCCTGGCTCGAGCTGGGGCAGGGGAGTGGTGGCCTCGCTCTGGCCCTGAGGGGCCTTCCTGGGGCACATTTTCTTGCTTGGCTGGCAGTTCTGCGTTCTCCCAGGGGCAGATGTAGGTGAGTAAGTTGGGGCTTTGTGGGGATACTGGGACTGGTGCCAGGGCAGGGGCTGGGGTTGGAGCTAGAGCTGGCAGCAGAGCTGGAGCCAAGGTGGAGGTGGGAGATAGCATCCTTGGCTCTCCCAGGCCCCCAGACAGGGCCAAGATGGGGGTAGAAACCTGGTGCCTGATGGGTGGATGAGGCAGCCTTCTCCTAGCCTCCTCATGAAGCCTCCCAGAGGTGTGAGAGCTGTCCACGCTGCTGCTCTTGGCAGGGGAAGGTGGAGCTGACAGGGGGGCCCCTCGAGGCCGCTCCAGCCTCCTGGCTGATGGCCTCCGCACCAGGCTGGCCATGGCTGCCTTGGCCTTCTTCCGCTCCTCCCGCTCCTTTGCTTGCCGGTAGGTCTCCTCCAGGTAGGCCTGGCTGGCCATGAGCAAGGCCTTTTCCCTGGAGCTGGCCACACTGAGCGACTTCTGCAGAGAGGCGGGCCGGGCTCTGGGTAGCCTCTCTCCCACCGTCAGGTTGTGGGCGCTGGCTGACCTGAAGCCCAGGGCAGGGGGCCCCTCCACCGACTCCCGGCTCTCTGTTCGAGAGGCCTTCTTGGCCAGCTTCCTCCTCAGCAGTGAGTCAAGAAGAGGCGGGTCCTGCTCCCTGCGCTGGTCATAGGTGCTGCGGGACTTGTGCAGAGCTGGTGTCCCCTCGGGTTCCTGGAGGCTGGAGCTGAGGAGCCGGCGGCGGGAGGAGCCGGGCAGGCTGCCGTGGCCTGGGGATCCTGAGTCCCGGGAGTGCTGCCTGGCCAGGGCCTCGGGGAATTCCGCCAGGTACCTCATGAAGGAGCGGCCCAGTCCCTGGCATGAGCTGCCTCGCTTCTTGGGCAGGTGGGGGTTGTTTGCGGCCATTTCCTTGGTTTTGTGGACCTCTAGCTGGGCATAGAGCTTCTTCAGCTCGTCCTGTGGGGCAGCAGGGAGGAAAGCAGGGCTGCAGGTGAGCTCTCTCCATCCCCTGGCTGTCTGTTCCTCCACCCTTGCCTAGACCTTTTTCCCTTAGGGATCTCTTTCCATCAAGCTGTATCTCTTCCCTGCTTCTAAAACTCTCGTAATTCACCTCTTTGTTCCTGTGAGACCAGTTGCCAACCTGAGTCCCAGCCAGATCCAGTCAGCTCGGAGGACTCATGTGTACCCCCTTCTCTGGGGCATTGTGGTCTAGTGGGAAGTTAGTAGCTTGGGGACACTCAATATGCTGTGTCCCTGGAGGCTGTTTTCATGACCCCTCCCTCTGAGCCTCTGGATCTTCTGTAAAGCAATGTTACCTGGGTGACCAGTGTTAACTTCCTTAAGAGCATTATATGAGATTGATGAGACTAGTGGGTTTGAAATATGCAGTGTTCAGGTGTAAATGATGGAACGGGGCTTTAGAAGTCTTCTGTTCTGGGTTTCTCCCCAGATCCAGCATAGGGGCCGCAGATTGGCTTGTGTTCCAGAAAGTGGAGGGTCAGGGGTGGAGCTGCCCCTCCATACTCCCTGGCCCTTCAGCTGGATTGGGGTCTCAGGAGGCAGGGCAGGCAGAGCTCAGAGGGTGAGGACACAAGGGGGAAACGGGCAGAGGCACTGGAACAAGGAAGGACTCAGGAGATGCAGAGGACTCTGCTTTGTGGGCCTGTAAACAAGTCAGGTGTGAAGACGGCCCCAGTAGAGGTGGAGGGGGTGGACAGAATGGCTTCCCATGATGGTTCCTAGACTCTGGATTGTATAAAACAATGGGCTTAGATTATCAGCTCTCCTTGTATCTTACCCACTGAGCCTCTTGTTAGGGTTCTGGTGACTATAATGATCCCCTTGAGCACAGAAATGAGAATAAGCATGCTTTTCCAGTGTAGACCCAGGAAGAACTTCCTCTAAGACCTGCCAGGTCCAGGGAAAGGGGATCCTGGTGGCTACTCACTGCCTGAACTACCCAGCCCCACAGCTGGCCCTAGGCTGGCCCTAGGTGCCCTAGGCACCAACCATCCTGCTTTGCTGGGGGCTGAGGCTTTTTTGTGTGTGTGTGTCAGAATCTTACTCTTTCACCCAGGCTGGAGTGCAGTGGTGCGATCTCAGCTCACTGCAACCTCAACTTACCAGGCTCCAGTGATCCTCCTCCCACCTCAGCCTCCTGAGTAGCTGGGACCACAGACATGTACCACCATGCCTGGCTAATTTTTGTATTTCTAGTAGAGACGAGATTTCGCCATTTGGCCAGGCTGGTCAAACTCCTGGCCTCAAGTGATCCGCCTGCCTTGGCCTCCCAAAATGCTGGGATTACAGGCATGAACCACTGTGCCCAGCCAGCTGAGGGGTTTCTTAGACTGCCCCCGACCTGATGCCCCTGCTGAGTGAGAGTGGAGGATGCGAAGGAGTAGGGCTCCACTCTCGGCCCTGCCTCTAGCTTGCCACATGGCCTGAGCCTCCGGGATCTGGTTCTGGGGCTTTGGGGTCTTCCCACTTGGGTGTGTGTGGCCTCCTTTGAATAGAGTCAGGGGAATCAGTTTAGGCCAGTGGAGAAGGGAGAGGGCAGGTCTTGGAGGGAAGAGGACTTGCAGTGGCACATAGCCCAGGTGGCAGGGCCCAGTCCTCCCTCTGCCCAGTTCCTAAAAGCTAGCATTGAAAGGAGGCAGGGAGGGTGGCACATACCCGAATGTCTCCAGGGTCCAGGCTGTGCTCACTCCAGGCTGAGGCGATGCTGCTGCCAAGGTAGGAGCCTGAGTGCTGCAGGTCCAGCTCGTCCTCACACACCTCATCCACCATCTCCTCCCGGGGAGGAGCCCCCAGCTTCCAGAACTGGCAGGGGCGCATAAGAGTGGGAAAAAGACTCGCCCTGGCTCCTTGTCCACTCCTGCACTCACCTGCCCTGTGGAATGCGTCCTTACTTTGTGACGCTTCACCCCCTTCTCTGACTTGGAATTCTGGGGATCTTTAGAGTTTTACTCCCCTCATCCTCCCTGACCTTCTCTAGCTCAGACAGCAGGGTGGTTCTAAGCCCCTGACCCTGCAATTCCTAGCCGGGTCCTTCAGCTCTCCCACCTCTCCCTGTATACCTGCTTCTGAGTAGATTTTCAGAGTGTGCCAACCTTCCAGCTGCAGGAGGGAGCCCCTCCAGCCCTGGGTTTTCTTTCCCTTGCCCAGGAACTGGAAGCAGAGAGTGTCCCCACTCAAGTCAGCTCCTAGCTTAGGGCCCCTGGCACTGTGCTCACTCACCCAGCACCTTCTGTCGTCCTCACCCTGGCCTGCAGAGGGCGCTGCGGGACAACCGCTCCACAGTGGCCCTGACAGAGGGGCTGGGGTCCACCTCACAGGCAGGAGGGGAGGGCCTCACCTTAGGGATGAAGATCAGAGCCAGCGTGGTGGTGACTGTGCTGTGGGTGTGGAAGAAGAAGAGGAGGAGGGTCCAGTCCGGGTGCAGAGAGGGAACCAGCACAAACCTGGGGCGGGATAGGGGCGCAGGTCATTACTGCAGGCAGGAGTTGCCTCTTCTGCTTTGCCTTCTCACTGGCGTTTCACCTCAGCCCCAACCCTGATACGCTTAGGACGAGGGGGCATTCTGCCCTCTCCTGCCCTCTCCAGGATTTAGGTCCCACTTCAATCCTGTTAATCCCAACCTCCAAGACGCCCTCCCAGAATACTCCAGCTCACTTTCTTTGGCTGTGTATAGCACAGACCTGTGCTCCAGACTCTTAGGCCCACTCTGTGGGTTAACTCTGCCTCCACCACAGGGTCTGGTCGTTATGGACAAACAGCAGCCTGCTGCTCTTATGGCTGAGGAGTGAGGGGAGAAGGCAGGGAGGACTGAGCATGTGTGGAAAGGGGTATGTTGGGGTGCTGGAGAGGTGCTTTGGGAGGGGTGAGGAGTTAGGAGGAAGGTCCTCTTCCTCCTCTTCTGTGTTGGGGGCCTCCTCACCTGGGCCAGGCATGGAGTACAGAAGGGGCATCTGGGGGGTAGGGAGAGAGCCAGAAGTGGGGGCCTTCCTCAACGTGCTGAGGCGTAGCAGTGTTGCCAGGATGGCATGGGATGGGGGCACCTCACCTGGGAGAGGTGAGGAGTACTGTTAGAGTGGAAGGGGGTGTGGGGAGGTGAGTCCGTCCTCACCTGGCTGTGTGGAAGGCAGCGGAAAGCAGTAGCTCATTGTGCAGGGCGATGCCCATGTAGCGTGGCTCATGGAAGGCCGAGAGCACAGCCCGTGTGGCGTAGCAGAGGAAGCTGCCCCAGCACAGCAGCAGCAGCTCAGCTGTGGGGAGACAGGGAGGGAGAGAGCCGGCACCACCTCAGCAGCTGTCCCACCCCTTTCTCTGAAAGATGTGCTCGGGGGAGCCTGGGCTCGGGGTCTGGGGACAAGTCAGGAGAACCAGAACAAGAGGAACCCTGGAGGCACAGAGGCAGGGACCAGCGTAAGGCTGGGCTCAGCAGAAGCAGCTCACCCACAACCATGATGTAGTCCCAGCGGTCGTGGTGACAGAGGTAGAAATGGCGGCCACTGGGAGTGTGGCCTCGGATCACCAGAGGTGCGTGCTGGATGCCTCGCTCCAGGGCGCCCACGGTCCACACAGCCAGGAAGCCCAGCACAGGTAGCAGGAGCAGCCCCAGGCGCCGCAGCAGCCGCCCGCTGCTCAGAAGGGCACTCCGCTGGGCCGTTCGAGACAGAAACAGCTGCAGCACTCTGCGAGGGTTAGAATACACAGGGTGGATGGCAGGGACCTGGGTGGATCACGAAGAGGGTGCCAGCGCCCTGGTCTCTGTCCATTGCTGCCCTCTCCTCCACACAGGTACTTGTCCTTCCATCCTTTTTGTGATTTGCTGCCTTTTGCTACCCCCCCACAAAGTAACATGGAAGACAAGGCTATGGTGATGGGGGTTGGCCTTGGGGGTACAGGGGAGTGGTGCTGGCAAGGGTCTGGCTTTGAAAAACACCATTCCATGAGTGAGCTGGGGTGGTCTGGGATGAGCAGCATGAGAGCAAAGTCTGCCCCAGGCCGTACCTGTAAAGCTTGAGTATGATGGTGCCGTAGACGATGGCAAAACCCAGCAGCCGCACCCAGCGAAGAGCGATGCAGCGGAATACACTGGGCTTGAAGTATAGGATGAAGACCTGGTGGGAAGGGGCAAAAATCTCTGCTCTCTACTATGCTTCTGCTGTGGGCCAGGCCTATGCTAAGCACACTGTGGATCCTCCCAACAGCCCTGCAATAGAGCCATCACCACCTTCATTCTGCAGAGGAGCAGCTGAAGTGTCAAAGAAGTTAGGTAACTTGCCCTAAATCACACTGCAAGTCACAGAGCTCCTAATAAGCCTGAGGCTCCAGAGCTCATAGACCAGCTTGCCATTTGTGGGTAAGAGTAGGGGAAATCTGTGGTCTCTGAATCCCTTCCAGAGGGCAGAGAAGGGTTCTGGGGCTTGGAGGGTGCCAGGTTTTGGCTATGGGGGATGCTGGAAGGTGGGGCCAGCCTGTGGCCACAGACTCACAGGAAAGTAAAGCAGCAGGAATCCAAAAAGGACAGTTTCCAGCAGGACCACTCCAGATGCCCAGATCCTCTGTGAAGCAAGGAGAGAGGCATGTGAGCAGAGTCTGGACGATGGTTCTAGAGGCTCTCAGGCCTATGTGAACGGTCACTCAGTGACCCTGAGCTAAGGCTTCACCCTGTAACACTGGCTCTGCCCTCTCTGCCCACATCCACGTCCCTTGTTACCCCAGGCTCAACTCCACTGGCACTAAACATGGCTAAGGCCAAGGTTTTACATCATTCCCACACACACATCCCTGTGTTCCTCCCAGTCTTGCTCAGGGCCTTGCTGCAGACCTAGGCTCAAATCAGAGGCTGCTGGAGCTGGAAGGGATCTCATGCATTCCTCAAGCGTTGGGTCAGGCTGCTCCCTTGTCTAGAATAGGGTACCCCTTCTTGGCCCAGTAAGTATCCAGTTAACCTTCAAGCCTGGCTCATGTCACATCCAGAACGTCTTTCCCATGCCATCTCAGGCAGGATGACTTTCTGTAAGCTCCCACAGCAGCTGACAGACACCTCCATCCTTGCCCCCATCTCACTGTGCTGTCATTTTATTTACATGTCTGCTTCCTCCATTAAACTGGGAACTCCATGCAGGCCCAGATCACTTCCATTTGAGCCTAGGCAGTGTTTTGCTTAGAGTAGATACTCAACTAGCATTTATTGAATCAAGTTCAATGCCCTTATTTTACAGATGAGGAAGCAGGTCCAAGGCGGAGAAATCACTTGCATCATGCTACACAGTGAGTTAGATTTAGAATCAAGATTAGAACCAATTTCTCCTAAATTCTGGTCTTAGGTAGTCTCAGGCCTCCAGTTGAGATGGGTCGGACATGTGTGTAGGAGGTGTGGGGCCTTCCTTGCCTTGTTCCGGCGGCAGCGGTAGGAGACCAGCATGCTCAGGAAGATGGCCAGCATGCAGCAGGCCTGGCAGGCCAGCACAGCGGCCCGCAGCACCGCGGCCTCTTCCACCAGGCACGGTGTGGCATCCATGCAGCTGGTGCAGCCCTCAGGACATGGCAGACACTGCAGCAGTCTCCCAGATCTGCCTTCTGGGAACCCGAATTGCCCGGTAGTCTGGAAGTCACTCTCCTCTAACCCTATAAAGAACAAGATGAGTGCAGGGAGAGGGGCCCAGCTAGAGCATCCTGACATCCCAGCCTTTTCCCTGATAGTCACCACAGCCCTCTCCCTGTTCTCCTGTGACCTGGGGCTCCAGGGACAAGTGGGAATGGGTGCTTCCTTGGGAGGGCAAAGTACCAGGAAGAGGTGACACCAGGCTAGGGCTCCTTGAGAGGCCAACTTGCATCATATTTGCATGTTACAGGCTCATACTCAGAAGGTGTAGACACCCCCACACTGCAACCTGCTTGCCTCTCCTGCCTCTCTCAACCTTCTGCCCTTGCCCCACAAGTTCCCTCCCAGTGTCTCACCCCAATCTGGCTTTCTTCCCCAGATGTACCCTCCCAACCATCCTCTCATGTAAAACACATGCCTGGCCCCCACCACACTTACATACCCCCAGAGGGGCTTGCCCCGTAGAATCCAGGTCGGCAGCGGCAGAGGTAGCGGCCAAGAACAAAGCCCTGACTCTCCAGGGGAACACACTATGGGGACAACAAACACAGTATGTGTTTATGTGGGGCTTTCTCTGGAAGAGCTTTCCCTCCTGGGAGAGATGGAGGGTCCATCTACCTCCCTATCCATGGGACTTGGGTCCACACTAGGGAATCCCTCCAGAAGCCCTCTCTAGTCCTTGGGAAGCCTTCCCTCTGTGGAAACCCTACCTGACCCCTGCTGTTGCCTCTCTTCCCAAAGAGACCCTAAGCAAAGAGTACAGGGAGAAATCACCCTTTTGTTCAGACTGGCAGTGACAGGAGCCTCATAGGACCCATTTCCTAGTGGCCAGCTCTTGCTAGGGCAAGGTACTGGGGGAGATGGAAGTAGGGAAAGTTCTGAGCCCAGCCATACCTTGTGTGCCTACATCCTACTTCAAAGGGTCCCCATCAGCTTCCATCTTTGGCACACAAATGGACTGGAAAGGCCCCCCACGGAGGAGCAGCTTCCTTCACCAGGGACCATCTGGCTTTCGCACAGGACTGTTTTTCCCAGCCTTAATGCCAGGCTAATGCCAGGCTGGTGGGATGCCAAGGCCAGCCTTTATTCCACCTCCTCCTATTGATGTTTGCCCGGCAGGGGACAGAGCAGACCTCAGAGCCAGGCAGGGAATATGAACAAATGAGGTCAGATCTATTGTGGGGAGTGGCTGGGAACAGACATCAGTGACGCAAATGAAAGGGTTAACCTTGGAAGATTCTATATCGAGCCCCTGACCTCACTTAGTAGGGTTAGTGTGTGGTGCTTGTGAAGCTGTGGCCCAACTTCCCCTCTTGCTTGGACCACTGGACTACACAGTCTGCACAATTAGACAAACATGCACCCAGAGAAGTGAATGTGTCTGGGTTAAACAGTGAACTGGATGGTGGGAGCCCTTTTCCATCCCTCCACCTCTAGCTGCAGACACATGTGCCCTGAAGAGCAGTAGAACCACCTGTGCACACAGAACAATATGCCCACCAGCCCCAGCAGGCCACAGGGCTCGCCCTGGCTTTGGCTCAGCTCAGGAACAAGCATGCAGTGATTGTAACCATGGAGCGGGTGAATTCACTGGCCTCCCAGTTTCCCAGTACTGGGTTTGCATGATTTCCAGCCAGTGCTCTCCATCACTGTGAGTCACCTGCACCCGTAGCTTTGAATCTACCTGCATCTGGCCCAGGTTCCATCACATTCACTGGTCCCAGGCCTCTTCGAGCTCCTTGGTTGGTTAGATTCCTCCCATACTCCAACCAGCAATTCCATTTATTTCAGCAATATGGAACACCCTTTTGTAGACAGACCAATGGAACATCCTTTGTGGGCCAAGAGGAGCCCAGAGCTGTGTTACATGAAGAATGTGTTCCCGGGGGAAGGAAAGGAGATAAGTAACTGAGGCTCAGGAAGTCACCCTGGGGAGGGGTCCTGGAGCACTGAGTACCAGAAAGGAGAGCAGACAGGAAGAACACTGAACTTTCAAAGGAATGAGGGCAGGAGCAGGAGGAATAGGGGGTGGGGGGGCAGGCTGTAGGTGACCTGACTTTTTAAAAGCCTGGTATCTCACCTCTGCCAATCACTAGGAACTCCCCTGAAGCCCTGAGATGCTGGGGTAGCTTTGTCTGCTGCTCCTGGGAGCTGCATGGTGGCGGTGATGGGAAAAGGGGAGGGAGGCAGGACTCTAGTAGCGCCCCCCATCCTCCTCATCCTTACCTGGGTGCTGTTGAGATCACACAGGTGTGTGTTAGAGTACCAGCCTGGGCCACTTGCACACTGATTGATGTCCACACTCTGGAGATCTACGTCCATCTGCACCTGCCCCCTACGGCAGTGAATTGGCAATTAGGGGCACAGTGATTGATGCCAAAGTGGACGTGTGTCCCTGGGCGTTGTTGGGGCCCAGAAAATGATGCTCGGAATTATGGCACTTTGGCATGCTGAGGACTTTGAACTAAAGGAGATTAGAAGGGTTCAGAAGTAAGGTCTCTCCGACCTTCTCCTTCTCTCTTGTCTCCTGCCCCTCTTTCTCCCCGCTGAAGTGAGTTCTAGAAACCAGAATTCCCCTTCCCCAAGGCAGGTCATAGAAACTAGAATCCCCCTCCCCCAGAGCAAGATATAAAACCAAGAACTATTACTCTCATCTTCCCCTGCCTTTCTGTGTAGGAGCTGGTCATAAAGAAATTCTCTGGCCTGCCTTGACTGATAGTAAGTAGGTCATATGACCCTCATTCCAGAGGGATCCTGCCCTGTACCTGGGAGGAAGGATGCTACATAGACAGGCCAAGAGGAAGCTGAACAGAGGCCTGGCTGAGTTTCCCTATTTGGTCTACTACCATTAGATCATAGACTTTTTTGTCCAATCACAGTTCTACAGGGCTGACCATGCTTCATGGAATCTAAGCATAACAATGAACAGTTTTCCCTGAGTCTATTCTTTCTTTTTTTTTCTTAGACACACAGTCTTGCTCTGTTGCCCAGGCTGGAGTGCAGTGGCATGATCATAGCTCACTGCCACCTCCACCTCTTTGGCTCAAGTGATTCTCTCACCTCAGTCTCCAAAGTAGCTGGGACTACAGGCATGTGCCACCATGCCTGGCTAGTTTTTAAAAATTATTTTTAGTGGAGACAAGTTCTGGCTATATTGCTCAGGCTGGTCTTGAACTCCTGGGCCCAAGCAATCCTCCCACCTCAGCCTCCCAAGTAGCTGGGACTACAAACATATGCCACCATGCCTGGCTAGTTTTTAAAAATTATTTTTAGTGGAGACGAGCTTTGGTTATATTGTTCAGGCTGGTCTTGAACTCCTGGACTCAAGCCATCCTCCCACCTGGGCGTCCCAAAGTGCTGGGATTATATGTGTAAGCCACTGAGCCTCTGCCACTGGGTCTTCATTTCTGAAGGCTCCTGTGTCATGTAAAACTTTGGCTAAATAGGCGGGGTGCAGTGGCTCATGCCTGTAATCCCAGCACTTTGGGAGGCCGAGGCAGGTGCATAATCTGAGACCAGGAGTTCGAGACCAGCCTGGCCAACATGGAGAAACCTTGTCTCTACTAAAAATACAAAAATCAGCCGGGCATGGTGGCTCATGCCTGTAATCCCAGATACTCAGGAGGCTGAGGCAGGAGAATCGCTTGAACCCAGGAGGCGGAGGTTGCAGTGAGCCAAGATGGCGCCACTACACTTCAGCCTAGTGACAGAGCAAGAGTCCATCTCAAAAACAAACACACAAACAAACAAACAAACAAAAAACTTTGATTAAATAAATTTGTTATGCCTTTCTCTTGTTAATCTGTCTTTTGTTATAGGAGTATTGTGACCCTTATGATGAGTGAGGAAAGGGATCACACTTTTCTGCCCCTACAGGCACTAGATCTGGGGACAATGCAGTCTTTGCAAACTTTAGCCCAGCACCTGCAGTGTGTGCGAAGGGCATGCATGTATTCCATTTCTCCAGTATTATGAATGTTCACTGTCTCTGTGGACAACAGTCTTCTTTCTACTAGGTTGTTCTCTCCACCCCTCAGCTTTTTGATATCCTATCATTTCCTGGTTTCTGTCAAGGAGGAGAGACAGGGCGCATGTCAAGACATGGCAGGAGTCAGGGCTCTGATGATCTCTGAAGAGGATTTTCACACTTCCTCATGCATGTACACACGCACACACACAGAGATCAGCTCAGCTATTAACCATCTCCTCTCTCTGCCCAAGCCAGGTCTGAATTGATCACAGCAAAGGAGATATGAAATAGAGGAGCCCTGACCTGGCACTGCCTGGACCAGCAGTTCCCCAGCCTTTGCTCTGGGCTGAGCTGGCAAGGAGCCAGGCTGCCTGCTGGCAGGAGGAGAACCCTGCTGGGAACAATGAATGGGGACACAGAGCTGGAGAAGCAGTGTTGATTGTTGAATGCCCTGCAGTCCTAGGCTCAGTCGCTGCTCCCTTCCCAATAGGACCCTCAATCCTTCTTTCCTGTGGTTGAGGGAGGAGGTAGTTTACTGGAGGAGAATCACAAGCTTCTGCGTCAGGACAGGCAGGATAGTGCGGCCTGCTTGGTTTAAGAAGATGGCCCTGGGGACTCAGCCAGCTCCTTGGCAGAAAGAGCATTGATTCCAAGCCCCCTCAAGAGTTTTCCTTCCGCTGGGTGTGGTGGCTCACACCTGTAATCCCAGCAATTTGGGAGGCCGAGGCGGGCAGATCACTTGAGGTCAGGAGTTCGAGACCAGCCTGGCCAACATAGTGAAACCCCATCTCTACTAAAATACAAAAAGTAGCCAGGTATGATGATGCGCACCTGTAATCCCAGCTACTCAGGAGGCTGAGGCAGGAGAATCATCTGTACCTGGGAGGCTGCAGCTGCCGTGAGCCGAGGTTGCACCACTGCACTATAGCCTGGGCGACAGAGCGAGACTCTGTCTTGAAAAAAAAAAAGTTTTCCTTCTCCGGGGAAGCCTCATTTTACAGCTCTCAGTTGCTAGAGAGCAGTAGGTTGAACGCCTGGAGTGCCCACCCAGCTCTCCACTAACAAGCCTGGTGCATAGATTGTCACTGTCATCCACACCAAGACCTCTCCTGCCTCTTGCACTCCCTTCTCAGGCCTGGGGGCCAAGACCTCTGCCTGTCTATACTGACACATCTTTTTTTTTTTTTTTTGAGACAGAGTTTTGCTCTTGTTGCCCAGGCTGGAGTGCAATGGCGTGATCTCGGGTCACCGCAACGTCTGCCTCTGGGGTTCAGGTTCAAGTGATTCTCCTGCCTCAGCCTCCTGAGTAGCTGGGTTTACAGGTACTCGCTACCACACCCAGCTAATTTTGTATTTTTAGTAGAGATGGGGTTTCTCCATGTTGGTCAGTCTGGTCTTGAACTCCTGACCTCAGGTGATCCACCCGCCTCAGCCTCCCAAAGTGTTGGGATTACAGGCGTGAGCCACTGCACCCAGCTATACTGACATATCTCTACACACATGTGTATACCTGCATATAGATGTATGCTACATATGTATACCTATTTGTATATGCACAGGCTCACAGACATTCCTGCATGTGCTCAAGCACATAAACCCAGATAAATATGGATTGATTTATACACATGTACACTCACACCTGTATGTGTTAACAGATAGTTGCAGATTCCCAGAGCCGACTGTAAGTACACACAGCTGAGTACAAATACCCACATCTGTGTGCCCCCCAGGCATGCACATGTTCGTGCCAAATGGCCCAGGCACAGCTGAGGGGACCTGTACTTCCTTCCCCTACATCCCCACACATGCATCAAATCCTGCACAAACCCACTTACCTGACTTCTGGGCTGAGGTCTGGCTTGAGTCCATAGAAGGTGGCAGAGAGTGTGATCAGCCATCCAGGTCGGAGCCGTCCCTCCTGGCATTCCAGGAAAGGAGGAGACAGCCTCACCTGCTGCGTGTCCCCCACATATCCATCTGCCTGCGGCCACTTGGGGCTGCCGAGGCTCCCTAGGTCATTGGTCAACACTCGCTTCTTCAGGGCAGGGGTGTCCAGGTCCCCAGGAGGGTTCTCCTCCTGCACCCAGTTCCCAGACAAGTCCTGCAGGATGGTTTCCTCCCCAGTCCGGGTGGCCTGCAGGGCCAGCTGTAGGTGGCTGGCCCCTGGTGGAGGGTTAAAGGTCAGCAAAGCCCTGTACACTCTTGGGTCCCCCTCGGCCACGCTGCGGACCAGTGCCTGGTACCATTCCACATCCTCCTCCACACTGGACTCACGGATGTCGTTGGCTTGCAGCAGCATGTTGAGAAAATTGGCGGCCTGGGCAAGGGTGCCCGCTGCCCCCTGTAGGCTTGGGGGGAGCCCTGGCATGGCTCCTGCCCCACGCGCTTCATAGCGCTCACTGCAATTCACCTGTGATAGCTGCTGGGCATCTCCAGAGTAGAGATAAGCGAGGGCGGCCTCGGCCCCCTCTAGGGGCACCTGCATGGGTACAGATCCTGGCTTGACTTGGGAAGACAGAGGGGGCAGAGAGCGGATGGGCCGTGGACCCCCCAGAGCCCAGGCACAGACAAAACAGCAGCCCAGCAGCCCCCACATAGGAGGGGGCATGACCGCTCCCCTGGTGCCCATCCTTGGGGCAGCTCTCAGGACCCTGGGGTCCAGGCTCAGGAGAGCCCAGGCAGAGGCTGGCTGCAGTCTGGGGGCTGTCGGCCTCCACGCCTCCTATGCTGGCGTTCCTTCTTCCTCTCTCCGTCTCCCTCTCACGCTGGTGCCAGCTCGCCTGCTTTTTTCTTCTCTCTAACGTCACCAGCTGGCTTCTGGATGTAGGTATGAGGGCCCTGCCCCCTACTGTCTCAGTGCGGCCCCCTATCTCAAACCTCTTAATCCCAGCACCCCACTCTTTCCTCCCCTCCTATCCAGTATTCAGGCTCCCTCCATCCCCCATCCACATCTGCTCCCGAGGGAGAGAGATGGGAGGGAAGGGGAGACGAAGGCACCAGTTGTGCTCTTTCTCCCTCCCTCCCTCTGCCTGCCCTTTGCTCCATTAGGAGAGATGGGCAAATCCAGGATGGGGCACCATAGCAACCGCAGATGAGCTTGTGCCCCTCTCTCCACCCCTCTGCTCCACTCAGGCTCCTGGCAGCAATTGCAACAGGCACACTAAGGGGCCAAGCTGCATCTCCTGGCAGTCTGCGCTGGCTGCCTGCACCCCCCTGACCCTGTGCTGCTGAGCTGGGATTTGAGAATGGGGATGTTGAGGGCAGGAAAGACAGCCTAATAGTACCGTAATTGGTCTTTGTACAGACTGAGGCAGCTTATAAGGTGCTTTTCATGTGCCTTATCTGAATGAGTCTTCCCCACAGCCATGTATGGTGAATGTTCTTATCCCCATTTCACAGATGCAGACACTGAGACTCACCCAAGGTCACAAAGCAGCTCACTCAGAGACTTACATCCAGAGCTCTGACTCCCCTACATTGCCCATCCAAACCACCACCATCACCGTTACTCAGCCTCAGGGACTATAACAAAGCCTCCTAGCAGAGGCGTCAAGGGACTTCCCTAGAACCACAGTGTTGTTTATGACAGAGCCGCAGCCTCCACCCAGGTGTCCGTCCCTACAACCCAGGCCTCCTTCTGAACCAAAGTCGACAAGCACAGTGGCAATGGTGGCGGGAGAGAGGTGGGCAAGGAGAAGACAGTGAACACAGTTTTGCCTCCATTTCTTACACCTTCATTTTGTCATCCTAAGTTCTACCTTCTTCTTTTTTTTTTTTTTTTGAGATAGATTCTTTGTCCACCCAGCTGGAGTTGCACCAGCGTGATCTCGGCTCACTGCAACCTCTGCCTCCTGGGTTTAAGCGATTCTCCTGCTTCAGCTTCCTGAGTAGCTGGGACTACAGGCATGTGCCACCATGCTCGGCAAATTTTATTTTATTTTTTTTTTTAAATTTTTTAGTAGAGACGGGGGTTTCACCATGTTGGCCAGGCTGGTCTCGAACTCCTGACAAGTAGTCTACCTGCCTCAGCCTCCCAAAGTGCTGGGATTACAGGTGTGAGCCACTGCACCTGGCCCCTTCTCCTTTTCTTCATGAAAACTGTGGCTACTCTCTCTCGCTTTTCCCCATTTTTCTTACCCCTCACCTCCTTCCTGCTGCTAGGCACAGTAACTGGGGGGCCCTGAGTCAGTGCTGTCTGAGCCGGCCTCCTTGGATCCGGAAGGGCATGGATTCTTGGGGAAGCCACAGAACAAAGCTCCTGCCTGCCCACCCATCACTTTTCCCTTGATGATGGGCTTCCTGCTTCACCAGGCAATCTGGCCCCGCAGGCGCAGGCTGTCTCTTGGCTTCTTCCCTTCAAACCCCCTCCAAACCCCCAATGTCTGGAACCTTTGATGTCCAAGATCATTGAGTGTATGTAGGTAGGGATGGGTGGTGGTTGCCAAACATGTCCCTTGCTTTCCAGTTGACCTCTGCAAACAATAATTCTTTTTTTTTAGACAGAGTCTTGTTCTGTTGCCCAGGCTGGAGTGCAGTGGCACAATCTCGGCTCACTGAAACCTCTGCCTCCCGGGTTCAAGTGATTCTCCTGCCTCAGCCTCCCAAGTAGCTGGGAGTACAGGCGTGTGCCACCACGCCTGGCTAATTTTTGTATTTTTGGTAGAGATGGTGTTTCACCATGTTGGCTAGGCTGATCTTGAAACCCTGACCTCAGGTGATCTGCCTGCCTTGACCTCTCAAAGTGCGGGGATTACAGGCGTGAGCCACCGTGCCCGGCCTTGCAAAGAACAATTGTGCTATGCAACCTAAGTGGGAGTGCCCAGGCTGTGGGGATAGCGGGGCTAGAGGACAAGCCCCCAGGAGAATCTCTATGATGGCAAAACTAGCAGGGCCCATAGCCCAGACTTTTTTTTTTTTTTTTTTTTTTAACAAATTAGGAAACTAAAACACTGAAAGGAAAGTGACATTCACAAGGTCACCCAGCCAGTTAGTGGTATTGCTGGGAGCAGAAACCTGTATTGCACATCCATAGCTCTTTCCTTGGCCTTTCTGAGTGACTTATTCAATTTCTTGGTATTTATTACTGGTTACTGTTAGTTGAGGGTCAACAAAACACACTGGGTGAAGACAATAGTAACTTATCATGAAAAGCTTCTTGGGAAAAAATGTATTAAGTTATTACCATGAAAAGCTTCTTGGGAAAAAATGTATTAACTAACATTTGTATAGCACTGTAGAATTTATTAAGTACCTTTACACGTAAGTTTTCATTTAATTCCCCACAATAGCCATGTCAAGGGGGGATTATTACTGACCCATTTTAACAAATGAAACACGGGTTCGGAGATGTTTAATTATTTGCGTTTGCTCATATATTCAGAAAGTGGCATGATTAAGACTAACTAGACCAACCACAAAGTCCAGAGGGACAGGGATTGTGTCTGTCTCATTTATCACTGCATCCCCAAACCTAGCCCACCGTTGAATGACCAAATGAATCTCAGAACTTCTTTAGATTCTTTATCATTTTTTTGTTTTGAGGCAGGGTCTCGCTCTATCACCAGCCTGGAGTGCAGTGGTGAGATCATGGCTTCCTACAGCCTCGGCCTCCCAGGCTCAAGTGAGCCTCCCACCTCAGCCTCCTGAGTAGCTGGGACTACAGGCATGTGCCACCACACCTGGCTAATTAAAAAAAAAAAAAAAAAAAAGGCCGAGCACGGTGGCTCACGCCTGTAATCCCAGCACTTTGGGAGGCCGAGGTGGGTGGATCACGAGGTCAGGAGTTCAAGATCAGCCTGGCTGGCCAGGGGCAGTGGCTCACGCCTGTAATCCCAGCACTTTGGGAGGCCGAGGTGGGTGGATCACGAGGTCAGGAGATGGGGACCATCCTGGCTAACACGGTGAAATCTCATCTCTACTAAAAATACAAAAAAATTAGCCGGGTATGGTGGCAGGCGCCTGTAGTCCCAGCGACTCAGGAGGCTGAGGCAGGAGAATGGCGTGAACCCGGGAGGCAGAGCTTGCAGTGAGCCGACATCGCGCCACCGCACTCCAGCCTGGGCGACACAGCGAGACTCTGACTCAAAAAAAAAAAAAAAAAAAAATCAGCCTGGCCAAGATGGTGAAACCCGGCCTCTACTAAAAAATACAGAAGAATTAGCCAGGCATGGTGTTGGGCACTTGTAATCCCAGCTACTCGGGAGGCTGAGGCAGAGAACTACTTGAACCCAGGAGGCAGAGGTTGCAGTGAGCCGAGATCGCACCACTGCACTCCAGTCTGGGCAACAGAGAGAGACAACGTCCCCCCGCCCAAAAAAAAAATTGTGGAGATGAGGTCTCACTATGTTGTCGAGGGTGGTCTCAAACTCCTGGGCTCAAGTGATCCTTCTACCTTGGTCTCCCAAAGTGCGAGGATTACAGGTGTGAGCCACTGTGCCAGACCTTAAATTCTTTAAGTCATCCTTCATAAAAGTTTTTAAAACTAGGACTCTATCTCTGTAGGGACCTTTTTTTTTTTTTTTGAGACAGGGTTTCACTCAGTCACCCAAGCTGGAGTGTCTATCACCCAGACTAAAGTGCAGTGGCACAATCACGGCTCACTGCAGCCTCCACCGCCAGGGCTTGCTTAATGGATCCTCCCACCTCAGCCTCCCAAGTAGCTGAGACTACAGGTGCGTGCCATCATGCCCAGGTAAATATATATATATATATATATATTTTTTTTTTGGCGGTGGGAATAGAGATGGGGTTTTGCCTTACTGCCCTGGCTGGTCTCAAACTCCTGGGCTCAAGTGATCCGCCCACTTCAACCTCCCAAAGTGTTGTGATTATAGGCGTGAGCCACTGTGCCCACCTTATTTTCTGTTTTACTTTTTTGAGACAGGGTCTCTCACTCTGTCACCCAGGCAGGGGTGCAGTGGCATGAACACAGCTCACTCCACTTCTGACCCCTGGGCTCAAGTGATTCTCCTGCCTCAGCCTCCTGAGTAGCTGGGATTACAGGTGCACGCCACCACGCCCAACTATTTTTTTTTTATTTTTTGTAGAGACGAGGTCTCACGACATCCTCACAACATTGGGTCTCTTTGTTGCCCAACCTGGTCACAAACTCCCAGGCTAAAGTGATCCGCCTACCTTGGCCTCCCAAAGTGCTGGGATTATAGGCTTGAGCCACCACGCTCGGCTGAGGACCACTTTTATAGTGCTCAGTGAAAGAGGTATATTTAAACATAAAATCAGCTCAATAAACATAAATTTGGCAGGGCGCAGTGGCTCACACCTGTAATCCCAACACTTTGGGAAGCTGAGGCAGGTGGATCAATTGAGGTCAGGAGTTTGAGACCAGCCTGGCCAACATGGCGGAACCCTGTCTCTACTAAAAACAAAAAAATTAGCTGGGCCTGGTGGCATGCGCCGGTAATCTCAGCTACTCAGGAGGCTGAGGCAGGAGAATTGCTTGAACGCAGGAGGCAGAGGTTGCAGTGAGCCGAGATCATACCTATGCACTCCAGCCTGGGAAACAAGAATGAAACTCTGAGGCCGGGCGCCGTGGCTCACGCCTGTAATCCCAGCACTTCGGGAGGCTGAGGCAGGCAGATCAATGAGGTTGGGAGATCGAGATGAGCCTGACCAACATGGAGAAACTCTGTCTCTACTAAAAATACAAAATTAGCTAGGCGTGGTGGCGCATGCCTGTAATCCCAGCTACTTGGGAGGCTGAGGCAGGAGAATCGCTTGAACCTGGCAGGCAGAGGTTGCAGTGAGCCAAGATAGCGCCATTGCACTCCAGCCTGGGCAACAAGAGCAAAATTCCGTCTAAAAAAACAAAACAAAACAAACAAACAAAAACACAAAAGAATGAAATGCTGTCTCAAAACAAACAAACAACCCCCAACACAAATTCAAGTCCTACAAATGCAAAGATACACCCTCTTTGCTTGGAATTTAACTTTCAATGTTTTTTCCAGGATCTGGGCTACGGAAATGGACAATTATGGAAATGGGAAAAGTCTACCCCATGGCTTGCCCTGCCTTAGAAAGAGCTCGCGTGTGTTCCTCTGTACCTCTGTGCACTCCGTGCAAGTAGAGATACTCCAGATAACCCACACAGTCCTCTTCTCCCACGGCCAGGAAAGCAGCTGGACAGCAGAGGGCGATGAAGAGCCAGGGACCTTGCCTGTAATCAGCTTGTAATGGGCTCTGAGGCCAGAGAGTTTCTCAGAGAGAAAGCTGGGGATCTTGGGTAGTCTTCTTAGGCCTCAGGTGTTGTGTGATTCTATAGCAATTTCTCTTCTTTTATTCATTTATCTATATAGAGACACGGTCTTGCTCTGTCACCCAGGCTAGAGTGCAGTGGTGTGATCACAGCTCACTGCAGTCTCCACCTCCTGGGCTCAAGCAATCCTCCTGCCTCAGCCTCCTGAGTAGCTGAGACCACATCTGGGCACACCACCATGCCTGGCTAATTTTAACATTTGTTGTAGAGCCAGAGTGTTGCTATGTTGCCCTGGCTGGCCTTAAACTCCTGGCCTCAAGTGATCCAAGACCTGCCTTGGCCTCCCCAAGCGCTGGAATTACAGACGTGGGTAAACATGCCCCTCTCAATCGCTCTTCTTTTCTTCAGAAACCTGAGTGACACCTGAGAGGCAGCCAGGGGAAGAGAATGAACTATCTGGAGTCAGAGCTGGTTTTGATTTTCACTGCATCCTTTTGAATTGAGTGACTTTAGCTAAATAACTCACTGAGGTTTACTTTGTCTCTTTATGTGTGAGGAAAGATAATTAATTCTGTTGTGCAGAATTTGTCTCAGGAGACTCTTACAGGGCTTAAGGTTGAACAACAATTCCAGGCACTGTCCTTGGCACTGGAGAGTCCCCAAGGGGCAAAAAGCAAACATGGCTTCTGCCCTCATAGAATTTACAGTTTTGTAGGGAGGACAGCTTTTAATCAACTGACCCCACAGACAGATTGCAAATTACACCTGCGCAAGTAAGTGCAACAAAGGAATGATCTCAGAGCCTGGGGAGGAGGAAGGGCCCAGGCAGGGAGATTTCCCTAAGGTAGTGAGGAGTGAGTTCAATCTGAAGGATGAGTAGGAGTTTACTAAGCAAAAAGAGAAAAGTCTTGCAAGAAAAGGGAATAGCTTTTCTTGCCCACATGTATGGGAGCCTGCCGCAAGGTTGATGGGAATGCAGGGAACAGAGAACAAGGTGGAGCTTAGCAGGGGATGTGGCTAGAGAGGCAGGGGTTAGATCACACAGGGGTCAGATCACAAGATCACACATTAGCCTAAGAACAATGGGAAGCCATGAACAATTTTAATCACAGGCTATGAACACATTTCCATTCTGAAAAGGTCCCTCTGGTTGCAGGACTCAACCCTCCACCCTCTTCCCCTCAATGCACCCTCAGGTATTAGAAGTCACTGAGTTCTGCAGCTGATCCTTCCTCCTTTTCCCTTGCATCTCTCAATATCTCCCACTGGGACTATTTCAATGGGCTCCCTGCCTCCAGTCTCACCTCCTCCACACAAAAAGCTTGATCTTATTTGATCCTCACAACATGCCTGCAAGCAAGCAAAATTGCAATCCTTATCCCTGTGTAAAGATAAGAAGGCCGGGCGTGGGCGCGGTGGCTCACGCCTGTAATCCCAGCATTTTGGGAGGCCAAGGCGGGTGGATCACCTGAGGTCAGGAGTTCAAAACTGGCCTGGCCAACATGGTGAAACCCTGTCTCTACTAAGAATACAAAAAATTACCTGGAGCGAGGCAGGAGAATTGCTTGAACCCGGGAGGCAGAGGTTGCAGTGAGCCAAGATAGCGCCATTGCACTCCAGCCTGGGCAATAGAGAAAGATTCCATCTCAACAACAGCAAAAACTTAATGTGTTGTCTGTAGCCGTTACATTATGAATAGCACAAAAATTGAGTAAATATTCTTCCAGTATTTGAAACCGTTTTCTGACTCAGCAAAGAAGTTGCTCCCATCATTGACAATCCAATTAAGTTTTGTCTTTTTCAGTTTTATCAACCAACATTCACCTTTACAATTACACTCCTAGGTCAACTGCAATCACAGTTTGGCTACCCATATAAGAGTTTGGCAAAAATCAATGAAAGCATTCTGTGAGAAAGAGTTATATGGAATTTGCCAATTTACTATTAATTGTAAATTGTGAACTACACATCCTTTATGTCAGTAAAACTTAACGACAAATTTTTGTACCTATATATGTGCATACATTCCCGTTCTCCCCCCAGAGAGCTGGTTGTTACACATTTATCAGTACAGCACTGGGTCTAGAACACGATTCATGTACTGATTCCACAAACATTCACTGGGTGCCAGGCGGACGGAGATACAGATTAATGATGAAATGACTCAGCCAAGGTCACACATCGCAAGCGGCGTAGATGGCAGAACCATATGTGCTCCCAAGGCCAGCGGCGCGCTCCCAGGACCAGACCATGGTTTCCAAGGCCTCTCCACTCTACCGAATGGGATGGCCTGGGCCTGGGCGCCCAGGAAGTGAAAAGCAAGGACCGGGAAAAGAGACCAACGCCAGCCAACAGACAGCTCACCGCCAATAGGGGCCGGGGGCGCGCGCGGCGTCACTCGCCGTGGAGGCCAGCGCGAGCACGCCCTGGGGAAAGTGGCGTGGCTAAGCCCTTCCGGAAGTGACGTCGGCTTGGGGGCGGTGCTCGGCGGTGGCGGAGCGCGGCCTGGGCTCGCGCTGGGCTCCGCGCGCCCCCCGCCCCCCTCTATGAGGCAGAGGCCGCGGCGGCCGTTAGCGCTGTCGCTCCGGGGGCCGCGGCGGGCGGGGCTCCGGCGGGGCCCGGCCTAGTCCCCACCCCAGCCCGGCTCCCAGCCGCCCGCCCTCCCTCCCTCTCCCCGATGCAGGAGGCCGAGCTCCGGGATGGCGAGGCGGCGGCGGCGGCCGCTTCGTACCGCGTCCTGAGCCGCCTCCTTGGCTATGGAGAGGCGGCCCCCGAGCCAGGCCCTCCGCCACCGCCCCCGGGCCATGGCCCCCCGCCGCCACCCTTCCTCGCGCGGCCCGGCCCGCGGGGCTCCCGGCCGCCGCAGCTGATGGTGTTCCGCAACGTGGGTCGGCCGCCGGAGGAGGAGGACGTGGAGGCGGCCCCGGAGCCGGGACCCTCGGAACTGCTGTGTCCCCGGCACCGCTGTGCCCTGGACCCCAAGGCCCTGCCGCCGGGCTTGGCGCTCGAGCGGACCTGGGGCCCGGCGGCTGGACTAGAGGCGCAGTTGGCGGCTCTGGGGCTCGGGCAGCCGGCGGGGCCGGGGGTCAAGACAGTCGGTGGGGGTTGCTGCCCGTGTCCGTGTCCTCCTCAGCCGCCCCCTCCGCAGCCCCAGCCGCCTGCTGCCGCCCCGCAGGCCGGGGAGGACCCCACGGAAACGAGCGACGCGCTGCTGGTCCTGGAGGGCTTGGAATCGGAGGCCGAGAGCCTGGAGACTAACAGCTGCTCGGAAGAGGAGCTCAGCAGCCCGGGTCGCGGAGGAGGAGGGGGCGGCCGGCTTCTGCTGCAGCCCCCAGGCCCTGAATTACCTCCGGTGCCCTTCCCGCTGCAGGACTTGGTCCCTCTGGGGCGCCTGAGTAGAGGGGAGCAGCAGCAGCAGCAGCAGCAGCAACCTCCCCCGCCCCCGCCTCCTCCCGGGCCCCTCCGGCCACTCGCGGGTCCTTCTCGGAAGGGCTCCTTCAAAATCCGCCTCAGTCGCCTCTTTCGCACCAAGAGCTGCAACGGTGGCTCCGGCGGTGGGGATGGGACCGGCAAGAGGCCTTCTGGAGAGCTGGCTGCTTCAGCTGCGAGCCTGACAGACATGGGAGGCTCTGCGGGCCGGGAGCTGGACGCGGGGAGGTGAGACCGGCCGGGGGCTGGCCGACAAACTTCCTTTTCTTGTTTGGTTTCCCTTTTTATCTATTGCTATCGCGATCCTGACAGTTCTTAAGATAGGGTCTTCAGGAGGAGGCAGAGACTTGGGACCAAAGGTGGTAACATCTCGCATAAGGTCAGCGCTAATTGTGGAAACAGCTTTCACTCTTAAAGAGTGCACACTCCGTGACACTTCTCAGCTGGTTTGCATCTGTCTTGTTGGAAGATGGTTTCAGACCATCCTCCCATCCCCATCCTGGCATGGCTTTTTAAGTTTTTCCAAGGCGGCTGTGTGCCATTGTCCCTGGAAGGGAGATTGCTGGAAGTGTTTGGCCTTTGGGGCAAAAAGCTGGTGTTGCACCTTGACCGCCTTGCTTATTCTGTGTACCAGCACCGCACCTCCCTTCACACTCATGCATGCAAATGACAGGAGAATCTTCAAATGCAATTGTAGGCCAGCAATCAATTGGACACCTCTATTCAAAGTTTTACTGTTTTCCTGGTTGTTCCCTTAGATGAACTTGGCATATCAAACTTGGGTGCTGACCACTGTCTCTGAGAATAGAAAATAGCAGACCGGGCACAGTGGCTCACACCTGTAATCCCAGCACTTTGGGAGGCCGAGGAGGGCGGATCACCTGAGCTCAGGAGTTTGAGACCAGCCTGGGCAACATGCGAAACCCCATCTCTACAAAACAAACAAACAAAAAATTAGCCCCCATCTCTACGAAAAAAATACAAAAAATTAGGCGGGAGTGGTCCCAGCTACTCGGGAGGCTGAGGCAGGAGGATCACTTGAGCCCAGGAGGCGGAGGTTGCAGTGAATAGTGATCGTGCCACTGCACTCCAGCTTGCGTGACAGAGTGAGAGCCTGTCTCGAGAAAATAGCTTTGCGCTCTCTCAAAGCCTTTTGAGAATTCTAAGTACCAGTAAGATATAGACAAGGTAGAGACAGGTACATGAGTTCTAGGCCGATTGATGAAAATTCCAAACATAGACGTTGAGTTTTTTTCCTGCATTTCTGAGGGGTGGACTGATCTTCGGCATCCAGTGTTACATCTGTAGCGTTGGTTTACAAAGCTGTCAACTTTGGTGTCAGTGAAATTAGTTACCTTGTAGTAACTGCCATTGTGGTTTGTACTTCTTTGGGTTCTCAGAAAGATTGGAATGGGTTTTGTTGTGGTTTACGTGATGGATTCTTGAGACATACTGGCAGCCATAAACCAAAGCTAAAGAACAGGTATAAATTGATAACCTTACTGTGAACTAAGATCACTTGGGGAGCTTTTTGAAAAGCCTAAGAGTTTGAACTTTTTAAAAGCTCCCCAGTTGATCCTGAACTGGGAACCACTCATCCATAGACTTCTGTTTTCAAGGGAACTTGGGTACTCCAACAAGAAAATGTTGGGTGGATTTGGCTTTCTTGCCCTTTCTGAACAGCTGTGCCATGGGCTTATCTTGGGGATCAGGCCAAATCCAAACTTTCTAAAGAAATCAGTGTGTTGTCCCTTTAGGTAGGCCAGTGTTTCTGCTTTGCCTCCCAGTGAATTCATGCTGGGAGTTCAGATCTTGAAAAGTGGGTGGCTGCTGAAACAGCTTTTTTTGTGGTAGGCTCTGTATTCGATGCTCCACTTACCAGCACAGATGAAATTTTCATCAGATGCAGGGGAGGGCGGGATTAAAGCTATGGGTAATGACATAGGATAGATTGCTAATTTTCTTGTGGTTTGTCTTGCCTTTGTTCCATATTGACCAGGAGTTCGTCTGAGATTCCAGAGACGCCAAATACGAGGTGTGGCGTGAAATTAGCTGCTACGTCTAATAGATTAGGAAGAGGAAAAGGCATATGACATTATACGGTTTTTTGCCTTTGGAAGCAGAATTTAATGGTCATTGGCTGCTCTGTCACCAACCCTCACACTAAGCACAATACAGATTTCTGCTGCAGAGCAAATTGGGCTGTAGCTTTGCAAAGAAGCTTAGTTCAGGGCACTGGAGAATTACATTTTTTGGTCCAAGGGCTTTTTTTGATGAATTGGAGAAGAGCTAGTTATTTGTGTATAAACGTTTGGTTGACTGCTGTTTGGAGGCAGCATGCTGTATAGAGAATGTGAAAGTCTAGATTCCGTGTAAACTCCAACATCAGCTAGGAGATGACCAAATTTGTCACCTTCATGCTTCCCTTTTTCCCCCATCTGTAAAATGGGTGAGCGTTGACTGTCTTGTTCCTGTCCTTATAAGAGTAGATTGTTGAGAAGAGAAATCTAGATGGAATATTTTGTGCTTTTTAGAAGATAAGTAATAGGACTGAGCTGGTAAATTTTTTAATGCTTAGGATTTGGTGCTGCTTGTGAGCTTTTCGACAGCTTACTATGTGCCAGTCTTGCTGGCAGCCTCGCAGCTGTGAGAAACTTGGTGAGTCTGGCCAGGGTAGTTGTGATTTCTGTGGATCTGCACCTCCTAAGTCCGCAATAGTGGGAGGATGAGTTTGGATTTTTAGCTTGTTCTCTTGTTTTGATTGGTAGGACCTGGAAATGGTGAGAAATTTCAGTCTTTTGCCAAAGGGTATATGCCTTTGTCCTCATTGTTGATTGGAGTTAATTATGGGCTTCTATAGTCTTTGCTGTATAATTTGGGGCTTTTGCAGTAACCTCTGGGCATAATTCCCTTTGCTATTCCCAACATCTGCCTTCCTACAATCATTTTAGAAGGTTTAACAATTCCCACATTTTAGCACTAAGCAAAACTTCCTTTTAGTTGCTTTTGAGTCTGGTAAGTGGACCTACCTGGATATATTGTCTTCAGTGTGGTATGAGTTAGCTTAGAGAAGTCTTTTTGTTTTGTTTTTTGTTTTGAGGTGGAGTCTTGCTCTGTCGCCCAGGCTGGAGTGCAGTGGTGCGATCTTGGCTTACTGCAACCTCTGCTTCCCGGGTTCAAGCGATTCTTCTGCTTCAGCCTCCCCAGTAGCTGGGATTACAGGGGCCCACCACCACACCCGGCTCATTTTTTTATTTTTTATTTTTAGTAGAGCTGGGGTTTTGCCATGTTTGCCAGGTTGGTCCCGAACTCCTGACCTCAGGTGATCTGCCTGCCTTGGCCTCCCAAAGTGCTGGGATTACAGTCATAAGCCACCAAGTCTGGCCAACTTAGATAACTGTTTTTAAGTGAGGTAAGAAATGGGCCCACCAGTTGGGTGTGGTAGTGTGCACCTGTAGTCCCAATACTTGGAAGGCAGAGGCAGGAGGATTACTTGTGCCCAGGAAGTTCAAGGGCACAGTAAGCTATGATGTGCCACTGCATTCCAGCCTGGGCAACAGAGCCAGACTCCATCTTTTTTTGGGGGCCGGGGGGATGGAGTCTCACTCTGTTGCCCATGCTGGAGTGCAGTGGCCCGATCTTGGCTCACTACAACCTCCGCCTCCCAGGTTCAAGCCATTCTCCCGAATAGCTGGGACTACAGGTACACGCCACCACGCCTGGCTAATTTTTTGTATTTTAGTAGAGACGGCGTTTCACTGTGTTGCCCAGGCTGGTCTCGAACTCCTGAGCTCAGGCAGTCCGCCCACCGCAGTCTCCCAAAGTGCTGGGATTACAGGCGTGAGCCACCACGCCCAGCTGACTCCATCTCTTTAAAAAGAAAGAAAGAAAGAAAGAAAGAAATGGGCCCAGCAACTAATCAGGTTTCTGTTCTGGGGAACTGGGCTAGGGCTTATAACACACATATGTTGGAATTCAAAGAGCTGGGCTTGATGCCTGTGGTCCTCAGTGTAATCTAGCATTGCTATTTCAGGAAAACCAGTGGAGTTCCCATGTCTGTTTCTCATATGTTGAGTTGATTGCCTTCCTTTGGATTTGGTGAGAGATCTAATTTGATCTGACCATTTTGAATCATCACGTAATACACACTTGGTTGGAAATAGGTACCTTGTTCACTTTTCAAGATTTGTTTTTTACCAAGTTAACAGATGAGGCTATTACTGGCTGTCTTCATGGTAGTGAGGTGGAGAAATGGAGGACGGTTCTGTAGTGGTTTCCTATCTATTTATTTGGGGGGGAAAAAAACAAAATATAGAATTCTGGAAAGAGAGGCAGGCTGCTTTGGCATCCATTTGGGGCCCTGCTGTCGTGGACAGGCCTGGCAGACGTGAGAAACTTTTTTCACTGTATCCTTGGGTCTTCAGGTCTAAAGGGATCTTTTTGAGTAATAGCATGACATGCTGAGAGCAAAATGATTTTATGGTGTGGCGAGGAAGTTCTGATTTTATGTTTGGGTTTTGGGTCCACACACTGTTGATCTTTTTAACTATTTTTTCCATGAAGTGGTTGTGGTTGGCAGCTCTCCTTTAGAACGAACTCCTGGGCTTAAAAAAAAATCTCTGTCCATTTGAGTCCTGTGCAGTGCTTCTCACTCCTTAACATTCTCTCTGCCAACATCATTTCTAAGGTTTTAGACCTTGGACCATGCCTCTTGGCTTTTCCCTGGAAGTTCCCTCTATAGGTTCTTTAGTTGGTTTATGATGGAGTTTTGGATCTGACCTTGCTGCACAGATGTCTGTGTATTGGAACTAAAAATGAACACATGGTTTTTGTGCCTGTAGCACATGAACAGACACTGGCTTATGACGTGTTGGAAATGGCACAGGCTGGCTGACTTGGCACCGTGTGCTTTAGCAGGGGCAGAGGTACATTGGAGCCATAAAATCTGGTATTTGGACATCCTAGTTTGGAAGTTACTTTAGAAAAGGACATGTGTAAATCTTAGGGCATCAGTACAGGAGATTTATGGGCAAGATAGGTTATTATTCTTTCATTGTTTTTATTTTAGGTTTCAAGGAATTTGAAAACCAGCCAATGGTTACATCTATGTGTTGTTGTTCTGTCTAGTCTAATGCTTTTAACTCCTTTATCCCATAAATCTGTTGCAGTACAGTTAATAATTTGCAGGGTAGAAATGGACAGAGGCATCCTGTTTTTTTGTTACCTACAGCATAGGCAGTAATTTAGCTGACACAAAGGACTGCTGGCCTCAAAGACCTTTGCCTAAGGCCTGCTGCCCTGTCCTTTTCTGTCACCTGAAGCACAGCCCACCAAATGCTATTCTTTCCCACCCTACTCCTCCAGTCTTTGTTGCTGCTAAGATGAAAGTGGTCTACTGGCAAAGTTAGAGGGGTATAACTTTGCACCCTAATGCTTTTTGAGGTGATCTGGGGAAGAATAAATAACATGGGAATGTAGTATAGAGGGTTAGTTTAAAATGTTATCTGAAATTCCTTTATTCATATTGCTCTCCAAAATATAGTGTGTCAGCTTAGAATGGCCTTTTATCATTCCAAATGGTTCATGTATACAAAAGGGGATATATAAAGTGTATGTCTTTGAATAATAATAAAATACAAATGTAGGTACCCATCACTAAACTTAACAAATAGAATGTTATCAGTACCTTTGAAGAGTGTTGCTTTCTAATTACATCTTACCCCTCCCCCAGGTAACCACCATCCTCAATTTTATGTATTAGTATCTTGCTTTGTTGTTGTTTTTTTTTTTTTTATTGTCATCTAGATTGGTTTTTTCATGAATGACTGCCATTAGAATGCTCTCAGGATCCTTGAGACAGATACTGCTTTGGGTTTGTAGTTAGGCTTGTCTCCCCAAAGAGAGAAAGAAGCATGCATATTTATTAGTAGCCTTTTAGCCTCCTAGACTTTAGACCTTTTACCTTTCCAAGCATCCAGCCATGAGGCCCCCTTATTTGCCAGGAAAAACCATTCTGGCACTCTCGAACAGCTCTCCCTGGATTCAGATGTTTTTCTTTTTCTAGATCCTAGAAACTATGATTTTTCTTCTTCAAAATGCCGGGGGTGGGGGAGAAGATGAGCTGAAGTGAGAAGGCCTCCGCAAGATGTGTGCATTTGGGTCCTGCCGTTCTTCAGTGCTTGGCACTGAAGAGACTCGTCCCCAGCATGGGCAGATGGCAGAGTAATGCAGCTTCCTTTGAAAAGAGGCAAACGGCCAAATGGCTGAGGTGTGAACCTTTTGAAAGGCCAGTGCTTCAGGTTTCTACTTGCTGGGTTTAATGTTGTACCCACAAGTTATCAAATAAAAATCAGCTTGGAAGCTCTTCAGCAGTCCTAAAGTTCATGTCCAGTGGAATTAACATTGCATTCCATTCCTCTGGATTTTTGGAACTAAGCTGCAGTCATGAGCCACTTTTATGAGCGGAGAAACTGTGTGGCCATATCTTATTTTTATGTAGCCACCTCTCCTGTGGGTGCTGTGGGTGGAATATTCATAGTGAGCGTGATCATCAGAACCCTCAAGTATGGAAGAGGTTGCCAAGGGAATGTAAAGCTAGGTCAGGAGAAAGACGGACCAGGGTTTCAGCTCTTTCTGAATAAGATCTTCATGGTATGGTTTTAGAATTTTGTTTGAGGTGAATTCTGAGAAGCTCAGACATCAGTGTTAAAACATAAATGCATAAATATCTTCTGAAGTCAAATAATTTAAAATAGAATTTCATTTTGGATTTTCTTTGCTTTTGCCCCTCTCTATTGGTGCAGTTTATAGTTGAAAAGAGTTTAAGTTCTATTTAGACCTTTGGGTAAGAGTATTTTTGGAAGGTGAGCCAGCTATAATGCTAGGAGACAGGCACTCAATTCTGCGGTAGGATTTTCTTTAAGTCTGTTTTACTGTTATATATATATATATATTATTTTTTTAAAAAAATTTTTAATTTAAAAAAATTTTTTTTTGAGACAAGGTCTCTGTCACCCAGGCTGGAATGCAGCGGCTCAATCATGGCTCACTGCAGCCTTGACCTTCCCAGGTTCAGGTGACCCTCCCATCTCACACTCCTGAGTAACTGGGACTAGAGGTGTGCACCACCACGCCCAGCTAATTTTTATATTTTTTGTAGAGACGAGGTTTCATCATGTTGCCCAGGCTGGTCACGAACTCCTGGGCTCAAGCAATCTGCCCACCTCAGCCTCTCAAAGTGTTGGGATTACAGGTGTGAGCCATCGCACCGGGCCTGAGGTATAATTTATATACCGCAAAATTTACCCTTTTAAGTGTCCAGCTCTATTAATTTTGACAAATTTATATATAGTCATCATAACTTCTACCATAATCAGCATGTAACATATTTCTTTTTCTTTTTTTTTTTTTGGGGATGGAGTCTCACTCTGTCACCCAGGCTGGAGTGCAGTGGTGTGATCTTGGTTCACTGCAACCTTCACCTCCCGGGCTCAGGAAATTCTCCTACCTCAGCCTCCTGAGTAGCTGGGATTACAGGTGCATGCCACCATGCCCAGCTAATTTTTGTTTAGTAGAGATGGAGTTTCACCATGTTTGCCAGGCTGGTCTCGGGCTCCTGACCTTGTGATCTGCCCACCTTGGCCTCCCAAAGTGTTGGGATTACAGGAGTGAGCCACTGTGCCCAGCCAGCATATGGCATATTTCTTTTTTTTTATTTTTTTATTTTTATTTTTTATTTTATTTTACTTTATTTTGAGACGGAGTCTCGCTCTGTCGCCCAGGCTGGAGTGCAGTAGTGCGATCTTGGCTCTCTGCAAGCTCCGCCTCCTGGGTTCACGCCGTTCTCCTGCCTCAGCCTCCCGAGTAACTGGGACTACAGGCACCCGCCACCACACCCGGCTAATTTTTTGTATTTTTAGCAGAGACAGGGTTTCACCGTGTTAGCCAGGATGGTCTTGATCTCCTGACCTTGTGATCCGCCTGCCTTGGCCTCCCAAAGTGCTGGGATTACAGGCATGAGCCACCGCACCCGGCCAGCATATAACATATTTCTATTACCTCGACAAGTTCAGTAATTCTGAGGTGAGTTTTTTTGGTTTAACACACTTCTGGCCATAATGTCTTTGTTGGAGTCTTTTGAGTTTCTTTCATTTCTTGCTGAAAAGCCACTTGAAAGTGTGGTAAGAAGTGAAGTTATCTTTGGTATATTAACCAAAAGATCTGGGTTTTCAGACTGGTTCCCTGAAACAGCATCAAGAAGTCATGGGGAGGGCTGTGTGAGTGGCAGCTCAGAGAGACGAATGGGCCCTCTTGGATGCTAGGCAGAGCCCCTAATCTGAGGAGGCCCACTTAGTAGCTGATGGCTTTGACCCATGCCTTGGGGCAATTGTGCAGAAATCAGAGGTCTTCAAGGTTGAAGACTGCACATGCATCCTGCAGTGCTATTCTCAGGTCAGAATCTGTTCCTTGGTTCACTTTGGGATGACCTATCCTATAGGCAAGCCCAGAGGGAAACTTTGCTCTGAGCTGGTGCCTGTCCAGGTTAAGAGCCCTTTTCTTGGCTCCCAGATGGAAATTAGCTCTGCATCAGACTTCCTTCCTCTTGAAATGGACTTGCTAATTACCACTCAAGGTGTTTTACTCTTTTAATGTACTGGGTATGGTGAGCTCCAAAGGGATTTCTCATTGCTTTGTAGGTTGGTGAATTCTGTAGCCAAATCTATTTAAGGAATTGCCTTAATTATTTCATTCTCCCCCTTTATTTTATGCTGTATTACAAGAGTGTTGCTGACAACGACTAGGGTTTGCTTTATTTCTCAGTGCATCTGGAACTGAGTGTTGTGGTGACTTAAATGCATATGTGTTCATTTCTCCCCTCTATTCTCTCTCTGCTTTCTCACTCCCTAGGAAACCCAAGTTGACAAGAACTCAAAGTGCCTTTTCTCCGGTCTCCTTCAGCCCCCTGTTCACAGGTAAGGGTAATATCTTTCTCTCTTCTGACATCTGAAAACAGGGGCGTTCTGAGACCTGTTGGGAAACACTTACAGATGCATCACAGGGAGCTGTAGGCGTGTCTGCAGTTATTTCCTTCATTCCATGCTTAGTGGGTTTGGGGTGAGGCTATTTTTATGGTATGGAATGTATTCTTGACTTTGGATGCTTTATAGTTGGAGGTAAAGGCTGCTTGTTGGTAATTAGGTGGCCTGGGTGGCCCTAGCAGTTATGCAGTGCTTAGTTCAGGGTCATCACATATAAATTAAAACTAGGAATTACAAATTTATGGGCTCACAGTGCATAAAAGACTCTCTAGAAGTCATACAATTTCTGTCTCTGCTTCCAAGGGAGTTCATGGGTTATCTCATAAAAATGATCCATGATTATCTGGTCTATTTTTAAAGACTTTTTTGGGCAAAGGGGATTACATGAGCTCTTGTCTTTTTAGGGGCTTGCAGTTCCTGCAGCTGTTAGACTTCTTTATTGTATCTAATTTAAGTCTGCCCTCTTGCAGCAGGGAACACAGTTGCTAAACTAGGAAGGCTGTAGAATCTCCTTTGGATGATGGGTAACTGCCTTCTCGTTTCGTAGGGAGCTTTTTCAGAGAGGGAGACCTTCTGTTATGTCAGTCACAGGTGAAGCTCCTGCATGAATAAGCTGGAGAAAAGTGGGGCTTTGCCCATGTCTCAGAAACTGAGTACTTCTCATTGGTTGTGACTGAGAAGCCTTTAAAAAAAATCCCAATCTCAAACTCCTTTGGATATCATGTCCCTCAAAAAGGTGATTGGAAGACTTACGATTTGGGAATGGATGCTTCCAGGAAAATGTTAAGCAGGCCAATGAGACTTGCAGCTGGGTAGACTGCTGTGAACTGTCAAAACAAGTGAATTGGTACCTGTATAGGCATCTACTGTAGTGGAGAAGGAGGTCTCTGTTCTTACCCAAGCCCAGAATTAAAAAATCTTATCTTGCGATACCATGTCTTTCTAGTTAATAGTTGTTTCCTCATTAAAGTAAGGAACATGGCTTGGTCACGGTCACGGTGGCTCATGCCTATAATCCCAGCACTTCGGGAGGTTGAAGTGAGCAGATCATCTGAGGTCAGGTGTTTCAGACCAGCCTGGCCAACATGGTGTGAAACCCCGTCTCTACTAAAAATACAAAAAATTAGCTGGGGCATGGTGCCGCACGCCTGTAGTCCAGCTACTCGGGAGGCCGAGGCAGGAGAATCGCTTGAACCCGAGAGGCTGAGGTTGCAGTAAGCAGAGATTTTGCCACTGCACTCCAGCCTGAGCGACTGAGCCTCTGTCTCAAAAAAAAAAAAGGAACACCACCTACATTTGTAGTTTGAGGTTCAGGTCAGCCTCAGCCCTCTTGAATGACGTCCTTTATGTTAAGTGCTCTACCAATAGTCTAGACTGCTCTGGCCTGTCAGGAAATACACTTGTCTGGCTCCATCGCATTGCTCTGGGCAGCCAGGCTTTCAGTTACCAAGCTGTATGGTGAGTCTGGTACCAGCTTTCTAGAACTTCCACTGATGGCTTTTGTTTATTTTTGACACAGGGCCTCACTTTGTCTCCCAGGCTGGAGTGCAATGGTGCAGTCTCAGCTTACTGCAGCCTCGACCTCCTAGGCCCAAACGATCCTCCCACCTCAGCCTCCAGAATAGCTGGGACTATAGGCATGCACCACCATACCTGAATAATTTTTATATTTTTGTAGAGACGGGGTCTTAACGTGTTGCCCAGGCTGGTCTTGAACTCCTGAGTGCAAGTGATTCGCCTACCTTGGCCTCCCAAAGTGTTGGAATTACAGGTGTGACCCACTGCACCTGGTCTCACTGATGACTTTTAGAAGAGCTTTTCTGTTTATCTTAATTAGTATTCAAGAGCTTTGTAAAAAAACTGTGTATTTAGGTTCTGAAAGCCCAGTTTCCTTTGGTAGATATTGGTCACCTCATTTTCTTAACGGGGAAACATTTAAAATACTAGCTGAGGGGCTCATTCAGCCCTGAATTAAAAAAAAAGGTGTTGGAAGGAACACCGTAAGGGCTAAATTAGAGAAATCCTGAGTTCTGACTTGTGCATCAGGCCTGCCAAAATAACCGTATTCCTGGCTATCAGCTTGTGTTCATATTAATAAAATACCTTTCATCCTCTCGTGACTCAAGTGGAGAGGGAATAGACAGAGTTGGGTGGCAAGGAGTATTGTATATGGCAGGGAACAGAACTGCATGACATGCTGGGAAGAAGAGAGGCCATGTGCCTCCTCCCACCAAGTTCCTATGGAGAAGCTGCCTCTTAGATTACCTGACTTTTGTCTGACTGTGAAAGTAGTTAATTTTTAGGACTATAAATTGTACTTTCAGCCTTTGTAGCCTCAGCTGTTAAGAACAGATATCTTATTCAGGTAGATTCTCTTATGTGTGAATACTCTGGAAAATCAAGATATGGACTGCCCTCTAGGAAGAAGTTAGGACTAACATTGGGAACTTTATCTGCATTCAGCTTACCGTACAGTTCTTAGGTTTTCTGGCCCTTGCTTTCCATGTCTGTTTGGGCATATAACAAGCCACTTGGCTTGCTTCCTAAGGCAGAAATTGATACACAATTCTGAAAAAATAAATGGTATGGGTTCTATTGGATAAAGAAGACCCCTTGTTTGAGGGTACGTTGTAAGTCAGTGGCGGAACCAGAATTAGATGGTTTTTCCACTGTCAGTCCCATGGTTTTGTCCTAAAGAATCCTTGACCCTTAACAGGGCAAAGGAATGATAGAATTTAAAAATTGACTTCCTGGTGTTGGGGTGATTTCAGCCCTGGGGGCATTAGGTTTTGAGCTTTCTGAGAGCAGCAGACCCCCAGCCTCGCCTGCTTGCCCTTTGCTTCCCTTTGCTTTCTGCATCAGCTTTGGGCAAGGCGCTTCTGTAACTTGCTTGCTCCATGAATCCCTCAGGTGAAACTGTGTCGCTTGTGGATGTGGACATTTCTCAGCGGGGCCTGACCTCTCCACACCCTCCAACTCCCCCTCCTCCTCCGAGAAGAAGCCTCAGCCTCCTAGGTATAGTTTCTTCCCCTCTCCACCTTCTTGCCTAGTGGGAGGGTGAGCTCCAGGGACTTGTTCTTTGCTGGGGGCCGACCACGCTTCTGGGTTTCCGATGATGACTCAATTATTTCCCAGCTCTTTCTCAGCACCCCGTCATCTCCCTAAGCAATTAAATGGGTCTCACCCGCATGCTGTAATACTTACTATACATATATTAATTCAGTTTACATTTATCTTGCCTTGAACCCACTGCTATTGGGCTGCATTAGGAATATCCTTACTACCCTGCTTTCCAAAAGCAAAACAGAGTAAGATGATTGTTGCCCTCTGTGCAAAAAGACTGGGTGAAGGTTGGGCCATCCTGCCCCAGAGGGCAGCCTGATAGTCCTTCTCCCTCTCCTCTGCCTTCAGCGTGCTCATTCTGTGCTCACATTTCTGAACCTCTTGCTTTTGTTCTCTCTTCTAGATGATATCAGTGGGACGCTGCCTACATCTGTCCTTGTGGCTCCGATGGGGTCTTCCTTGCAGTCTTTCCCCCTACCTCCGCCTCCTCCACCCCATGCCCCAGGTTAGCTTAGTTTAGAGGCAAGACTTGTAAGAGTTGGGAGTACAAAGTGATACTTTCTACCATAGAAGGATGGGAGAAATCTATTTATGGAAATAACAGCTTAGTAGAAAGTTTAAATCTTTTCCCCTTGGCTGGACCAGACTCCTTAGAAATGAGGCGGAGAACTGGTTTTCCTAACCCGTTTTCTTTATGGAGGTCAATCTGATTTTTGTTAGGGATGAAAGACTACTGAATTTTTCATCAGTCTTTGCTGCTGAGACTGTTTTGCAATCCTTGAGTAGATATCACTTAAGAAACTGCCTTAATTTCAGGATAGTGAGGTTTAATATGTTGGTGGTTTTCAGCATTCTATGGTTTTTCTAAGCTTTTAGTATTTACTGCAGCCTTGTAAATAAGTACCAAGCATTTAGCAGCCCATACCTGCTTTGCCAGCTTACAGTACCCAAGGAATAAAATGAATGAAATCAGCATTCTTTTCTACTTGCCTGGCAAAATCATTACTCTTCCTGGGCAAGTAAGCGAGTCACTATTTCCAAGGCTGCCTTATCGGCACTTCACTTCGAGGTGGGAGAAGTTGGAATCGCTCTAGGCTGGTGAAGCCCCTGAAGTAGTCACCTTAGTAAGGTTAGTGAGCAGCTCCCCTCCCCCTTTCTTGGGGTCAAGTGCCCCCACCCATCCTTCACAGCTTACACAAGCCCACACAGCTTTTTGTTCCAGCCCATCCAGCTCTTTGCCACTGCTTTGGCTTCTACCCTTTCCAGCTTAGCTTCTAATGCCTTGCCCTCTTCAGTTAGCATCCTCTGTTTTTGGGGGAGGGTCTATTTGTGGTTGGGAGCAGTGAGGGTAAACAAGTGACCACCACTGTCTTGCCCTGCAGATGCATTTCCCCGGATTGCTCCCATCCGAGCAGCTGAATCCCTGCACAGCCAACCCCCACAGCACCTCCAGTGTCCCCTCTACCGGCCTGACTCGAGCAGCTTTGCAGCCAGCCTTCGAGAGTTGGAGAAGGTAGGTGGTACCTAAGGACTGGCAGGTCACTTCTCCTCCCATTAGCTAAATTCTGTATTCGGACACACCTTTATTTATGTGTTTATTTATTTTTAGAGACAGGGTCTGGCTCTGTTGCCCAGGCTAGGGTGTGGTGGCATAATCATAGCTCACTGTAGGCTCAAACTCCTGGGCCAAAGGATCCTTCTGCCTCAGCCTCCTGAGTAGCTAGGACTGCAGGCATGCACGACCAAGCCCAGCTAAAATTTATTTATATTTTTTGTAGAGACTGGTCTTGCAGTTTCCCAGGCTGGTCTTGAACTCCTGGGCTCAACGTGATCCTCTTGCCTCTGCCTCCCAAAGCTCTAGGATTATAGGCGTAAGCCACCACACCCAGCCCCTGTTTATTGTTTTCAGAGGAAGAATAGTTTACTTGCTTCCATATTTACAGTGACAAAACAGTGTGCTCCTGCTATTAGTTCCATGAGATGTAATAAAATTGAATTTGGGGAAAAAATTTGGACATGATAAAGGTTGTTGGAGAAATGTTTTACATAGTCTAAGCTGATTTTGATAGATTAACTGACCCAGTTCCCTCTTCTTTTCTTGGTAGGGTCTTTGGTAACAAAATTGTAGAATTATTATTCTTTGTTTTTTGTTGTTGTTGTTGTCTTGTTTTGTTTTTGAGACTGAGTTTCGCTCTTGTTGCCCAGGCTGGAGTGCAGTGGCGCAATCTCGGCTTACTGAAACCTCCGCCTCCTGGGTTCAAGCAATTCTCCTGCCTCAGTCTCCTGAGTAGCTGGGATTACAGGCGCCCACCACCATGCCCAGCTAATTACTGTATTTTTAGTAGAAATGGGGTTTCACCATGTTGGCCAGGCTGGTCTTGAACTCCTGACCTCAGGTGAGCCACCTGCCTTGGCCTCCCAAAGTGCTGGGATTACAGGTGTGAACCACTGCGCCCAGCCATTTTGTTTTTTGTTTTTTGTTTTTTTGACACAGAGTCTCACTGTGTAACCCAGGCTGGAGTACAGTGGCGCAATACCAGCTCACTGCAACCTCCACCTCCTGGGTTCAAGCGATTCTTCTGCCTCAGCCTCCTGAATAGCTGGGATTACAGGCATGTGCCACCAAACCCAGCTAATTTTTGTATTTTTAGTAGAGATGGGTTTTCACCATGTTGGCCAGGCTGGTCTCGAACTCCTGACCTCAAGTGATCCACCCGCCTCAGCCTCCCAAAGTGTTGGGATTACAGGCATGAGCCACAGCTCACGGCCAGAATTATTATTCTGTTACTTTGGAGGGCTAAAAGTATAGTGAGCCTGATGTTCATTGCTAATGGTTGAGACACTTGTAAGTGGCTTTTACCTATTGAAATATTTTGGAGAGAATGCAGAGGGTTCTCCCATGTTAAGATAGATTGCACTGAAAACTTTGACATTTCTCTGTCCTGATAACTAGTGGACTGCTTCTTGTCTTTGATAGTGTGGTTGGTATTGGGGGCCAATGAATTGGGAAGATGCAGAGATGAAGCTGAAAGGGAAACCAGATGGTTCTTTCCTGGTACGAGACAGTTCTGATCCTCGTTACATCCTGAGCCTCAGTTTCCGATCACAGGGTATCACCCACCACACTAGAATGGAGCACTACAGAGGTAAGAGATACTGGTAAGAGAGGCTTCTTCCCCCCTTGATTTGCTCTACCTTTGCTGTCTGACTTTTTTGTGGAAGAGATTCATAGGAATGGAACTACAAATAGGGGAAAAATTATCTTAGACTCAGTTGAATATTGATATGAGCGCTGATTTCCGTCACTAGAAGAAATGGAGGGGGTAGGGAAGGGAGAGTAAGGGTTCCATTTAAAAGTCTTGTCAGCAGCATCTTGTTTCCTAAATAGGAGGGCCTGAACAAAACTGTTGGAGAGGCTCCCGAGAAATGAGCCGGTAAAACTCTTTAGGTAAAAGGAAGAAAGAACGTAGGACCATTAGGCAAATTCTCACAAGCTTTGTTTGTAGTTAAACTTATCATCTAGAGATATTTTGTTAAATCACGTATACAAAGAGGGTGAATTTAGTGTTGATCCTGTAACTGTTCTGTTCTGAATTTCTTTCTTTTTTTTTTTTTTGAGACAGAGTCTCGCTCTGTTGCCTAGGCTGGAGTGCAGTGGTGCGATCTCAGCTCACTGCAACCTCCGCCTCCTGGGTTCAAGTGATTCTTCTGCCTCAGCCTCCTATGTAGCTGGGATTACAGGCATGTGCCACCAGGCCTGGCTAATTTTTGTATTTTTAGTAGAAACAGTGTTTTATTCTGTTGGCCAGGCTGGTCTCAAACTCCTGACCTCAGGTGATCCACCCGCCTCGGCCTCCCAAAGGGCTTGGATTACAGGTGTGTCTGAATTTCTTTGTCTGATAGTCACTTTCTCCCAGGCAGCATGGTGATAATTTCCTCTTTTTGTCAATGTTGTAGTCTCTTAGGAAATATTCATTAAAATGTTGAGAGTTTGTGGGATCAACATGCTTTAGACTATCTGCCATTCTCCTAGTGGTACCTCTTCCTTTGTGATCAGATGGTACTTCATGTGCCAGTCATGCCTAGAAGCCGACTTGTTAAACACAGCTCTCTGGATTGACTTTGTATCGAGACATTCTGTATCTAACTTGGGCCAGAAACTTGTGATGGTCATTGTTTCTGAGGCTGGGTAATACATCCTTTGTCAAAATACCTGTGTATGCTACAAATTGAAAAAGCATAGAGAACTTTGGTGTGTTTCAGGGACTTGCTTCCCATCCCTCACAGTCTTACCATGGTGGTCAACCTTAAGTGAATGCTCTGAGACATTGCATCTGAGGTAAGAGCCTCTGTCCTGCCTCTTCTCAGGCCCCACAGCATCTTCCCCACTCAGCCCACACTGCATCGGGTTCTCTTGTGAGGCAGGAAGTAGCTGTTTAGGTCAGCATAGCTTTGTCCATGGTTTCCTCTGTACCCACTTCTACCTTAGAGATAACACGAAGAGAAAGGAACTTCAATCCAATGACCTGGGAATGAATTAGATAACTAGGTGGGATAGGTGAGGGGGACTGCCTCCTGTTCTGCTGTTTGTGAAAACAAAAACACACAAGGAAAAAAACAAAATGTGAAGCGGAGCATTTCAGAGTGAAGTATTTTGTTAAACCTGTTCAAATGACTAGGCCCTGGGAATTATAAATAAATACTTGACCTTTAAGTTCTTGATAGGTGAGATGCCAGGAACAAGAGGTCTTTCAAATAGTTCTCCGATTACTTTTTTTTTTTTTTTTTTTTGAGTTGGAGTCTAACTTTGTCACCCAGGTTGGAGTACAGTGGCACGATCTCGGCTCATTGCAGCCTCCACCTCCTTGGTTCAAGCAATTCTTTTTTTGTTTGTTTTTTTTTTTTTGAGACAGAGTTTCGCTCTGTCACCAGGCTGGAGTGCAGTGGTGTGATCTTGGCTCACTGCAACCTCCGCTTCCTGGGTTCAAGCAATTCTCCTGCCTCAGCCTCCCATGTAGCTGGTATTACAGGTGCCCGCCACTATGCCCAGCTAATTTTTTTTGTATTTTTAGTAGACACAGGGTTTCACCATGTTGGTGAGGCTGGTCTTGAACTCCTGACCTCGTGATTCGCCCGCCTTGGTCTCCCAAAGTGCTGGGATTACAGGCGTGAGCCACCATGCCTGGCCGGGTTCAAGCAATTCTTGTAACTCAACCTCCCAAGTAGCTGGGATTACAGGTGTGCACCACCACGCCCAGCTAATTTTTGCATTTTTAGTAGAGACAGGGTTTTGCCACGTTGGCCAGGCTGGTCTCGAACTCCTAGCCTCACGTGATCTGCCTGCCTCGGCTTCCCAAAGTGCTGGGATGACACGCGTGAGCCACCTCACCTGGCCACCAGTTACTTTTTGTTAAAGGGACTTTGCTTCCTTGAATAAGTAGAATTTCTTTTTTTTGAGACGGGGTCTCACCCTGCTGCCCAGGTTGGAGTGTAGTGGTGAGATCATGCCTCGTCGTAGCCTCAACCTCCCAGGCTCAAGTGATCCTCCTATCTCAGCCTTGCTAGTAGGTGGGACTAGTGTGCATCACCATGCCCAGCTAATTTAAAAAAATTTTTTTAGTAGAGACAGGGTCTCACTATGTTGCCCAGGCTGGTCTTGAACTCCTGGTCTGGAGCAATTCTACTGCCTTGGCCTCCCAAAGTGCTGGGATTATAGATATAAGCCACTGTACCTCGCCTATAACCGGAATTTTTTTTTTTTTTTTGAGACAGAGTCTTGCTCCATCGCCCAGGCTAGAGTGCAATGGCGCGATCTCAGCTCAGTGTCAACCTCTGCCTTCCAGGTTCGAGCTATTCTCCTGCCTTGGCCTCCCAAGTTGCTGGGACTATAGGCACCCACCACCATGCCCAGCTAATTTTTGTATTTTTAGTAGAGACGGGGTTTCACCATATTGGCCAAGCTTGTCTCGAACTCCTGACCTTGTGATCCGCCTGCCTCGGCCTCCCAAAGTGTTGGGATTACAAGCATGAGCCACGGCGCCCGGCCTTATAACTGGAATTTTTAATGGAAACCTTGCGGGCCTTTCCGTTACCAGTTTGCAGTGGAGCATTTGTCTTTGTCTTTTTTAAGTGATACTGTAAGAGTAGGTAGAGAGACTCAAATCTGCAGTTCTCTTGACTGATTAGTATCCCTTTTTTGTGTTTGTTTGTTTGTTTTGTTTTGTTTTTTAAAGACAGGGTCTGGCTCTGTGCCCAGGTTGGAGGGCAGTGCCACGATCTCGGCTCACTGCAGTCTCCACCTCCTGAGTTAAAGCGATTCTCCTGCCTCAGCCTCCTGAGTAGCTGGGATTACAGATGGGTGCCTCCATGCCCAACTTTTTTTTTTTTTTTTGAGACGGAGTCTCGCTTTGTTGCCCAGGCTGGAGTGCAGTGGCGCGATCTCAGCTCACTGCAAGCTCTGCCTTTTGGGTTCAGGCAATTCTCCTGCCTCAGCCTCCTGAGTAGTTCCTGGACGCGTGCCACCACGCCCAGCTAATTTTTGTATTTTTAGTAGAGACGGGGTTTCACCATGTTGGCCAGGTTGGCCTTGAACTCCTGACCTCAGGGGATCTGCCCACCTCAGCCTCCCAAAGTGTTGGGATTACTGGCATGAACCACCATGCCCGGCCGGGACGGGTATTTTTCTGTGTTGTCCAGGTTGGTCTTGAACTCCTGAGCTCAAGTGACCTGCTCACCTCTGCCTCCCAAAGTGCTGGGATTACAGGTATGAGCCACTGTGCCTGGCCCTTTTGTGTTTTTTTTTTTTTTTTTTTTTTTGTGGGTGATTCCTTTGGAATCTGGTGCTTCAGTTTTTTGAGTTCTTTCTTGTTTTATTTTTTTAAGTCATAGGAGTTCAGATTCCCTTTTCCATTTGGGATTTTAAAGTTTGAGGTGGGATCTTTGTAATATGTTGGCGTGGGGTTTTAAAGTTAAAGAAGGAAAGACTTAGATTTCTATTTTTTGCACTCAACACGCACTTGAATGAATGAGACCCACAAAACTGCTGTTCCTGTCTTTCCTCGACTATTCCATATGGTCTCTAAGAAGTATATATAGTTGACCCTTGAACAACCTGGGTTTGAACTGCGCAGGTCTGCTTATACATGGATTTTAAAAAGTAAATATATTGGAAAATTTTTTGGAGATTTGTGACAATTTGTAAAATCTTACAGATAAACTGTAGCCTAGAAATATCAAAAGAATTAAAAAGGTATGTTATGAATGAATAAAATATATGTGGATACTAGTCTATTTTAACATTTGCTACCATAAAATATATACAAATCTGTTATAAAAAGTTAAAACTTTATCAAAACTTATGCACACAAACCGTACATGGCACCATTCACTGTTGAGAGAAATGTAGACAAATATAAAGGTGCAGTATTAAATCATAACTGCATAAAATTAACTGTTACATACTGGGTGTACTACCGTAATATTTCATAGCCAACTAACTCCCTGTTACTATTGTGGTGAGCTCAAGTGTTGCAAGTATCCGCTTAAAATGTTGTGTGACGCTAGTCATCACCATGTGAGTGTTTATCTCTCCAGCTAATTGTGTATCACAGTAAAAATTGATCTCTCATGGTTCTTGTATAGTTTTCATTGTGTTTAGTGCAATACAGTAAACCTTGAGTAATACTATGGGACCCACTAGTGCCACTAGTGTTGCTGGAAGTTCCCCTAAGAGGCAGAGAAAAGTTAGAACATTACAAGAAAAATTGCTCAGTTTGTACATAGTTTGAGGTCCACAGCTGTGGTTGTTCACCATTTCAAGATAAGTGAATTCAGCATAAGGACTGTTGTAATAAAAGAAAAAAGGCTGGATGCGGTGGCTCACACCTGTAATCCCGGCACTTTGGGAGGCCGAGGCGGGCGGATCACATGAGGTCGGGAGTTCGAGACCAGCCTGACCAACATGGAGAAACCCCATCTCTACTAAAAATACAAAATTAGCCGTGTGTGGTGGCGCATGCCTATAATCCCAGCTACTCAGGAGGCTGAGGCAGGAGAATCGATTGAACCTGGGAGGCAGAGGTTGTGGTGAGCCAAGATCGTGCCATTGCACTCCAGCCTGGGCAACAAGAGCAGAACTCTGTCTCAAAAAAAAAAAAGAAAAGAAAAGAAAAGCATACCTATAGATAAATATGATTTAATAAAAGTAAAGTCATTATATGACAACTTAAAGCAAGAGGAAAGTGAAAAAACTAGAGCTGGAGAAGTTAATGCCGGCAATGGATGGTTTGATAATTTTAGGACAGTTTGACTTGAAAAATGTCAAGATAACAGAAGACGTAGCTTCTGCTGACCAAGAGGCAGCAGACAGGTTCCCAGACACCATGGGGAAAATCACTGAGGAGAAAGGATATCTGCCTGAACAGGTTTTTAATGAAGATGAAAGTGCCCTATTCTGGGGAAAAGAAAATGCCACAAAGGATATTTATTAGTAAGGAAAAGAAGTAAGAACCAGAATTTAAGGCAGGAAGGGGTAGGCTGACTCTCTGGTTTTGTGCAAATGCAATTGGGTTAATAATCAGGACTACCTTTATCTATGAAGCTACAGTCTTTTGGTTGTACAGCAAGAAGGCATGCACAATGAGAACCTTTTTTTCTGGATTGGTTTCATCAGTGCTTTGTCTCTGGAGTAAGGAAGTACCTTGCCAGTAAGGGATTGCCTTTAAAGCTCTTTTGATATTGGTCAATGCCCCTGGCCACCCAGAACCCCATCAGTTCAACACTGAAGGTGTCAAAGTGGTCTGCTTGCCCCCAGACGCGACGTCGCTAATTCAGCCTTTAGATCAGGTGGGTCATAAGGACCTTTAACACTCATTGCACTTGGTACTCTATGCAAAGGATTTTAAGTGCTGTGGAAGAAGACACCGATAGAACATCATGAATGTCTGGAAAGATTCCTCCATTGAAGTTGCCATAGTTGACCGGGTGGAGTGGCTCACGCCTGTAATCCCAGCACTTTGAGAGGCCAAGGTGGGTGGATCACCTGAGGTCAGGAGTTTGAGGCCAGCCTGGCCAACATGGCGAAACCCTGTCTCTACTAAAAATACAAAAATTAGCCAGGCCTGGTGGCACGCGCCTGTGATCCCAGCTACTTGGGAGGCTGAGGGAGGAGAATCGCTCCAACTTGGGAGGTGGAGGTTACAGTGAGCCAAGATTGCTTCGCTGCACTCCAGCCTGGGCGACCGAGTGAGACTCTGTCTCAAAAAAAATGCCATAGTTGTTATAGAAGAAATTGTGGGCCAGGTGCAGTGGCTCATGCCTGTAATCCCAGCACTTTGGGAGGCCAAGGCGGGCAGATCACTTGAACCTGGAAGTTAGAGACCAGCCTGGGCAACGTGGTGAAACCACATTTCCACAAAAGATACAAAAATTAGCTGGGCACTGTCATGCGTACCTGTAGTCCCAGGTACTCGGGAGGGTCAAGGCTGCAGTGAACCGTGATCATGTCACTGCACTCCAGCCTGGGCAACAGAGTGAGACCCTGTCTCAAAAGAAAAAGTTGTGAAAGCCATCAAGCCCAAAACAATAAATTACTGCTGAAGAAAACTGTGTCCAGAAATTGTATGTGACTTCATAGGATCTGTGACAGAGCCAATCAAGGAAATCATGAAAGAGATATGGCAAAAAAAGAAGGTGAAGGGTGAAGGATTTCAAGATAGGGATCTTAGAGAAATTCAAGAACTCATAGATACCACATCAGAGGAATTAACTGAAGGTGACTTGATGGAGATGAGTTCTTCTGAGTCAGTGCCAGATGACGAGGAAGAAGACGTAGAAGAAACAGTGCCAGAAAACATTAATGTCAGGCAATCTGGCAGAAGGGTCGAGGTTATTTGAGACTGCTTTTGAGTTATTTTAGACTTGGACCCTTCTATGATATGGGCACTAAAACCAAAGCAAATGGTAGAAGAAGAATTGGTACCATATAGAAACATTTTTAGAGAAATGAAAAAGCAAACCTGAGTGTGGAGGCTCAAGCCTGTAATCCCAGCACTTGGGAGGCCAAGGCAGGAGGATCACTTGAGGCCAGGAGTTCAAGACCAGCCTGGGCTGGTAGCTTCAGCTATTCAGGAGGCTAGGGCAGGAGGATCACTTAAACCCAGTAGTTCAAGGATGCAGTGAGCTGTGATCATGCCACTGCACTCTAGCCTGGGTGATAGAGTGAGACCCTGTTTCTAAAAATAGAAAAAGCAAAAAAAGTCAGACAAATTATAACATTTCCATAAATTTATACCACATGTGCCTTCCTCTCCTACTTCCCCTTCCACCTTCTCTACCTCTTCTACCTCTGCCACCCCTGAGACACCCCCCTCTTCCTCTTCCTCTTCCTCCTCAGTCTATTTGGTTTGAAAACAATGAGGATGAAAACCTTTATGAAGATCCACTTTATGATCACTTTATGATGATCCACTTCCATTTAATGAATAGTAAATATATTTTCTCTTATTTTCTTAATAGTGTTTTCTTAATAGTATTCCTTTTTCTAGCTTAATTGTAAGAATACAGTATATAATACATATCACATACAAAATATATGTTAACCGACTGTTTATATTATTGGTAAGGCTTTCAGTCAACAGTAGGTTGTTAGTAAAGTTTTGGGGGAGTCAAATGGATTTTTATATGTGGATTTTTTATTTTGGTGGGGTTGAGGAGGATGTTGGGCCATTGGGATAGGGTTCATGCTCCCCCCCACATTATTCAAGGGTCAGTTTATGTACGTAAATTGGTCATTCCTCACTTAAAGGTCATTAATAGGTTCTTGGAAACTGACTTTAAGCAAAATGACGTATAACAAAACCAATTTTTTTTTTTTTTGAGACAAAGTTTCGCTCTTATTGCCCAGGCTGGAGTGCAATGGTGTGATCTCGGCTTACCGCAACCTCTACCTCCTGGGTTCAAGCAATTCTCCTGCCTCAGCCTCCCGAGTAGCTGGGATTACAGGCATGTACCACCATGCTTGGCTAATTTTGTATTTTTAATAGAGACGGGATTTCTCCATGTTGGTCAGGCTGGAGTAAAGACCAAACTTCTAAATAAAGACCAAAACACTTCTAAATAAAGACCAGTATTAAACAGTGAAATATATGTAAACTGTACACACATGTAAGAAAGATTAATGAAAATAAGTTAGGTAATCATTTACCCAAGTATTCCAGCTCAGGATCACAAATGGCCGGAGCCTATCCTGGCAGTTCAGGATGCAAGGCAGAACAACCCTGGACAGAACACCATTCCATCGGGGTGCATATACCCACACACCCACACTCAGACTGGCACAGCTTAGCATGCCATTTCACCTTACACGCACATCTCTGGGATATGGGAGGAAACCAGCATACCCAGAGAAAACCTGTGCAGATGTGCAAACTCCACACAGACAGTGGTCCTGGCCGGAAATCAATTTTTTTTTCTTATCAACGTTACAAGGAAACAAGCATGGTGGCTCACGTTTGTAATCCCAGCACTTAGGGAGGCCGAGGCGAGTGGATCACTTGAGGTCAGGAGTTCGAGGCTAGCCTGACCAACGTGGTGAAACCCTGTCTCTACTAAAAATACAAAAATTAGCCAGGCGTGGTGGCAGGTGCCTGTAATCCCAGCTACTCAGGAGTCTGAGGCGGGAGAATCACTTGAACCCAGCAAGTGGAGGTTGCAGTGAGCCAAGATCCCGCCACTACACTCCAGCCTGGGTGCCAGAGCAAGACCCTGTCGCAAAAAAAAAAAAAAGTTATAAGGTAACAACACTGAACAAAATGTTATTCAAAGACCTGCTTATATGTGTACACAGTCATACACTGTTTAGCAACATTTTGGTCAATGATAGACTACATATATGACAGTCGTCCCATAAGATTATATTACTGTATTTTTACTGTAGTTTTTCTATGTTTAAATGTGTTTAGGTACATGAATACTTACCATTCTTTAGAGTTGCCTCCAGTATTCAGCACAGTAACATGCTATACAGGTCTGTAGCCTAGCAGCAATAGGCTGTACCACATAGCCTAGGTATGTAGTAGGCTACACCATCTAGGTTTGGATAAGTACACTCTGATGTTCGCCTAATGATGCATTTCTCTGAACATATTTCTGTCATTAAGTAATGCATGACTGTACCTATACTTAATATACATAATAAGTACATCTATATAGAGAGAGGAAGCCTGTGATTTAAAGATTAATGTTCATACTCAGTGAACAATTTTATATCATTTTTTCTGATTTGAAATTATTAAAGGTTGAGTATCCCTAATCTGAAATCCAAAATGCTTAAAAATCTGAAACTTTTTGCACACTGACATGATGCTCAAAGGAAATGCTCATTGGAGCACTTTGGATTTCAGAGTTTTGGATTAGTAATGTTCAACTGGTAAGTATAATGCAAATATTCCAAAAATATGAAAAAATCCAAAATCTGAAACACTTCTGGTCTCAAGCATTTCGGATAAGGAGTACTTAGCTTGTATTTACTTAACAAAAACCTTGTAAGACCTAATTTATGTCTTACAAAAGGCAACATCTTTTTACAGTTAACTGTGAGATAAGCAGGAACAGGTAGCTTCAGAGACCTTTGAGCCAGCTTGCCCCCAAACTGCCCTCCCAAAAGTGAGAATCATAGTTAAAATATTCAAACCAGCCTCTCATGTCTTCTGAAGTAAGTTTTAAAATTTTTACTTCTTAATTTTCCATGGCAGGAACCTTCAGCCTGTGGTGTCATCCCAAGTTTGAGGACCGCTGTCAATCTGTTGTAGAGTTTATTAAGAGAGCCATTATGCACTCCAAGAATGGAAAGTTTCTCTATTTCTTAAGATCCAGGGTTCCAGGTAAGGCTGTACTTCTGTTAATTATTTAACTTAAGTTGGGTATGATCCAGTTTAGTGTCAAAAAACACCATCCCCACAAAAGGCCATGGTTAAGCTTTTTTTCCCTGGCTGTTGGAGCCACCACTGCTCTTACAGAGTCCCATGGTTAATCCCCTGCCTTTGTACATTAATCTCTCAGCATACTGAGGAGGAATCTTTGCTTCTCTAACCACGTGAATGAGAAAACTGCTTCCACCTCTGATGTCCAGGCATCATGTGAACATTTGACATTTGGAGGTATCCCTGATCTAGGCATCTCAACATTTATAAGTGAAGCAGAAAGATGAGAGCTCTCAGGTCCTACCCATAGGAACGGGGAAGGTAGGAGAATGTTTACCAGAAAGGCAGGGGCGAGCGTCAGTGGGGCTCAGTATGGCTAGGCGTGGTGGCTCATGCCTGTAATCCCAGCACTTTGAGAGGCCGAGGTGGGAGGATTGCTTGATCCCAGGAATTTGAGACCCCATCTCTTAAAAAAATAAAAAATTAGCCAGGCATAGTGGCACATGCCTATAGTTCCAGCTAGTTGGGAGGCTGAGGTGGGAGGATCACTTGAGCCCAGGAGGTCGAGGCTTCAGTGAGCTGTGATCATGCCACTGCACTCTAGTCTGGGTGATAGAGCAAAACCCTGTCTCCCCCAAAAAAGAAAAAGTAAGGGCCAAATCCAGTTGCACATTGCACTCTGTTAGGAAGTATCTGCTGTGGGTTTGCCCATGTTGTACTAAACTTGCTGCCGAATAGTAAATACTTTGTTTTGTATCTTGCCATCCCTACCATTGATGAATACAAGACCTCTCTCCATTTGGGAGCACTGGGCAGTTGCTATCCTTGCTGATGTGATTGTATAGTCTTCCTGCCCACTAAGTTAGGGAGGTGTCTGTATAATCTGTGGAGGGCAAGAGGGGATTGTTTGGAGCAATCTGCCTTTATAGTGTTGGGTAAGACAAAATGACACGGACATTAATATGAGGAACTTGTAAGATGCAAACAACTTAAGCCAGGCATGGTGGCTCACACTGTAATAATCCCAGTACTTTGGGAGGCTGAGACAGGCAGATTGCTCAAGTCCAGGAGTTCAAGACCAGGCTGGGCAACATGGTGAAACCATGTCTCTACAAAATACACAAAAATTAGCCGGGTGTGATGCCAGGCGTCTGTAGTCCCAGCTACTTGGGAGGCTGAGGTGGGAGGATCACTTGAGCCTGGGAGGCAGAGGCTGCAATGAGCCAAGATTACGTCACTGCACTCCAGCCTGGGTGACACAGCGAGACCCTGTCTCAAAAAAAAAAAACAAAAAAAAACAAAAAAAAAAAAACAAGGCAGGGGTTGGTGGCTCACACCTGTAATTCCAGCACTTTGGGAGGCTGAGGCGGGCAGATCACCTGAGGTCAGGAGTTCGAGACAGCCTAGCCAACATAGTGAAACCCTGTCTGTACTAAGAATACAAAAATTAGCCAGGTGTGGTGGCAGGTGCCTTGTAATCCCAGCTACTCAGGAGGCTGAGGCGGGAGAATTGCTTGAACCTAGGAAGCGGAGGTTGCAGTGAGCTGAGATTGCGCCATTGCACTCCAGTCTGGGCGACAGAGCCAGACTCTTTCAAAAAAACAAAAACAACAAAAAAGAAACAACTTAAAATGAGAACTTCATGCTTTCCCATTGAATCAAATTAAGATTCTTGAACAGAACACCTAGAAATTGCTCTAAACTGTAGGAGCTCAGGGGAGCCTCAGGCAGAAGACTAGGAACAGGTTGAGCCAGGTGACAGGAATGTTTCTTGTAATCTTGGGGATTTGAATAAGGCATGACAGGGTGTGAACTGTATTAATTCTCACTTCATTTAGTTTTGCCTCAGTGCTGTCAACACAGTTGGGTCTTGTGCAGTTGACTTGCTTAAAGGGAAAAGTTAGATTCCTTCCTTATAGGAGTTGACTCTGCTTAGCAGTTTTTAAAGTTTATGGCTTTTTGGGGGGTTTTTATTTAACAAACATTTATTTTGTAACTTAATTATCAAAAATAAGCTACCTTTCTGCCTTCAGAGAAGTCATAGTCTAAAAGAAGGGACAGGAAGGAAGACAAAGGTCAGAGCACATGTTCAAGTCAGTATAAAGCATGTGGTGGTAACCAGCAAGAGTAGGGTAGTCAGCTCTGCCTGTGGACAAGCCCGGGAAATCTCAAAGAAGATTCTGGACTCTGGAACATCACTCTATTTGTAGAATATTGAGAAAACTTCGTGGAATATTGGACTCCTCAGATACAGCTTATTTCATTGTACAAATGTACCCTGTCTGCAGATATTTTAACCAAGATTCTTAGCATTGTATTAAGGGCTAGAGTGTGTAGTGTTTGCAACTGTTAATATTGAGTGCCTGTTAAATGCCAGGTACTTGGCCAGGCTCTTTATTTAAATATATTGACATTTTTACAACAACCTCAAAGTTAGGTAATATAGATCAATCTATTAAAATAATATGGCTGGGCTCGGTGGCTCACGCCTGTAATCCCATCACTTTGGGAGTCCGAGGTGGGTGGATCACCTGAGGTCAGGAGTTTGAGACCAGCCTGACCAACGTGGTGAAACCTCGCCTCTACTAAAAATACAAAATTAGCCAGGTGTGGTGGTGCACGCCTGTAATCCTAGCTACTCTGGAGGCTGAGGCAGGAGAATCGCTTAAAACCCAGGAGGCTGAGGTTGCAGTGAGCTGAGATTGTGCCACTACACTCTAGCCTGGGCCCCCAAGCAAGACTCTGTCTCAAAAAAAAAAAAATAATAATAATAATGATAATGATGTGTCCAACATGGTGAAACCACACCTCTACTAAAAATACAAAAATTAGCCAGGCATGGTGGCGGGCACCTGTAGTCCCAGCTACCTGGGAGGCTGAGGCAGGAGAATCACTTGAACCTGGGAGGTGGAGGTTGCAGTCAGCCAAGATTAAGCCACTGCACTTCAGTCTGGGTGACAGAGGGAGACTCTGTCTCCAAAAAATAAAAATAAAATAAATTTAAAAATAAAATAATACATGAGACTTCATTTTGCCAGTGAGGAAACTGAGGCTGAAGCTCAAAAGTTAAGTTACTTACTCTAAAGGTAACTCGGTTGATCAGTGCTGAAGCCAGAATTCAAACCTGGGCTTGACTACAAATCCTTGACTTTATTTCCCACCGGTCTGTTATTGGAAGAGGTAGTAGTAATCAGATTGAAAGTTTGCTGGCATTTGTGGAAACTACCTAAAGAAGGTAGAACCATGTTTACTGGGGGCAGGAGGGTGCACATGCTCCAGTTGAATATCTGTGTATACTTAAAATTGTAATCAAGTTGAGAGGGCAAAGCAGAGCTATTGCCCCTCGACCCTAAGTGACCTCTCTTTGAAGGATAGGGCCAAAGAAGACAAAGCCTTTACCACTGTTTGCTGCCCTCTTTTGCTTATAAAGGGGAAGGCATTATATAAGCTTGATTTTATTAGAGGAGACTATTAGGGTGAGGAAGAGGTAGGTATTAGCATTTAGGTTGAGCTCTGTCAGTCTGCGTCAGGGATTTTAACTTGATCGATTCAGAAAGGAGGCTGTGTCTTCAGACTTTGGAATGATGACAACTGAACACCTACAAGGAGCCAGGTGTTATTCCATTTAACCAAGTGTTACCCTTTGAGGGGATAGTACCGTCTCCTTTTTATTTTTTTTCTTTTTGAAAAAGCAAAAGAAACTGAGGTCCAGTGAGTTGCAGAACCAGGATGAGATCTCAGGTTTTTCTGGCTCAGATCCCAGAGCTGGATGCAGTAGGAGGGTGTTAAGACTGGTATCAGGCTTGGCGCAGTGGCTCACGCCTGTAATCCCAGCACTTTGGGAGGCCAAGGTGGGCGGATTGCCTGAGCTCAGGAGTTCAAGACCACCCTGGGCAATATGGTGAAACCCCATCTCTACTAAAATACAAAAAATTAGTTGGGCATGGTGGTGCACATCTGTAGTCCTAGCTATTTAGGAGGCTGAGGCATGAGAATTGCTTGAGCCCCAGAATTGGAGATTGCAGTGAGCCAAGTCATACCACTGCACTCCAAAGACTCTGTCTCAAAAAAAAAAAAAAAAAAAAAAAAAAACTAAAAAAACTAAACCCCTAACACCAGACAGCAGTGAGAGTGTGACTGATGTCACACAAAACCTCTGATCCTATTAGAGCCAGGCTAAAAGCAAACATACCCTTTTTAATTGAGAGAATCTTCATCTGTAAAGTTCGTGAAGAAAAAAATATCTTTAAAAAATCATGCTTTGATCAGGCTTGGTGGCTCACATCTGTAATCCCAGCACTTTGGGAGGTAGAGGTGGAAGGATTGTTTGAGCCCAAGAGTTCTAACTAGCCTGGATAATGTAGAGAGACCTCATCTCTACAAAAACAAAACAAAACAAAAAAGCCTAGCCACATGTGATGGTGTGTGCCTTTGGTCCCAGCTGCTTGGGAGGCTGAGGTAGGAGGATCTCTTAGGCCGGGTAGGTCAAGGCTGCAGTGAGCTGTGATTGCACCACCACACTCCAGCCTGAGTAATAGAGCGAGACCCTATCTCAAAAAAAAAAAAAAAAAAAAAAAAATCATGCTTTGAATTGGACAGCTCATTTTTGTTTGTTTGTTTCAAGATGGAGTCTACCCCAGTCACCCAGGCTGGAGTGCAATGGCACGATCTCGGCTCACTGCAACCTCCTCCGCCTCCCGAGTTCAAACGATTCTCCTTCCTCAGCCTCCCGAGTAGCTGGGATTACAGGCGCCCGCCACCACGCCCAGCTAATTTTTGTATTTTTAGTAGAGACGGGGTTTCACCATGTTGGCCAGGCTGCCCTTAAACTCTTGACCTCATGGTCCACCTGCCTCAACCTCCCAAAGTGCTGAGATTACAGGCGTGAGCCACCACGCTTGGCGGAATTGGACAGCTCTTTAAGGAAATTGGTTACTTCCTCTTTTGTAACCCTTGTTAAGTTTATAATTACTTGTTCAGTGACATGTCTTCCCTGTTTACCAGGGTTTCTCAGCTCTGCATTATTGACATTTTAGGCTGGACAGTTTTTTGTTGTGGGGTCTGTCCCGTGTATTGGAGGAAGCCCTAGCTTTTGCCCACTAGATGCCAGGAGCACTCACCCCCACCCCAAGCTGTGACAATCACATTATGTCTCCATATGTCCCTGGGGGCCAAAATCATCCCCAGTTGGGAAACATTGTTATATACCATAGGGGTTAAAAAGTACAAGTTCTGGATCCAGAGCACCGAGTGCTACCCCAGGTCCTGCCAGTTACTAGCTCTGTGATCTTAGGCATGAACTGAACCTCTCTTGCCTCAGTTTCCTCAACAGTAAAATGGGGATGATTATAGTACCTCACTTATAGGGTTGTTTTGAGGAATGCAAGAGTTAACTCATGTAAAATATTTAAGACAATGCCTGACACAGAGTAAGCACTCAACAGATGTTACTTTTCTCAGTGCTCTCTAAGATGTAGGTGCATAGGAAGTGTTTAAGGTGGTATCTCTGGTGTTCTCCTGGCCCTATAAAGGTGGTACCCAAGATAATATGTGTTGAATGATACTCTGGGTGGCCCCTCAGATATCCTTGTGATATCCTTTGAGATGCCCTTTGTCGTTATTTTATCTTACCTGTCTGATTGCCAGGTCATCCAGAGCAAGAACTGTCTTTCCTTAGCTCTATATTATTTTGAGATGAAGTCTCACTTTGTTATGCCCAGGCTGGAGTGCAGTGGCGCAATCTCGGCTCATCGCAACCTCTGCCTCCTGGGTTCAAGCAATTCTCCTGAGTAGCTGGGATTATAGGCGCCCACCATCACGCCCGGCTAAATTTTTGTATTTTTTAGAGACGGGGTTTCACCATATTGGTCAGGCTGGTCTCGAACTCCTGACCTTAGGTGATCCACCCGCCTCGGCCTCCCAAAGTGCTGGGATTACAGGGGTGAGCCACCGCGCCCAGCCTGCTCTATATTATTTTGTATATTAGAACACTCAAACATTTGCTGATGAGATATTAGACATACTCAGAAGAGGTTATTTCACTTACGCTTGTGAAAGAAGCCAGGAGTCCTTTCCTGGGGATTTGTGACCAGTGTCTCTGAGCATCTCCCCAGTAAGCGGTTCGTCCTTGTTTTATAGGTACAGAGTCATGCCACTGATGGGGCTCCCCTCCTTGCTCTGGCTGCATGACCCCCTTTAGCAACACCGTAAGACTCCCTTGAGGATATTTGCAAACTAGACTTATTCCTGGCTTATTACCTGCTTTATGTTTATTTGTATGGTGTGCAGAATGGTGTAATAAACCCTGTGTATCCATCACCCAGCCCCAGCAACCATCAGCCCATGGCCACTCCTGCCCTGTTTGTATACCTGTCCACTTCTTCATTGCATATTAGTGTTTAGTGTTTAAATATACTTTTGTTTTGTTTTGTTTTGTTTTGAGACAGGGTCTCACTCTGTCACTCAGGCTGGAGTACAGTAGTGCAATCATGCCTTGACCTCCCAGGCTCAAGTGATCCTCCCACCTCAGCCTCCCAAGTAGCTAGGACTACAGGCATGGGCCACCATGCTCGGCTAATTTTTCAATTTTTTTGTTGAGACAAGGTGTTTCTATGTTGCACAGGCTGGTCATGAACTCCTGGGCTCAAGTGATCTTCCCTTCTTAGCCTCCCAAAGTGTTGAGATTACAGGTGTGAACCACCATGCCCAGCTTCTTTTTTTTTTCTTTGAGATGGAGTCTCCCTCTGTCACCCAGGCTGGAGTGCAGTGGTGCGATCTCGGCTCACTGCCACCATCCACATCCCGGGTTCAAGTGATTCTCCTGCCTCAGCCTCCTGAGTAGCTGGGATTACAGGCACACACCACCACACCTGGCTAATTTTTTAATTTTTAGTAGAGGCAGGGTTTTACCATGTTGGTCAGGCTTGTCTTGAACTCCTGACTTTGTGATCCACCCGCCTCAGCCTCCCAAAGTGCTGGGATTACAGGCGTGAGCCACTGCACCCAGCTCTTTTTTTTTTTTTTTTTTTTTTTGACGGAGTTTTGCTCTTATTGTCCAGGCTAGAGTGCAGTGGCGCAATCTCAGCTCACTGCAACCTCCGCCTTCCGGTTTTGAGCAATTCTCCTGCCTCAGCCTCCCAAGTTGCTGGGATTACAGGCATCCGCCACCACGCCCAGCTAATTTTTTGTATTTTTAGTAGAGACGGGGTTTCATCATGTTGGTCAGGTTGGTCTTGAACTGCTGACCTCGTGATCCACCCGCCTCAGCCTCCCAAAGTACTGGGATTACAGGTGTGAGCCACCGTGCCCAGCAGCACTTCTTTTTTAATTTGTAGTTTTCTTCCTCCATTTCTTTTTCCCTTTTTTTCTTGCAATTTATATATTTAAAATATTGTTATGTTTGGAGTTTACCTATTGCTTCTCCATGACGTTGTTTAATATGTTCCTCTGTACTCTGAATTTCCTGTAAAATGGTAATTGAATTCAAAGGCTTACCCAATTTGGATTCGTTGGGGAGGGGGAGCAGCGTGACAGCATTACTTCATCTGAATTTTTTTTCTTTTTTTTTTTTTTTTAAATAGAAAACCACAAAAATCATATGCATGGTTTAATATTATTATAAGGTGAACACCACTCAGGCAAAGGAACCAAAACTTTTCCAGCCACTCCAGAAATCCTTCCGTGTGCCCCATACTAATCTCTACACCTGTCTTTATAATAATCACTTCCTTTCATTTTTCCATGAATGCTTTTATCACCCCAGTGTATATCCCTGAACACTATAGTTTGATATTGCTCATTTGAAAAAAATTTCATGTCTTTTAAATATCTTAATCTGTGGCTTTTTCTTTCATTTCCTTACGATTTACTTATTGAATAATTGGGCTGTTTGACCTGGAAAATTTCCTTGGATTTTACTAATTACGTACTCTTGTTGGAGTTTAGCATGTTGTCCTGTCTTCTGTATTTCTTACAAATTAGCAGGAGTCTGATTCAAACTCAGGCTTGACTGAACATATAATAGTAGCTCATGCCTAAAATCCCAGCACTTTGGGAGGTGAGGCAGGAGGATCGCTTATACCCAGGAGTTCAAGACCTGCCTGGGCAGCATGGTAAGACCCTGTCTCTACCAAAAAAATAAATTAAAAACTAGCCGAGGCCAGGCGCGGTGGCTCAGGCCTGTAATCCCAGCACTTTGGGAGGCCGAGGCAGGTGGCTCACCTGAGGTCAAGAGTTTGAGACCAGCCTGACCAACATGGGGAAACCCTGTCTCACTAAAAATATAAAAATTAGCCAGGCATGGTGGCCCAGACCTGTAATCCCAGCTACTTGGGAGGCTGAGGCAGGAGAATGGCCTGAACCCAGGAGGCGGAGGTTGCAATGAGCCAAGATTGTGCCACTGCACTTCAGCCTGGGCAAAAGAGGGAGGCTGTGTCTCAAAAAAAAAAAAAAAAAAAAAAAAAAAAAAAATTAGCCAGGTGGCCGAGGCAGGGTAATCGCTTGAGTCTGTGATGTCAAGGCCACAGTGAGCTGTGTTCATGCCACTGCACTCCAGCCTGGGTGACAGAGTGAGACTGTATCTCAGAAACAAACAAAAAAACTGAGGCTTGATCCTTTTAGCAAGATTATATAGGTAGTATTTGGCATGCCCATAGGAAACACATGATGTCTGGTTGTGTCTCTTTTTGTGATCTTAGCAGCTGTTCATTGGGAGTTGCAAAATGATGATACTCTAATTTTATCACTTTTTATTTATTAGATGGAATAGTTTTATAGAGACATTTCTCCTCATTTATTATTTACCAAATTCATATAGAAAAAGCAGGATAAATGCTTGACTCTTTTTCTTTATTTACTAATTTTCAAGATAACGAATTGGTTCCCTATCATCCTTTGAAGGTGACCATTTGAAAAATATAATTAATGGCCGGGCACAGTGGCTCATGCCTGTAATCCCAGCACTTTGGGAGGCTGAGGTGGGCGGATCATGAGGTCAGGAGATTGAGACCATCCTGGCTAACACGGTGAAACCCCGTCTCTACTAAAAAATAGAAAAAATTAGCTGGGCGTGGTGGTGGGCACCTATAGTCCCAGCTACTCGGGCGGCTGAGGCAGGAGAATGGTGTGAATCGGGAGGCAGAGCTTGCAGTGAGCTATCGCGCCACTGCATTTCAGCCTGGGCGACAGAGCGAGACTCTTATCTTAAAAAAAAAAAAAAAAAAAAAATATATATATATATATATATATATGTGTGTATATATATATATATGTGTGTATATATATATATATGTGTGTATATATATATATGTGTGTATATATATATATATGTGTGTATATATATATATATGTGTATATATATATATATATGTGTGTATATATATATATATGTGTGTATATATATATATATATGATTAATTCAGCCAGGTGCAGTGACTCACGCCTGTAATCCCAGCATTTTGGGAGGCCGAGGCAGTTGGATCACCTGAGGTCAGGAGTTAAACACCAGCCTGGCCAACATAGCTAAACCCCATCCTCTACTAAAAATACAAAAAAAATAGCCGGGCGTGGTGGTGGGCACCTGTAATCCCAGCTACTTGGGAGGCTGGGGCAGGAGAATCACTTGAACCTGGGAAGTGGAGATTACAGTGAGCCGAGATCACCCCACTGCACTCCAGCCTGGGTGACAGAGAGACTCTGTCTCAAAAAAATATATACATATATACACAATATATAGTATATATATACACAATACATAATATATATACACAATATATTGTATATATTATATACACAATATATAGTATATATATACACAATACATAATATATATACACAATATATTGTATATATTATATACACAATATATTGTATATTATATATACAATATATTGTATATTATATACACTATATATTGTATATTATATATACTATATATTGTATATATACTATATATTGTATATTATATATACTATATAGTATAATATACAGTATATAGTATATTATATACTATATAGTATAATATACTATATACAGTATATTATATACTATATACAGTATAATATATATATACTATATATAGTATATATACAATATACTATATATGTTTATACTGTATATTGTATATATTATACTATATATTTTATATATTTATATATTTATATTATACATATTATATATATACTATATATTATATACATATAAAATTCATGGAATTAAACATACTTAATGGCTTTCTTTTTTTTTTTTTTGAGACAGAGTCTCACTCTGTCACCCAGGCTAGAGTGCAGTGGCGTGATCTTGGCTCACTGCAACCTCCGACTCCCGGGTTCAAGCGATTCTCCTGCCCCAGCCTCCCATGTAGCTGGGATTACAGGCACGTGCCACTACACCTGGCTAATTTTTTTGTATTTTTAGTAGAGACGGGATTTCGCCATGTTGGCCAGGCTGGTCTCGAACTCCTGACCTCAGGTGATCCAACTGCATTGGCCTCCCAAAGTGCTAGGATTATAGGCATAGGTGTGAACCACCGTGCCTGGCCCACTTAATGGCTTTTAATTCATTACAGTTATAATTATTGAAGCTCGTATTGTCTCACCTTTAACCAGCAGAAGGCTCTTCATGTCGGGGTATTTTTCCCTCTCTCCCTCCCTTCCTTCCTTGCTTTTATCTAACAGCTTTATTGAGATATAATTCACATAACATGAAATTCACCCATTTAAAATGTGTGATTCAAGGCCAAAGAAGGTAGATTACTTGAGCCTAGGGGTTCAAGTCCAGCCTGGACAACATGGCATGAAACCCCATCTTGATAAAAAAAAAAAATACAAAAATTAGCTAGGAGCGGTGGTGAGCACGTGTAGTCCCAGCTACTCAGGAGGCTGAGGCAGGAGAATTGCTTGAACCCAGGAGGCAGAGGTTGCAGTAAGCTGAGATCACACCACTGTACTTCATCCTGGGTGAAGACAGAACAAGACTGTGTCTCAAGAAAAAAAAATACTGTGCAATTCAGTGGTTTTTAGTATATTCACAGAGTTGTACAACAGTCACCACAATCAATTTTAGAATGTTTTCATCACACCAAAATGAAAACCTCAGACTATTAGCAGTTACTCCGTATTCCCTCTACTTCCTGGCCCCTACCAACCACTAATCTGTTTTCCGTTTCTATGGATTTGACTGTTTGGTACATTTCACATAAATGGAATCATACAATATTTTTATGTCTTGTTTCTTTTACTTAGCATAATGTTTTCAAAGTTCACCAGTGTTGTAGCATCTGTCAGCACAGCATTCTTTTTTATGACTGAATAACATTCCACTCTGGATGTACCACATTTTGTTTCTCCATTCTTTAGGTTGTTTCCAGTTTTTGGCTATTATGAAATAAATAATGCTTCTTTGAACATTCATGTACAGCTGTTTATGTGAATATCTTTTCAATTCTCTTGGATATATTCCTAGGCGTGAAATTGCTGGGTCATATGGTAATCCCATATTTAACCCCATGCCAGACTCCCAAAACAATTGCACCCAAGATTTTGTTATTGTCCATCTTTTTGAATATAGCCATCCTAGTGAGTATGAAGTGGTAGCTCATTGTGGTTTTGATTTGCATTTCCCTAATGACTAATGATGTTAACATCTTTTCATCTGCTTATTGGCTATTGTATCTCTATTCACAACCTTTGCTCATTTTATAATTGAGCTATTTGTCTTCTTATTGAGTTATGAGTTCTTTACAGGCTGGGTATGGTGCCTATAAGCCCAGTACTTAGGGAGGCCAGGGCAGGAGGATTGCTTGAGCCCAGGAGCTCAAGACCTGCCTGGGCAATACAGGGAGACACTGTCTCTACAAAAAATTTAAAAATTAGCCCAGTGTGGTGGTGCATGTCTGTAGTCCTAGCTACTTGGAAGACTGAGATGGGAGGATTGCTTGAGTCCAGGAGGTGGAGGTTGCAGTGAACCGAGATCACGCCACTGCACTCCAGCTTTTATTTTATCTCAAAAAATAAAGTTCTTTATATATTCTGGATACAAGTCCCTTGTCAGATATAAATTACAAATATTTTCTCCCATTCTGTGGGTTGTCTTTTTACTTTCTTGATGGTATTCTTTGAAGCATGAAGGATTTTGATGAGTTCCTATTCCAACTTTTTTTTTTTTTTTTGCTTGTTATATTTAGAAAAGTTTGCCTAACCAAAGGTGATGGAGCTTAATGCCTATATTTTCTTCTAGGAGACTTAAACTTTTAGCTTTTACATTAGGTCTACTATCCGTTTTGAGTTAATTTTTGTTTTTTAATTTTTTTGTTTGGTGTGTATGTGTGTGTATATATATATATATGTACATATATATATGTACATATATATATATATGTACATATATATATATGTACATATATATGTACATATATATATATGTACATATATATATATATATGTACATATATATATATATAGAGAGAGAGAGAGAGAGAGAGTGAGAGAGAGAGAGACAGAGTCTCTCTCTGTCACCGAGGCTGGAGTGCAGTGGCACGATCGTGGCTCACTGCAACCTCCGCCTCCTGGCCTTAAGTGATCCTCCCACCTCAGCCTCTCAAAGTTCTGGGATTACAGGTGTGAGCCACCGTACCCAGCCTTGAATTTTTGTGTATGGCATGAGAAAGGAGTCCAACTTTATTCTTTTTCATGTGAATATTCAGTTGTTCTAGCGCCATTTGTTGAAAAGATACTCTTTCCCCATTGAATTGTCTTGGCATCTTTGTTGAAATCAGTTGATTGTAACTGTGAAGGTTAATTTCCGGACTCAGTTCTATTCCATTGAGTTGTATGTCCATCCTTATGCCATTACTGTCTTGATTCCTATAGTTTTGTAGTACTTTTTGAGATGGAAAAGTGTGAGTCTCCAACTTTGTTGTTTTTCAAGTTGGTTTTGACTATTTTGGGTCTCTTGCATTTCCATATGAATTTTAGGATCAGATTGTCAATTTCTGCAAAGAAGCCTACTGAGATTTTAATACCCCCATGTTGGCAAGAGTGTGGAGTTGAGTCAGTACATCAATTTGGGGAGGGAATATTGGCATGTCAACAATATTATGTCTTCTGATCCATGGACATAGGCTGTCTTTCTGCTTATTTAGGTCTTTTTAAAAACTCTTTGAACAATGTTTTATATTTTTTCTTTTGTTCGTTTTCCTTCCTTCCTTCCTTCCTTCCTTCCTTCCTTCCTTCCTTCCTTCCTTCTCTTTCTTTCTGTCTTTTTTTTTTTTTTTGTCCCACTGTCACCCAGTCTGGAGTGCAGTGGTGCCTGGCTCACTAACTACAACCTCCACCTCCCTGGCCCAGTGTGTCCTCCACTTCAGCCTCCTGTGTAGCTGGGACTATAGGCACACACAACCATGCCCAGCTGATCTTTATATTTTTAGTAGAGATGGGGTCTCACCGCATTGCCCAGGCTGGTTTCTAACCCTTTGGCTCAAGCCATCCACCTCGCCTCAGCCTCCCAAAGTGCTGGGATTATAGGTATGAGCCACTGTGCCTGGCCCATATTTTTTCATAATATAAGTTTTGTATTTCTTTTGTTAAATTTATTTTTTAGTATTTGTTTTTGATCCTATTGTAAATTGTTTTCTTAATTTTAATTATTTTTGGATTGTTTATAGCTAGAGTATAGAAATTTAATTGCTTTTTGCACATTCATGTTATATCCTGTAAACTTGCATAACTCATTTATTAGTTCTATTATGTATTTCTTTTTAAATTGTGAAATAACATGTATGTGGTAAAAAGGTCAAATAGTGCGCAAGGGAATATAAGGAAAAGTGAATCTTCTGCCCTCTCACCCCTGCTCCCACTAAGCTAAACTATTGTTTAGTTTTTCTTAAGCTGTTTCAAGCTGAAGAAAGGAGTGGGATATTAAAAAACAGTGCTTCACTGTTAGCTGAATATCTTTTTTTTAGACAGGGTCTTACCCTATCACTCAGGCTGGAGTGCAGTGGTACAATCATAGCTCACTGCAGCCTCAGCCTTCTGGGCTTAAGCAGTCCTCCCACTTAAGCCTCCTGAGTAGCTGGGACCACTGTTGTGCACCACAATGCCTGGCTAATTTTTTTAATTTTAATTTTTGTAGAGGTAAGGTCTCCCTCCCTATGTTGCCCAGGCCAATCTTGAACTCCTGGGCTCAAGCAGTCCTCCCACCTCAGCCTCCCAAGGTGCTGGGATTACAGGCGTGAGCCACCGCACTGGGCCTTCTTTTACTTTTGACCTTGTGCTTGTTTTTTTCTTCTTGGAGGATTACATATAAGTCAACTAGACTCCCTAGTTTATTCTCTTTTTACTTACACTGTTAAGAAAATGAGATCTGGAATGTGAAACAGATGTGATTCCTTATCTGATTCTGTCTTCAGGGGTCAGAAAAACCTTTGGTGTGGCAGAAAGACATGGGTATTTGGGTGTTTATACCTGGAAGAGATTTCTTACCCCTAACATGGTCTTTGTTGGGAGAAACGAAAAATAGTGCATGGCTAGAAACTAGGTTTGTGCCCAGGACCTCTGGCATGAGGACTGGAAGAAAGTTACTGACGATTAATGTTCGACTTCACCCTTACTCTTTTAGTCCCAGTTGGGTCTTATCCTGGATTCTTCACATTTTGAACTGCTTCTGTTAGCATGCTCTAAATGTGAGAGTTCTAATTGTTTGTTGGCGTTTGTGGGCAAACAGTAAATGGTCAGATTAATACCAGGGAATATCAGAAAATTAACAGGTTTCAAATTGCTATTTGTAAACCTAAAGGCTAAAAGTAATACAATTAAATAGGCAAGTATATGTGGTCATTAAAATTCAAGTAGGCAAACAATCAGATAATTGTATGTTGCATATTATCCTGATCTCTTTAAGCACAGTGTTATCTTTGGGAATAAATTATTAGATGTATAAATTACTTTTATCTCTGAAACATCATGTTGAGTTTACCAGTATTACAGCCAATCCCCCAAAGCTTTCTGTTTGCCACAGTTTAATTTACTAAAGAATATATAAATACCAGTGAGGGACAGGACAAATTCAAAGAGGCATTTGAACCCAAAATTATTTCTTAAAACCACTTGAGTTAAATATATTCAGGTGAGAAATTCACGTGTGAGTTCTTTTTCTTTTCTTTTAATGGAGAGGACCAGCCATGTGGGTAGAGGAGAGAAGTAGGGCTTCAAAATACAAGACTTAGTTTTGAAGGGGTGGGAGTGCCAGGGAGGGGACTAGGAGAGGCTGGTCATGAACCAGAGTGCTGTGACTGTCCTGGACAACCTCCTTGTTAGATGGGCAGAGGTGCAGGCACTCTAGAGACCCTCCTGGAGAACCCTGCTGAGAGGTTCCTCGGCTATGGCAGAGCTACCGATAATTCTTCCTTAGGGCAGGTGTTCAAGGCAGGCCGGCTTTAGTGGCTCCATGCCACAGCAAGTTCTCTAAGCTCAGTGGGCCTCAGTTTCTTTATATGTGAAATGGGGATGGTGGTGTTTGCCTCAAAGTATAGTTTTAAAGACTAAATAAGTTATCATTATTATTTTTGTTTTTTTTTTAGAGACAGGGTCATACTTTGTCACCTAGGCTGGAGTGCAGCGGCACAATCTTGGCTCACTGTAGCCTCGAGTTCCTGGCCTCAAGTGATCTTATCTCCTTGGTCTCCCAAAGTACTAGGATTATAGGCGTGTGCCACTGCACCCAGCCTGAGTTAAATGTTTTTAAGATGAGCTTAACTTGTTCAGTAACAATAAAATAATGTATTTTGATTTTTTTTTTCCCCCGGAAAGTATGTTGTCAGTGATCATGGAAAGGCCTTGGGATGCGGTGTACATGCTTTCATTTGTTTTGTTTTCATGCCTTCAAATAAAATTTTAAAACTATCTGGGCCGGGCATGGTGGCTCATGCCTATAATCCCAGCACTTTGGGAGGCTGAGGCAGGTGGATCACCTGAGGTCAGGAGTTCGAAACTAGACTAGCCAACATGGTGAAACCCCGTCTCTACTAAAAATACAAATATTAGCTGGGTGTGGTGGCGGGCGCCTGTAATCCCAGCTACTCGAGAGGCTAAGGCAGGAGAATCGCTTGAACCTAGGAGTTGGAGCTTGCAGTGAGTCAAAATCGCGCCACTGCACTCCAGCCTGGGTGACAAGAGCAAGACTCTGTCTTAAAAAAACAAACAAACACTTTGGGAGGCTGAGGTGGGCGGATCACAAGGTCAGGAGATCAAGACCATCCTGGTTAACACAGTGAAACCCCGTCCCTACTGAAAATACAAAAAATTAGCCCGGCGTGGTGGTGGGTGCCTGTAATCCCAGCTACTCGGGAGGCTGAGGCAGGAGAATGGCATGAACCCGGGAGGCAGAGCTTGTAGTGAGCCGAGATCGCGCCACTGCACCCCAGCCTGGGCGACAGAGCAAGACTCCGCCTCAAAAAACAAACAAACAAACAAAAAAACTATTTGAACTTAAACCCCAATAATAGTAGATATTTTATTTTCCAATCAGTTGTGTCTATAGAATGTCTTTTGATATGACAATGGCTGAGAATTCTTTGACAGGTTTTGCAACTCAGATTTTCTCAAAGAATCTTGTTTACCTTCCATAGCCCCTTTGTTTATTGAAAGCAAAATATTCTTAGTTCCCTTGAATCCCAGTGTTCCTGCCATTCTGGATGTCTCCATGCTGTGGCGTGGGGCCCTTTTTGGGGTGGGATTCCCCAGCACAGAGCCTGCTAATACATAAGGGTGTGGTACTCCCATTGAGTCTATTTGGCATCAATCAGCAGGCGGGTTTGCACTGAGCGGTACTAATCCTAGCTTGCCCAAGCGATTGTAGTTGTTCTTTTAAAAGCATCATCTTTTTTTGGTCTCCTGGCCTAAAATTTCAGAAGCAGGAACTGGGGGTTATGGGGGTTGGGTATAAAAGGTAGCTAAACCTGATTATCCTGGCTTGAAATAATGGCAGGAATAATAGGCTTGTTAACTTTGATCCTAGCTGTTACCTTCTACTTACCAGCCTCCCTGCTGAACCAGCCTCTCTGCTGAACCAGCCTCTGCTGAACCAATTGGAATTTGGTGGGGACTCCTCTGAACGGCTTTTCTGGGTCCTCACCTTCAGGATACTGCTAGATGTGCCCAACAAGTATCTCCCATTCCCAGCAGGGATACTTTTGATTCTTGGCCTTCCCGAGAGCCTCAGGCCTGGGATTGGCCACTTGGGTCCAAGCAGTGTCTCTAGTTTGGCATAATTGGGCTACTCCGAGGAGCAGGACTCTCAGCTGTTATGAGTGATGCTAGGAGCCAGGCACAGTGGCTCACGCCTGTAATCCTAGCACTTTGGGAGGCTGAGGCGAGTGGATTGCTTGAGCCCAGGAGTTCGAGACTAGCCTGGGCAACATGGGGAAACCCCGTCTCTACTAAAAATACAAAAATTATCTGGGTACGATGGCATGCATCTGTGGTCCCAGCTACTCAGGAGGCTGAGGCGGGAGGATTGCTTGAGTCTGGGAGGTCAAGGCTGCAGTGAGCTGAGACTGGGCCACTGCACTCCAGCCTGGGTGACAGAACGAGACCCTGTCTCAAAAAACAAAACAAAAGACACACAAAAAAGTGATGCTAGGGAGGCCTTTGGCAGAGAATGGATTTCCTTAATTGTGAATGTGGTGGTGGTGCTTCTGGAAATGGAAATCAACAGCACTTTGTGGAGGGGCTTTTGCACAGAATACATATATGAACCATAAAGAAGTCCCATTTCCCCTCCCTAGGTTCTCTTCATACAAGAAATGGTAGTTAGCTCCATTGTTTCCTCTGAATACTTTCCTTTGTTTTCTTTCTTGAAGGACTGCCACCAACTCCTGTCCAGCTGCTCTATCCAGTGTCCCGATTCAGCAATGTCAAATCCCTCCAGCACCTTTGCAGATTCCGGATACGACAGCTCGTCAGGATAGATCACATCCCAGATCTCCCACTGCCTAAGTACAATGGGGTTGTCAGGTTTGGGACAGGAATGAGTAAGGGGGTTGTGGGGAGGTAACAATGTCAGTGAGGCCTGCAAGCTACCTTCACAGGCAGAGTCTGGCATAAAATATTTGCAGATGTCATTCTTACACATTTCCTGTGTCTTAGCACCTAACTCTAGAACTGTCATATTGCAGCCAGAGGGAGGAAGGTGTGTGTGTCAGCCTTCCTTCTGCAGTCTCTAGGAAGAATAGAGTAGAAGTGGTAAGAGTAAGGAAGACAGAACTATAATAACTGAGAAAATGGGGATTGTGTTAGGTCTCAACCATGTAGGGAGTGAAGAAGAGTTGAACAAAGGAGTTACTTCTTTTATATTTTGTATAAAAACCTTTTGTGTATATCCGTCATTTGTTTTTCACAGACCTCTGATCTCTTATATCCGAAAGTTCTACTACTATGATCCTCAGGAAGAGGTATACCTGTCTCTAAAGGAAGCGCAGCTCATTTCCAAACAGAAGCAAGAGGTGGAACCCTCCACGTAGCGAGGGGCTCCCTGCTGGTCACCACCAAGGGTATGAGCTCTCTGCCTCACTGCCCAGCCACATTTCTTCCTGGGCAGTCATCATCATGCATTGAGCCTTGGGCCCCCTCCCCACAACTCCCAACATGGATAGCCCCGATCCAGGCATTTGCCCATAGAATGACAAGATCTGACCGTGGAGTCCTCAAGGGGCACACACCCCATTTGGGAGAAAAGCAGACAGACGAGAAAGACATGAAAGTAGATTGCCAGGAAACGTGCAAGCTAATCACTGAATGTGAGCAAGGAGGGGGACACCCAAGTGTAGCTAAGAGTGCGGCCTCTGGCAAGGAGAGGGTAATTGAAAAAAATAAGAAGAAGAGTGCAGCCTCCTCTCATACAGACTTGGGCTGATCTCCCTGATACTGCACAAATGGCATATAAAGCAGGAAGCTAAAGGGAAAGGAAACTTCATCAAAGAGAATGCAAACATGCCTTTAATTGCAACAGGCATGCACTTCAGTGAGACTCCACCATGTCCCACAGCTTGGAATATGGGGATGAGGAAAAACAGCCCACTCTTCTATTTAGCGTTCCATTTGGGCCATTACAAAGTAAATTGTTGAAACTAAGGAATTCATTTATCTACGAGGCTCTTCTCCCATCATTACACAGTTCTACCCATTTATTTTCCCATAAAACATCTTGCAATACTGGTTTGTGCAGATGAATTCCAATTAGTCTTTTAAATTGCACTAAAGTGAACATTGTGGGGCCAAGTTCCTGAGTAGGGAACACAATTGCCAGGGAGCCATGACTTTGGTGGTGGTGGTGACAAGCAAGATTGACTGCCAGTGTGCAGTGACTGCTTTCTTCTGGTGTGGATCCTGGAGTAGATGTACAGTCTCATCATGTCTTCAATTATATGCAAATTGTATGCCTTTGGAAATGACTAAATATCTAATGTCTTGTGTCTAGGTGGATTTCTCTGCATGATGGCTTTGCAGTTGAGATTAGGGTGAGAGGTAGAGCACTAGGGAGGTCCACCTACCTGACTACCCTTGAAGAGTAATTAGGCCATTCAGTTAGAGGACCACGTCTGTGGGTGCAGTGCTGTAGAAGAACCCATATAAACAGGGAGCATGTTCAGAGAAAGGCCTTGTGGCATTGGAGAGCTCAAACTTCATCATATGGGAATAAATGGCCTAGAAAGAAATGTGATTAACCCAGAGCACGGAGGTTTTAGGGAGGGATAGCTGAAAGATGCATTTGATGGGTTTTCCTAAGGAAGAGAGTGATTAACCTCCTCTCTGTGGTTCCAGTGGGGAGCAAGTTCAGCATTACGCTTATTCTTTGCCACAGGCAACAATCCTGATGTCACAGCAAAAAGAGATCCTGAGAGTTCAGTTCAAACCTTTGCCAGTGCGTGACTGCTCCCAACACTCAAGACAAGTGGCTCCCTGCCGGCCTGTTCCTGATCATGCCACACCTTTCCCAGTTGAGGCAGGGCCTTTATACCTCTAGGTCCCCTTGCCCAGAATGCTCTGCCCCAAGGCCCTCCCATGTCACAGCAAAAAGAGACATGGATAAGGACCAAAATGAATGTAAGTTACAAGGAACTAGATTTCAGTCCAACTTTACAAGAACCTTTTTAACAGAGACGTCCAAAACTGGGATGGTTTTCCTCAAGAGCTTCCATTCAGCAGATAGCTGTATATTTGTGTTTATTTGGCACCCAGTATGAATTGAGAATAGAGTGCTGAGCAAAGCAAAGGCCCTGTTTTCACTCAGCTTCCCTTCTCCTAAGGAAAGACAGGCAGCAAACATGAACATAAATGAATGGGCTAATTTCAGGTGACTGTACAGTGTTGTGAGGAAAGTAAAACTGGGTAAAGTTTAGTGATTAGTGGTGGGATACTCCTCAAGTTTAGATGGTCAGGGAGAGACTTGTGAGGAGGTGCCATTTCAGCCGATACCCAAATATCAAGGAGCCAGCCATGGGAGTGCCTTGGAGCAGAGCATTCTGGGCAAGGGGACCTAGAGGTATAAAGGCCCTGCCTCAGCTGGGAAGGACGTGGCATGATCAGGAACAGGCCAGTGGGTAGCCATTTGTCTTGAGTGTTGGGGGCAGTCATATATTGGCGAAGGTTTGAACTGAACTCCCAGGATCCCTTTTTGCTGTGACATCAGTATTGATGCCTGTGACAAAGAGTAAGCGTAATGCTGAACTTGCTCCTGGTGTAGACCCTAGGAGCCCTGGAAAGGGAGGAAGTAACACTTCCCAAGGGAAAGGTCTTTTTTTTTTTTTTTTTTGAGATGGAGTTTCGCTCTTGTTGCCCGGGCTGGAGTGCAATGGCGTGATCTTGGCTCACTGCAACCTCCATCTCCCGGGTTCAAGCAATTCTCCCACCTCAGCCTCCCAGTGGGAGGCTGGGATTACAGGTGTGCACCACCACGCCTGGCTAATTTTGTATTTTTAGTAGACTGGGTTTCACCACGTTTGTCAGTTGGGTCTCAAACTCCTGACCTCACTCAAGTGATCCACCCACCTTGGCCTCCCAAAGTTCTGGGATTACAGGCATGAGCCACTGTGCCCCATTGGGAAAGGTCTTTAGGGTATGAAATTTGGCCTTTATGACTTCTTGTTGTTCAGGCTGATTTTAATTTGGGAGTTCTGAATGGCCTGCTTGGTCTATGTGTGCTGTTACCTGGGGAATTTCATGCCAGGGGGTTTGGAGTCAGACTATAGAGTAATGGCTAGAACAGTGCCTGTCTCAAGTCGGAAGGTGGAAGCAACAGTGGCCTTTGTGTTTCTGTGTCAACCCTGTCCAGTTGACAGAAGCTGCAGAAATACAGAGCTCTCTGGCCAGGTGTGATGGTTCACGTCTGTAATCCCAGCAGTTTGGGAGGCCAAGGCGGGCTCATCACGAGGTCAGGAGTTTGAGACCAGCCTGGCCAACATGGTGAAACCCTGTCTCTACTAAAAATACAAAATTAGCCAGGCATGGTGGCGCATGCCTGTAATCCCAGCTACTTGGGAGGCTGAGACAGGAGAATCTTGAACCCAGGAAGTGGAGATTGCAGTGAGCCAAGATCATGCCTTTGCACTCCAGCCTGGGTGACAGAGCGAGACTCCGTCTCAAAAAAAAAAAAAAAAAAGAAAGAAAGAAATATAGAGCTCTTTCTTGCCAGGTTCAAAAGGGGTTACTCCAGGGGCTTACTTCCCTTTTCAGTCCCTAGAGCAATTGAGCCTCAGGGAAAAAATGGGTAGGAAATGAAGGGGTAAGGGAAAGGGAAAGAGAGAATTTATGCAATGTGGTAGGATGTATTTATTAGTTATTTCAGGACCTTGTTTTGTCATCCAAGTCATAGGCTGCTCAGGTCCCCCTGACAAAGGCCACTGCTGCATCCCTAGTCACATGTGGCCCTCATGGAAGCGTTCAGCTCTCCAGGCTCCGTTCTCCTTTTGAGGTGTGCTGCTCCACCTCCAGTGGCTGGCTGTTATTTCACTCCATTTTGGTTCTATTCTGTTGAACTGTTTTAATTTTTTTTCCTTTTCTACCTAGGCATTTGGTTGCCAAGCTCCAGCTTTGAAGAACCAAATTAAGCTACCATGAAAAGAAGAGGAAAAGTGAGGGAACAGGAAGGTTGGGATTCTCTGTGCAGAGACTTTGGTTCCCCACGCAGCCCTGGGGCTTGGAAGAAGCACATGACCGTACTCTGCGTGGGGCTCCACCTCACACCCACCCCTGGGCATCTTAGGACTGGAGGGGCTCCTTGGAAAACTGGAAGAAGTCTCAACACTGTTTCTTTTTCAGAAGTTTTGTTTTTGATATTTATATTACTTGGTATGGAAAACTCACCTTGAAGGCAGTTGGGGTTTGTGCCCGTTGGATTGAAAGTGGTGCGAAGGGTGAGCAGGTCCAAAGAAGGGGTGGGAGGAGGGAACAGGGGACGGCCATTCAGCTGGTGCCAAAGGCAGAGTTAGAGTCTGTGCTGTGGGCCTGGAAGATGGGAGGAGGGGCTTGAGGTTTGCAAAGGACTGGGAGTTCCTGAGGAAGGGGGAATCTGCCTCTTGTTGCCATGGGCAGCTGTTGTAGGAGCAGGAGAGAAAGGAGGGTGGGTGGTCTCGAAAAGAATATTGGGCAAAACCTAGCCAATTGGCCTTAGCTGGGAGAAGTAGTGACTCCTGCATCCTTTTTTAAGGTTTAGGAACCTGAGTTCAGAAACACCTCTCATGGAAGCTGTACTAGTTGTGATTTACTTAATTCCTTAAGTTCCATGACCTGAAGTTAACCCCGTTCTTCCTCTGCTCTCAACCCATTGCCCCTTGAGATAACTGTACATGTCACTCTGATCATGGTAACAGCATCCCTATTGCTTCTGCCAGCTGTCATGGCAATCGTGTTTCCCATCACCTGGGCGGTTCAGAGCCAGTCATGGGCTGCTGAATTTAATGGAGCATGTTTCCAGGTTCTTCATGGCAAACTGTACTCATGACTTAGGAGTGAGTGTTACTTCCATGTGCCTGTCAGCTTGTGAGGGGGAATGTGGAGGAAGGTGAGAAATACAGCTCCCACAGTTGTGCTCTTCCTAGAGGAAGCTCTCAGAACGCAGCCCTCACGGGATTTCCTTAGGTCAGAGGAGAGCATCGCATCTCACGTTTTTAGGTTTATCACTGCCATCCCACTTCTGGGATGGGAGGTAGCAAGGGCTTCTGTATTTTCTTGTGTTCATTCTAGCAACCCAGACATTTCCGGATCAGATCCTGCTGGTCTCCACTCACTGGAAAGTCTGCCAGATGCCGATTTGAGAGCTGCCTGTCCCTGCTTTCAGGAGGAGCGGGGAGAAAAACTCCAATGGTCTTTAATGGTTTCTGCAGCTGGCCATGGCCAATTCATATGACATTGTGAGTTTGCTTTCTTATAGAGCTGCTCTGGGGAGAGGTTTGCTATTGAGATGTAACAGTGGAGCTGTTGGGTCTTCATGACTCCTTTGCGTGTGTTCCATGGGACTCTCTTTCTGGGTTCCCCATGCTTATAGTTGCCTCGTGTCACAAGACAGATACTAATGTCAGGTTTGTGGCTTCCTGATGGTTTGGGTGGGGCCCCAGTGTCCTGGTAATTTATAGGACTGCCTCATCTGGGAGCATTGCCTTCTTCCTTAGTCCCACGTGGAGTGACCAGTCTTCCTCCTTGTAGCTGAACAGGGAGGAAACTTGCACCATTACCTGACTGTGGAAGGGTGGCCCACAAGATGAGCTGTGCACCATAAACACAGCCCACCTCTGATTTGTCATGTGGTACCTCTTCTTTCCTTGGCTTCCATGGTAGTATTACCAACTAAGCAAGATTGTGATCCCAGAAATTGGCTTAGCATGTGAGTGTTGCCTCGTGAGAGTACAAGTAATATAACTCGCCATCTTGCAGGAAGTGCCACCCCAATATAGAGCCTGAAGTTGGAATCTGTTGAGATCCTTGGGTGGCTGATATACAGCCTGGGATCTTTCTTTTTTTTGTTCCTTTTCAACCACCCATAATTTTAATATTATTTTTTAGTGTGTGTGTGCCTGGCTTTGCGCTAGATATTGTAGAAAACAAAAAAGGTAAAAGACGTAATATGTGGCCTAAGGGAGCTTTTAGGTGACTGCTGCACATCAAGCAGAAAATCAAGGACTATCTAAAGACGTTTATAGTAGATAAGATCAGGGTAGACCAGATGGTCTGGGAAAGTTCTGTGCCTCTGAGGCTTTGGGTTGTAGTCAATGGCAGGACAGACAGTGAGATGAAAAACACATGAGCAAAAGCAAGGAAGCAGAAATCTGCATGGCATGTACTGAACAGTGCACAGCCCTGTTAGAGCAACATGGTTAAAGAATCCTTTCCAGTGCGGTTTTCTAGATGGAAGCTTCCCAGCCACCAGGCAGACCTGAGTGCCGAGGGGTTATGATGGTGAGGTGGAGCCCAAAGCCCAAAGGAGTCAGCAAGGCTCCTGCCCATTGCCAGGGCCTCACTATGGTCAGCTCAGGCCATGTGAGGGAGGCAGAGCCTCCGCACCCCCTGTGTTACTGGGGTTTCTTCTGGAGAACTCATACATTCAGGTACAAAACAAACCAACTGAGGAGGTGTGACCCAACCTCACCACCCACCTTTCTCCTCCTGGGGAGTGTCGTGTTGAACTGTGTCTGTGTCAGTGCACTGGTCCCAGCCCTGGCCGCAGCCTAGTCCTTTCTCTGTGGAGTGGGCTGCAAAACAGCAGCGCAAGAGGAGACAGTCTTCGTCAGGTGTGGGTGTTTGGTGCCTGCATGGGTGGCCTTGCACAGAGCAGTTAGGGGAAGATGAGGGGGAGGCATGGGGCTGGGCCAGCTCTCTGGGATACAGCCTGGTCAGAGAGTAAATGGAGCAGAGGAACAGGTGTGGCAGCACCTGCCCTTCACCTCCCTGACCAGGCCCGTCCCTCCTTCGCCAGTGCTGTGCAGAGCTCATTTAAATGTATTCCTTTCTAGGTCTGGGCGCGGTGGCTCACGCCTGTAATCCCAGCACTTTGGGAGGCTGAGGTGGGTGGATCATGAGGTCGGGAGTTCAAGACCAGCTTGGCCAAACAGTGAAACCCTATCTCTACTAAAATACAAAAATTAGCTGGGCATGGTGGCATGCGCCTGTAGTCCCAGCTACTTGGGAGGCTGAGACAGGAGAATTGCTTGAACCCAGGAGGCGGAGGTTGCACTGAGCCGAGATTGCGCCACTGCCCTCTAGCCTAGACGACAGAGTGAGACTCCATCTCAAAAAAAATAAATAATTTCTTTCTGGTTGTATTTTCAAGTCACAAATTGGAAAAGGCTTACATCTAGGGACCCACTGTTGATTCCTAAGTTGTGGGTGGGTGATATCAGTGGCCTCAGTGCCTGCATAACCCTCACCTGTTTATGACTGATCTACTGTAACCTTCCTCAGGTTGAGAGTGAGCTGCTGTGAGCCAGTGACAACTACTGCTACAACTTGCTGTTACTTGAAATTCGTGTGCTATGTTGGTAGCACAGGAGTAGGCGGGCGGGGGTTTTGGTGTGGGCACTAGGTAAGTGGGTGGCAACCGGCTCTTTGGGACCATTGGTGCTGACCTTTGCCTGGTCACCTGCCTGTGCCTAGGCCAAGTGAATGTTACATCTTGGAACCTGAGCCATGGAGGTGGCGCCACCTCCCTGAGGAGAAAGGTGTGGCCAAAGGAAACTCCTGCATGGCTCCTGCTCCTTCCCCTTCCCTACATTTCACTTGGGCTAATGATGTAAGCCCCCCTTGAGGTTGGGGATGGTGTGGAGATAGCTGCAGACACCCCTGTAACAGACATCCAGGAAGAATTAGGGAGTGGGGGTAATTATAGTTCCTAGGTCTAGGGGTGAGAGGTGGGAGTAGAACCAGAAGTGCCCTGGAATCCAGCCGTGTCAGCCCTCACCCCAGGGCCCCCAGGAAAGCATGGCCTGCTTGAAGCCCTCTGCTCCCTGCAGAAACTGGGGCGAGGAGGAGCTTTTTCCTTCAGTTAGATCTTTCCCTTCCCTGCTGCCTCGCTCCCTTAGCTTTGGAGCCCTAAAGTTAGTGGACAAGACACTGGGATAAAGCTCTATGGCTGCTGGAAGGAGGTCTGAGTCTGTGTGTGTGCATATGCATGCATGTGTGTGTGTGTGTGTGTCCTCATTTGCAGAAGTCTTGCTACCAGTTAGGGTGTTAAGAGCATCTCCACTGGGCGGAGACCTGGCATTTGTTTTCCACTGTTAAGAGAATGACACACCCCCTGTCATGTAAGGGAGGAGCTATTGAGTTAGACATTTTCCCTATGGGAATCCTCGGTTTGGTTTGTGGGAAAGGAGGGAATGGATAAGTGATTTTTATCTCTAATCGTCAACACAGCTGTTCTTCCACTGAATTTGTGCTATTGCATACATGTAGCCATCTTTCTTTTCACTGCAGCAGTGTTTATCAGTAGTTCAAAATGATTTATTTGCTCCTGGGGAGTAAAACCTTTTTTATTAAAAAAAGAAAAAGAAAAAAAAAAGAAAGAAAAGTGTGCCCCCCTCCTATGCTGCGATAGCTATAAAATGATTGGGTCACAAAGGTCAAGTCTGCACGTCCCTGTGGTAGACCCTGCTTTCACATTGGAGCCTTCACACTCAGCACAAAATGATTGGAGGCCTTGATAAAATGGAGAGCAAAGTCTTGGGAGCAGTGAAATGGGGGTTGGATCATAGAGACAGGCGCTGGGGACTCGGGTACTGCAGTTAGGAAAGTAGCGTTATGAGTTGTACTGAAAATGTTGATTCTCTAATCTGCCAGAAAAGGACCTGTCTTTTCATGCAGATTTCATATTGTCTTTGTCCTTTTCATTGCTTCTTGACCTTCCTGGCAGGTGTCGCTCAGTTTCTTCCTGTTTCCCTTCCTGTCCTCTCCACACCTGCTATCCCGTCCCACTCCCATCTACCTCCCGGGAAGCCAGCCCTGCATGCTGAGTTTGTGACCTGCTTCATTCCCATTTCATTTCTAGAGGGTTTAGAGGTGACCTGGAACCGTTCCCTTTCCCTCTCCTACCCCCTCCTCTGCAACACCAAGAGGCCTGGAGGGGCAGACAGAAAGCAGCCAGCCACGGCGGGAAGACATGCATGTTTGGTTGCAGCTGGACTGCGATCGTAGTTCCTCCTGGAGATAGAGTGTGAGGAACTTAGGACACTCTTCCTCAGACTCTGGGATCATCACATACCACACTGCCCCGCTCAGAGTTTCGTCCTGAGCTCCCTAACCAGCTCAGGTGGAGCAGAAGCCTGCTCTCACTCCTCCATCTCTGGTGCTCCCTTGGGCGGGGACCTGTCCCTCACTCTTAGGCCCAGAACCTGTCCAAGGGACAGGTAGGGTCCAGGTGCCACTTTGGGTAGCTGGCTGTTGGAATGCCCACACTGGTGCTGCCTGTGGCATAGCCACTGCTGTACGTTTTTGGTTGTTTTTAAGAAACTCGATGAAGAGGGGTGTCATTCTGGGCTCGGGGTGGTTGCCAATTTTTCACCAGAAAGGGAGCCACCCCTTGCAACCACTTCTGTCTCCGTTAGCCCCCCCTCTGCCCTCCTCCAAGCCAAAGCGTGGCCTGGCTTTTGTCTTCCCATTTAGTTTTCCTCTTTTACCCTTCCTTTTGTGCTTAATTTATTAAAATAGTTGCTGTATAATTTATTTTCATAAACTATAAAAAAATACTAAATGGTTAAAATAGACTTGCAGGCCAATCTTAAATGGGGTGGGAGGGGTCTGAGGGTGGGATGGGGAAAGGGAAAGAGGTTTTGATATAAACAAAACAAATGCACTTTGGGTGTGTTTTGGTATTTTTCTGGGGATAGAGGGGGTGGGGTTAGGGATGTCCCTGTAGATTAGTTCCAGAATGGGGTGTCTGTATATACTGTATTAATAGGCATGTTTGACTCTCGTAAAGGGACGTTAGTAGCTGCTGCAGGTCCTGTTTGGAAACCCCATGTACAATTCCCAGTTTTTTGTAAGTGTCAGTGCGAGAGACATTTGACTCTTGTGTTTGTATCTCCTTTTTATGATTGCTGTACCTACCCATGTCTTTTTGGGGAGGGGTGAAAAGAGATTTGAAATAAAAATGTTTAGAAATTATTTCATGTTCTTTGGTTTGGTGTTTTTCACTCCCTCTCCCATCTCATGTGACTCCTGACATGCCCCAATAGGATCTGATGACCCAGCCCTGGGGAATGGGTGATCCCTGTGATGTCAGCCAAGCAGAGTGCACCCAGCACTAGGCTTGTCAGAATTAGAGGTGCTGAAAAATCCCTGAGGCTGATGGCCACTGCTCAGAGCTACCTTCTCCTTCCCTAGGAAGTGCAGGAGCATTCCCGAGAGCTTTCTGGGGCTGAGTGCCCGTGGCCTTTTTGTCTTGGTGAGCATTGGCGTGGGGCTCTACCTAAGGAGAGTTCATATTTACCATAGCAGTCATTCCTAGTATTCCCTGTGGCTGGCACCAAGGTTTTTCCTAAGTTCAACCCATAGCCCTCCTGCTGCCTTTCTAGCCTACTATTGCTTAAGCTGTGCTCTTCGGAGAGAAAGGGACTAAGTTGTTCCTCTGGTTGACAACGTGTGTATCGGCATATCCCGGGGATTTTGTGGGTTCCATTCCAGACAACCGCAATAAAGTGAACATCACAATAAAGCAAGTTGCACAAATTTTTTGGTTTCCCAGTGCATATAAAAGTTATGTTTACACTATGCTGTTGTTAAGTGTGTAATCTTAAAAAATAATGTGCATAATTTAAAAATACTTTATTGCTAAAAAACACGATCATCTGGGCCTTCAGCAAATTGTAATCTTTTCGCTTATGAAGCATCTTACCACGATGTTGATGGCTCCTGATGGGTTAGAGTGGCAGTTGCTGAAGGTTGGGGTGGCTGCGGCAATTTCTTGTTCTTTTTTTTTGAGACGGAGTCTTGCTCTGTCGCTCAGGCTGGAGTGCAGTGGTGCGATCTCGGCTCACTGCAAGCTCCGCCTCCCAGGTTCACGTCATTCTTCTGCCTCAGCCTCCCGAGTAGCTGGGACTACAGGCGCCCACCACCACGCCCAGCTAATTTTTTTGTATTTTTAGTAGAGACAGGGTTTCACTGTGTTAGCCAGGATGGTCTCAATCTCCTGACCTCGTGATCTGCCCGCCTCCGCCTCCAAAAGTGCTGGGATTACAGGCGTGAGCCACCGCGCCTGGCCTACTGTGGCAATTTCTTAAGACACCAATAAGGTTTGCTGCATTGATTTGACTCTTATTTTCAAAAAAGATTTCTCTGTAGCATGTGATGCTGTTTGATAGCATTTCCACACAGTAGAACTCCTTTCGAAATTGGAGTCAGCCCTCTCAAATCCTGCTACTGCTTCATCAACTAGGTTCATGTAACATTCTCAGTCCTTTGTTGTCATTTCAACAAAGTTCACGGCATCTTCACCAGGAGTAGATTCTATCTTAAGAGACTACTTTCTTTGCTCATCCATAAGCAGTAACTCCAGACAGGTGTGATGGTACGCACCTGTAGCCCCAGCTACTCAGGAGGCCAAGGCAGGAGGATCCCTTGAGCCTAGGAGTTTAAGGCCAGCCTGGGCAGCAAAGCAAGACCCAGTCTTGTCCCTTAAAAAAAAGCAACTCCCATCTGTTTAAGTTTTATCATAAAATTGTAGCAATTCAGTCACATCTTCAAGGCTCCACTTCTAATTCTAGTTATGCTATTACCACCACATCTGCAGTTACTTCCTCCACTGAAGTCTTGAACCCCCTCATAGGGGAATTAACTTCTTCGTGGAATTAACTTCCATTTTCGTGGAATTAACTTCTTTCAAACTCCTGTTCATGTTGATACTGTGACCTCCTCCCATGAATCATGAATGATCTTTGTTTTTTGGAAATGGAGTCTCACTCTGTCACCCAGGCTGGAGTGCAATGGCATGATCTCGGCTCACTGCAACCTGCGCCTCCTGGGTTCAAGCGATTCTCCTGCCTCAGCCTCCCGAGTAGCTGGGATTTCAGGTGTGCATCACCATGCCCGGCTAATTTTTGTATTTTTAGTACAGACCTGGTTTCACCATGTTGGCCAGGCTGGTCTTGAACTCCTGATCTCAGGCGATCCACCCGCCTTAGCCTCGCAAAATGCTGGGATTACAATTGTGAGCCACCGTGCGTGACATGAATATTCTTAATGGCATCTAAAATGGCAAGTCCTTTCCAAAAGGTTTTTAATTTGCATTGCCCAGATCCATCAGAGGAATCACTATGGCAGCTACAGCCTTATGAATGTATTTCCCTTTTTTTTTTTTTTTTTTTTTGGAGACAGAGTGAGACTCTGTCACCCAGGCTGGAGTGCAGTGGTGTGATCTCGGTTCATTGCAACCTCCGCCTCCCCGGTTCAAGCGATTCTGCTGCCTCAGCCTCCTGAGTAGCTGGGACTACAGGAGCCTGCCACCACGCCCGGATAATTTTTTGTATTTTTAGTAGAGATGGCGTTTCACCGTGTTAGCCAGGATGGTCTCCATCTCCTGACCTCGTGATCTGCCCGCCTTGGTCTCCCAAAGTGTTGGGATTACAGGCATGAGCCTCCGCGCCTGGCATGATTGTATTTCTTAAATAGTAAAACTTGAGGGCCAGGTGGAGTGTCTCACGCCTGTGATCCCAGCACTTTGGGAGGCCAAGGTGGGCGGATCACCTGAGGTCAGGAGTTCAAGACCAGCCTGGGCAACATGGTGAAACCCCGTCTCTACTAAAAATGCAAAAATTATCTGGGTGTGGTGGCACACACCTGTAATCCCAGCTACTCAGGAGGCTGTTGCAGTGAGCCAGGATCACACCACCACTGCACTCCAGCCTAGGAAACAGAGCAAGACTCCGCCTCAAAAAAAAAAAAAAAAAAGCTGGGGCTGGGCGCGGTGGCTCATGCCTGTAATCCCAGCATTTTGGGAGGCCGAGGTGGGTGGATCACCTGAGGTCAGGAGTTCAAGACCAGCCTGGGCAACATGATGAAACCCCATCTGTACTAAAAATACAAAAATAAGCCGGGTGTGGTGATGCATGCTGGTAATTCCAGCTACTTGGGAGGCTGAAGCATGAGAATCACTTGAACCCAGGAGGCGGAGGTTGCAGGGAGCCGAGATCACGCCATTGCACTCCAGCCTGGGCAACAGAGAGAGAGAGACTCCATCTCAGAAAAATAAATAAGACTTGAAAGTCGAAATTACTCCTTGATCCATCAGCTGCAGAATGGATGTTGTGTTAGCAGTCACAAAAACAACACTCATCTCCTTGTGCAGCTCCATCAGAGCTCTTGGGTGACCAGTTGCATTGACTTCCCGCCTCAGCTGCCTGAGTAGGTGGGCTGCATGTGCCACTACGTCTGGCTAACTTAAAAACTTTTTTTTTAAATTTTGGTAGAGAAAGAGTCTCGCTATGATGCCCAGGCTGAAGGGCAGTGTCACGATCATAGCTCACTCCAGCCTTGAATTCCTGGCCTCAGGCAATTTTCCCTCCTTGGCCTCTCAAAGCACTGAGATTATAGGCATGAGCCACTGTGCCCAGCCTAGCATTCTTTTGGAAACAATGGGCCCCAAATAAAACCCCTTCCCACTGTCTTCACCTCCAAACCTGAAACTACCTGCTTCATCTCCTCATCACAAAGGCTGTTCCATCAAACCTCTGCAATGGAGTCTTCTCACGCACATACTTACTTGAATTCAATGATAAGCACTTGGCAAGTAATAGTGCCGGAGATTCCTCATTCATTCCATTGTGTGCCCCCCCGATTGAAGGTGAGATGGGAACAGTAAGTTTTATGTCTCTTGGTTCCCTCCAGCCTCTCATAGTGTGAGCATCTCGCGTATAAGGATTCCAGTGCATATTTGTACTACGTGGATTCTGAAGACCAACTGTTTTCACTGGTGCTCAGCCAAAGGCACAAGAGTTGACTCCAGCTCAGGAGAGGCACTAGCTGATCCCTAATGGAGCCCCTCCGCAAGGGGTTTTTGAGAGGAATTTTGCAGCTTCCTCTGCTGCACACATCCCCATTGAAGCTATGATTTCACCATCCGTCTATTGCCATGTCCTCATTAGGCATTCTCCTTCGTGAACCTGGACAATTTCAACTGGTCTTCCTGCTTCTGTTTCTCCTCTCTAGTCCTTCAAAATGTCCTTCTGGCCGGGCGCGGTGGCTCACGCCTGTAATCCCAGCACTTTGGGAGGCCGAGGCAGGCGGATCACGAGGTCAGGAGGAGATCGAGACCATCCTGGCTAACACGGTGAAACCCCGCCTCTACTGAAAATACAAAAAATTAGCCGGGCGTGGTGGCGGGCACCTGTAATCCCAGCTATTTGGGAGGCTGAGGCAGGAGAATGGCGTGAACCCGGGAGGCGGAGCTTGCAGTGAGCAGAGATCGCGCCACTGCACTCCAGCCTGGGCGAAAGAGTGAGACTCTGTCTCAAAAAAAAAAAAAAATGTCCTTCTATAAGATCTCACTGTGTTGCCCAGGTTGGAGTACAGTGGCTCAATCTTGGCTCACTGCAGCCTTAACCTCCCAGATTCAAGCAATCCTCCCACCTCAGGCTTCTGAGTAGCTGGGACTAAGATACAAGCCAACATGCCTGGCTAATTAATCTTTTTGTAGAGACAAGTGTCTCACTATGTTGCCCAGGCTGGTCTGGAACTCCTGGGCTCAAGCATCCTCCACCTTGGCCTCTAAAGTGCTGAGATTTCAGGCATGAGCCACCATGCCCAATGGTGTCATTTCTTTAGTTTACAGTCTTTGATGTCTTTCAACCAAGAGAAATCCCCATTGAAATCTTGACCATCAACCTGCCTTCCAATGCTGTTTTTCCTTCCCTGACACGTAGGCTTCAGTCTGGTCACATGTGTGACCTGAAGCCTGTAATCATGGCATCCCTCCTGCCACTCTGCCTTCCCTCATGGTTCACCCTGTGCCTGGAGGACCCTTACCTGTCACCCTCTTTACCTGCTGAACTCATTCTTCAGGGCCCTGCCCCAGGGTCACTCTGTGGAATTGGAATTGTCACTAGCCACAAACAAATGGCTCTTTCCTCTCTTATGACATTTGTTCATCTATCTCTGCCTGCTTGTTCCGACTGTGACCTCTGCGAGGGACAGTGTCCTATTCATCTCTCTCCCCACTTCCAGGGCCTGGCACAGTTAAATGGCCGTGCCAAGGTGGTGGTAAGTTGAGGAGATGAGATCAGCCCCCTTCCCACGAATGTTGCTAATATTCCCTCCCCTCTAGTTAGCCAGTCCTTGAACCTGGATCTCCACCTTTCACACTGGACAACTGGATTGTTTAGAGGTGGGGATTTTTAGTCACCAAATGCCAGTCTTTTTCTTCTTCTTCTTTTTTTTTTTTTTTTTTTTTGAGATGGAGTCTCGCTTTATCACCCAGGCTGCAGTGCAGTGGCGCGATCTCAGTTTACTACAACCTCCGCCTCCCCGGTTCAAGTGATTCTCATGCCTCAGCCTCCAAAGTAGCTGGGATTACAGGCATGCGCCACCATACTCGGCTAATTTTTGTATTTTTTAGTAGAGACTGGGTTTTGTCATGTTGGCCAGGCTGGTCTCTAGCTCCTGGCCTCAAGTGATCCACCTGCCTCAGCCTCTCAGAGTGCTATGATTACAGGCATGAGCCACAGTGCCCGGCCCCAAATGTCAGTCTTCTGCAAAACTTTCTCAAGAGACTGAAATTTTCATGGTTGGAGTAGGAGTGTGAAAGGTGTGATACAAGGTGGATGCGGTGGCTCACGCCTGTAATTCCAGCACTTTGGGAGGCCTAGGTGGGTGGATCACCTGAGGTCAGGAGTTTGAGACCAGCCTGGTCAACATGGTGAAACCTCGTCTTTACTAAAAAATACAAAAAATTAGATGGGCATCGTGGCACATGCCTGTGTGTGGAGGATGAGGCAGGAGAGGATCACTTGAACCCGGGAGGCGGAGGTTGCAGTGAGCTGAGATCGTGACACTGCACTCCAGCCTGGGCAACAGAGTGAGACTCTGACCAAAAAGAAAAAGAAAAGTAAAAAGAGAGAGAGGAGAGAGAGAGGAAGGAAGGAAGGAAGGAAAGGGAGGGAGGGAGGGAGGGAAAGAAAGAGAAAGAAAGACAGAAGTATACAGCGGTAACCCAAGATGTTCCAGAGGTGGGATGTGGACTGCTTCCTCTTGACATCATAGAGGATGACAGAGCTGTCGCTGCTCTTGGATGGAAGACGCCACTGATCTAGGGTCAGCTGGCTTTGTCCAGTGGCCAGAGACTGCACTGAGCCACCTGCTACTCCCTGCTGAGTTATCACTTAACAGAAACCCTGCATTTAAAGAGAGCTCAACCCAGGCCCCCTTCTCACATCCTAGGCTTACATCCCAGGTTTCTCATCTCATCAGGGTCAGGGTGGGGGGTGGGTGTCAAGGCCTGGCTTCCTGGCCCCTGCACTGCTGAGAAACTTGATTTTATTTCTGGGCCCTTATTCTGCAGATCCAGGGATGATGGGAGAACGGGAGAGGCTAGCTGGATTTATACTGGGAGAGAAAAGTAAGAGGAAATGGTAATGGCTGAGCTTGGGGGACATTGAGAAGGTTTGGAAATGGGTAGGAAGGTCTTTGGCAACAGCTGTCCTGTGTGTGAGACCGATAAAGTCAAGATGTTTCACTATGCAGTGGGTGTCATCTCTTGGTGCCTCTTCTTCCCCATGCCCTGGTATTGAAAAACCTGATATATGGGTCCGGCGCAGTAGCCCACGCCTATAATCCCGGCACTTTAAGAGTCAGGAGTATGGGGAAGGCATGGTGGCTCATGCCTGTAATCCCAGCTCTTTGGGAGGCAGAGGCAGGTGGATCACCTGAGGTCAGGAGTTTGAGACCAGCCTGGCCAACATGGTGAAACCCCATCTCTACTAAAAATATAAAAATTAGCTGGGCGTGGTGGTGGGCACCTGTAATCCCAGCTAATCAGGAGGCTGAGGCAGAAGAATCACTTGAATCTGGGAGGCGGAGGTTGCAGTGAGCCGAGATCGTGCCACTGCACTCCAGCCTGGGTGACAGAGGGAGACTCGGTCTCAAAAAAAAAAAAAAAAATAGAGAGTCAGGAGCATTGCTTGAGCCCAGAAGCTCAAGACCAGACTAGGCAATATGGCAAGACCCCATCTCTTTTTTTTTTTTTTTTTTGAGATGGAGTCTCGCTCTGTCACCCAGGCTGGAGGGCAGTGGCGTGATGTCGGCTCACTGCAAGCTCCACCTCCCGGGTTCATGCCATTCTCCTGCCTCAGCCTCCCGAGTAGCTAGGACTACAGATGCCCACAACCACGCCTGGCTAATTTTTTGTATTTTTTTTTAGTACAGACGGGGTTTCACCATGTTGGCCAGGATGGTCTTGATCTCCTGACCTCGTGATCCACCCACCTCGGCCTCCCAAAGTGCTGGGATTACAGGCGTGAGCCACCGCGCCCGGCCGGCAAGACCCCATCTCTAAGAAAAAAAAATAAAAAATTAGCTGGGCATGGTGACATGTGCCTGTAGTCCCAACCAATTTAAGAGACTGAGGCAGGAGGATTGATTGAGCCCAGGTGATCAAGGCTGCAGGGAGCTGTGATTGAGCTACTGCACTCCAGCCTGGGTGACAGAGCAAAACTCTGTCTCAAAACAAAGAAAAACCTGTCTGGATACGGGGCAGATATGTCTTTGACTGGGATCCCATACGGCTCTGGACATGTTAAACGCCGACTGCATGTGGAGAGCGGGCTCTGTGTCTTGCTCATCTTCTGGGATGACCCCCATCCCCCAGCCGAGCACATGAAGGGATACCTGTGAATGTTTGCCAAAAACCATGGAGCAGGTCAGAGGCAGAGCCAGGCCAGGAGGGAGGTGGCAGTGGGGAAAGGTCTTCTAGGCTGGAATCACCTTTGGGCCTGGACCGGGGAGCTCCCATATTGGAATGGGAGTTTATGTGGGAACTGTTTTCAGCAAATGCTGGTGGGGGAGACCGCAGAATGCATTGTGGAGTCTGGCGGAGAGGCTTCGGGGATGGTGCCGTGGTTCTCAGCCAGGGCAGAGGCTTTGTGAGCTTGAATCACTTAGACAACATTTTCACATCTCACTCCCAAGACTAAGACACCCTCCTAGAATCTCAAGGGGTTGTGGGGGAGAGCGGTGGTGAGGATAGCAGATGAGACATCTCAGGGGCATCCACGGGCTCTTCGCTTCCTCCCATGCTCCTGCCTGCCTGTTAAGACTCCTGGGGAGGGCCTGGCCCAGGATTTGCTGACCCAAGTTTGAGTCCCGGCTCTACTACCTGCTCGTTTTGTGATCTTGGGCACTTTATGCTTTTTTGGTCTGTTTCCTCCTGAGTTTTATTTCCTACCTCATGTGTGAGTAAATGAGACATGTGTGTAAAATGCCTGGTACATCTTGAGCACTTAATAAATATCCACAAAAGCCTGCGCGACATAGCAAGACCCTGTCTTCATAAACAGTAAAAAATTAGCTGGGCATGGTGGCGTGCGCCTGTAGTTTCAGCTACTCAGGAGGCTGAGGTGAGAGGATCGCTTGAGCCTGGAAGGTCCAGGCTACAGTGAATGGTGATGGTGCCATTGCACTCCAGCCTGGGCAACACAGCGAGACTCTGTCTCAAATGTGTGTCATCTCTCTCTCTCTCTCTCTCGGCACTGATTATGATCATTATTATTATTATTATTATTTTTGAGACAGGGTATCTCTCTGTCACCCCGGCTGGATTGCAGTGGCAAGATCTCAGCTCACTGCAACCTCTGCCTCCTGGGTTCAATTCTCCTGCCTCAGTCTCCTGAGTAGCTGGGATTATAGGCGTCTGCCACCACGCCTGGCTAATTTTTGTATTTTTCGTAGAGACTAGGTTTCACCATGTTGGCCAGGCTGGTCTCGAACTCCTGACCTCAGGTGATCCCTCTGCCTCAACCTTCCAAAGTGCTGGGATTACAGGCGTGAGCCACCGTTCCTGGCCCCATGATCATTATTATTAGCGGGCTTTTTTTTTTTTTTTTTTTTTTTTTTTGCTGGGAGAGGGAAAGAGTCTCGCCCATCACCCAGGCTGGAGTGCAACAGCGCTATTGTAGCTCACTACAACTTCAAACTTCTGGGCTCAAGCCATCCTCCCACCTCGGCCTCCCAAAGTGCTGGGATTACAGGCGTGAGCCACTGTGCCCGGCCCTGTTAGCAGTATTTTGAAAACTAGGATTGAGATTCTTTTTGCCAAAGGCAGAGGAAGAATGAAAAGCTCCTCTTACCGGAGGCCGCAGAGGAGCGGGCTGTAGGGAAAAAGAGAGGAGGGAGCTTCCAGGTGGGGAAGGGCCCGGAGGCTGCTGGTGGCCGCGGGCAGAGCTGGGTGAGTCATTGGGCTTCTCCTGCCACCTAGTGGCTCCTCAGGGCTAAGCCACCCTGCTGTTCCCTCAGGTCCCCTCGGTGGTGGTGGGGTGAGGCCGCACTTAAATATTCCTAAACACGGTGTCTCCAGTCCTCTTCTGTTAGCCCATTAAACGCCCTGCCCTTTCAGGGACCCTGGCCCATGAGGCATCCCTCACCTGGCCCTGGTGTGTGGGACACGACCCCCTCCTCCAGGTGGAGGGAGAGCGAGAAGCCTTTGTTCTCCTGGCTCCGGGGCAGAGTTGGGGGGCCGAGGCGGACACCTGGGGACGGTGGATGCCACGTTCATGCACCCCGCCCCCGCTTGCTTGATGGCTGCTCATGGGAGAGACTGGGGCCCGGGACCATGTCCGTGTCTGCTGCGGGTTCTAGTTAATTCTATAAATAGGCACTATTTTGTGCAGGGTCCGGGTTAGGGCTCTCCTGAACCTTCCCATCTCACCTTCTCGGAGGACTTTGCCTTTTTGTCTCCAGTATGGAGAGGGTGCGGACAGAGACCGGCCGCCCGAGGCCTGAGAGCCGGATGGGGCCTCTCCTCATGCCCCTCCCTCTGAGGAGGCTGCCTGGAGTGATGGCCTGGTTGCATCATGCCCTACTCCTGCCTATTAGGTGGCTGTGACTACTGGGGAGGGGTCTGGCCCTGGGTGAGGGGCTTCAGGAGGAGGCTGAGGGTCCTCATGAAGGGGCCACACGTTGGCTGTGAATCAAGGTCAGGCGTCCTGCCCTGCTGCCCACTGCCCTCCCCGCCCCTGACACCCACTTCTCTCTCGGGGCCCTGCAGCCTCAGCTGCACCAGGCCAGGATTGCATCATTCTTGGCTTTGTTCTCAGAGCAGCAGGTGCAGGAGTGGGGCCTGCCACCCGCCGCCCCCCTCCTTCCCTCTCATCTCCTTCCACTCCCTCCTGGGTAATCCCCCTCCTTCCTCCCTTCCTAGGCCCATGGCACCCCGGGAGTTGTCTGCCTTACCCGTGGCTCTTAGCTCCCTTTCTACCTTCTCCCTGTTCCCCAGGGAGCCCTGGAGGCTACCGAGGTGGAAGGAAGTAGACTGGGGGGCAGGGATGAGCACCAGGCTGGAAACCGCCATTCTTCACCTCTAGCCCCCAACTGGCTGAAAGCAGGTGCCACCCGCAAAGGGAACACCCGGTTGTAGCCAGGGTATAGCCTCCTAGAATTTGGGGACAAGGTCAGAAATCGTCACCTGCTGAACTAAAACTAATAATAATCAACATAAAATGAATTAATTCAGCCCTTTGTAGAAGGCACTTAACTTTTTTTTTTTTTTTTTTTTTTGTGAGATGGAGTCTCGCTCTGTCACCCAGGCTGGACTGCAGTGGCACAATCTCGGCTCACTGCAACCTCCGCCTCCCAGGTTCAAGAATTTCTCCTGCCTCAGCCTCCCTAGTAGCTGGGATTATAGGCATGTGCCATCACGCCCAGCTAATTTTTTGTAATTTTGGTGGAGACGGGGTTTCACCTTGTTGGCCAGGCTAGTCTCGAACTCCTGGCCTCAGGTGATCCGCTAGCCTCGGCCTCCCAAAGTGCTGGGATTACAGGCGTGAGCCACCACACCCTGCCGGTGCTTAACTTTTATTGATCACTTCTGTGCCCACCAGTAGACCGAGCATTTTAGACTCACATTCTCATGTCATCTTTCAACAGCTCTGTGAGGTGGTGCGGTTAGCATGTCTGGTTTACAGATAAGGGAGCTGCAGGGCAGAGAGGTCAGAACACTTGCCCAAGACTGCGCGAATATTAAATGGCAGGTCTGGGAGGTGAGTCCTGGTCTGCCTCCCTCTTGAAGCCTCTGGAAGAGATGGTTGGAAAATTCGATGCTGACCCACCCGGAACATTTTTTTTAAACCCCTAAAAGATTGTTTTTGGCCAAGACACTCATCAAGAGATAAGTATCTTATTTTAACTTTATCAAAGAGATAGAATAAATAACAAATATCCATGGAAGCCTGGGCTACATACTGAGACCCCGTCTCTAAAAAAATAAAAAATTAGCCAGGCATGGTGGCATGCACTTGTAGTCCCTGCTGCTCAGGCTGAGGTGGGAGGATCATTTGAGCCTGGGAGGTGGAGGCAGCAGTAAGTGGTGATTGCACCACTGCACTCCAGCCTGGGCTCATATCAAATGAGCCCTGCCCCTCTCCACACTGCTGTACCTCTGAGGCAACATTGTTGCTGAAGGTTCTGGTCCCTGTGGGATGTAGAAGAAGAGAAGCACTGGGGGATCCAGCCTGCCAGGGAGGAGGGAGGACTGGGGGACTGCACTTGTGGACCCTGCAGGCTGGCACAGAGACTGTGGGTGGTACTATCCCTTCCTTATTCAGGAACTCTGCTTGTGAATCTTCCTGCAGTGTTCAAGGTGTGTTGATAAGATAGCATTGGGTTTAGCAATCTAGCCACCATGACTTTGGCTAGTAGGAGTTTACTCCTGAGAGCCAGATTAGCATCTCTGAGGACAGACAGTCCCTGATCTTGCAAAGCCCAACACCAGACCCTAGGCCTGGCCAAGCAACAGCTATTTGAAGGCCCAGCATGGGTGGCTACCGCCGCCACCACCTTCTTGTTCTCACTTCCTCAGCACTGAAAGAGAACCTGAGGGAAACCAACTGGAGAGAATGGAGCCTGGCTTCCACAGCCAGGGCCCTGCTACACCACAGCCCGGGAGAGTGCGGCTCAGGGCGAGGGGCAGGCTTGCTGGCTGACACTCTTCTCTGTCTCCAGTCTCTTTAGCTCAAGACAGACTCCGTCTGAAGGGACAAAGGGCCCCATTGACCTCATAGCCTTGTGACCCCACCCAAGTCTGTCCCTCCCTCCCCAGGCAGCCAGCAGGGTCCTTGAGTAGCAGACAGGAGCCACAAGGCCGCTGGGAGGGCACTGGCGGGGAAGCCAAGAGAGGCGGCAGCCAGCTGGTCAGGGAAAACTGGGAGTGCGTGGGCAGTGCCCACCAGATTGCCACCAGGGGAGGCCAAGGATGAGGGCTCCGGGTACTCCTGGCTGTAGTCCCAGGAGCAAAGCAGCAAATACCCTGCAGGGCCACAGCATGGGAGGCTGGGGGAGTCCAACTTCAGCCCCAAAATGGGCTGCCCGGAGCTCAGGGCCTCCCTGGCCCACATTCCTGTCTCCCTGCCCCCAACATGCCCCCCACACCCAGCCTATAAAGCCCCCTTTGTCTGAGCCACTGAGGATCTTAACTCTCCCCATCTCAGCTTCCCACCCCCTCTCCCTCATCCTCTGGTGCCTAACAAAGAGGCCAGGGCTCAGTGAGAAGTGGTGAAGCCACCTTCATGCCAGCCTGGGCATTGGCCCAGGGGGTGTGGGCAGCCAGTGCCTGTAAACCAATGCCTCCACCCCACCGCCCACCTCGGGGCAGGTTAATTTCCACCCTTGTCCACTGGGGATTGCGTACCCCTGCCCAGGGCAGCGTGCCCACCTCTCACATGACCATTTATGTGATGCCCCTCTCAGTTTGTCCTGCCCTGTCAGATGCAGAACAGAGGGCAGTGGGTGGTCAGGAGCCACACCTGATGGAGGGTGTCAGAGAGCGAAGGTGTCTTTTTGCCATCTCCTTGGTCTTCACCAGAGTGGGCGGCCCCGCTGCCCACACATTATGTTCTCCAGTAGTATCTGGGGGTTCAGATCCCCCTTCTCTGGGAGTGGATAAACAGATCAGCCCCCTCCTCCTGCTTGGCAAGTGCCAGGAACATGGCTCACTGGGTGGGCAACAGGAATCCCCATCTCTTTTTCCCACACCCAGCCAAGGGCCTCAGAACACCTTCAACTATAGGCTGGACGTCGGCAACAGCTCCCTGTTCCCACAGCGATCTCGAGGTGGGGGTGGCACAGTGTCTCCCTGAGTCCCAGTGCTCTGGGTGTCTCTGGCCTGCTGTCAGTCACCCCCTGCAGCGGGTCGTCAGCTTGGGAGGCAGTTGGTCTGGGATCAACTGGGATCAGCTCTGTTGCCAAGGTGCGGTGAGACCGCTGGCAAGCCACTCTCTGGCCCCTGTAGCATGAGAGTAGGGTCCTTCCGACTCCGATGAGCCTCAGGAATGAGGAAAGCGGCTTCGCTTGCAGGGGTCTCCTCTCCCCTAGCAGCGCCCCCAGGACGGGCAGAACAGGGGGTGCCGGAGCGGGCTAGCCAGGGATGTGCGAGGGTCGGGTGCGCGTTGTGTGTGTGTTCGAGTGTGTGTGCCCCCACGTGCGTGCGTGCGATTGTGCGGTTGCCTGTGAGCGCGTGTGCTCGCCGGTGCGCGGTGCTGCCACGGGCCGGGCGGGGTGAGGAGGGGAGGGGGCGGGCGGAGGGGCGGGGCCGGCGGGGCGGGGCGGTGCGGGGAGGGGGCTCGAGCGCTGACACCAGCCGCTACTTGCGCTTGGCGGTCGCCGGGTGCAGCTGCCCGGACAGGGCGCATGGAGGGGCCGCCTCCCCCTGCGCCCCCCGGGGCCGGCGCGGCGAGGACGGCATAGCAGGGCCCAGCATGGAGCAGGTGAGCGGGCGCCGGGCGTGGGTGCGCGGCCGAGAGGGGAGAGAGAGCTGCGGGCGTTGTGACCCGGCGAGGTGGGCGCGCCGAGCGCCGAGGGCCGCCACCGAGGGAGGGGTTGGGGCATTGGAGCTCCGGGCGGAGCGGGGGCTCTGGGGGAGGGATGGGACTGATGTGACACAGAGCTCACACACACACACACACACACACACACACACACACACGAGTACTCCCTTATCACTGACACCTAGGAAGGCGTGTGCAGAGGGCACCTCTCTCCCCACCCCCTTTCCAGAAAGAGATCACCCACACGGAGAAACCCCCATCCCCACTTGGTAAGGGTACAGCCCCTGCTCCCTGAACCCAGGCCCAAGGAGGCTACAGACTCTGCAGAATGAAGGAGTGGGTGGGCTCTGTGCCATATGACTACTGGTTCGTTGACCCCCAGTCCCTCCTGGTGGGACCTCAAGATACGCCGGTCCCCTCCCCCTACACATCAAGGGGTTTCTTCCAGCCCGGCTCCCCTCCTTTCCCAGTCACAGCAGCTGCAGCAGCTGCTGCCACCATTTCATGTCAGTGAAAAGATGGGGTGGGCTAAGAGGCTTTCTCCAAATGCACCCCAAAGGCAGAGCTGCAGCCCCAGCCAGGTTTTGGGAGGGGGGTGCTGCCTTCCTTTCACACAGGCTCCATCAGAATACACTGAGTGTGGGCTGGGCTCAGTGGGCGGGGATGAAGACCCCCTCTGGTCAGAGTTCTCATTCCCTGCACGGAGCTCAGCAAATCCCAGACAGGCTGGACCAGTCCCCTTCAGTGAGCAAGGGGCTGTATCCTGACTTGCAGCCCCCTGATCTAAGAGAAGCCAGCAGCCTGATGGGGGGCAGAGCGAGGGGGCTGCTCCAGGGGTTGCCTTACTCCCTTCCCAACCCCCACTTGGGGTGAGGTCTCAGGTGGGGTCTGGAGAGGCGGGATAGGTTTTCTATTTGGGACACACCTTTCAGTGCTCAGCCGCCCTAACTCCCTTCTTTTCCTGGCCCAAGTTCTTTGGGGCTGTTCTGCCTAAAGCAGTGGCTGGGGGCCCTGGCTCTGAGACCCTCCCCTCCAGGCTGAGCACAGGCCCCCTATCACTCTGGCAGAGGGCTTGTGGGTGGCCTGTGATGGTGGTGAGGAGAGGGGTGAGGAGGAGTGGAGGGTGAGGAGTCGGGGGAGGTGGAGTCCGTGGAAGGGGTGACCCTAAGTTCTGGGGGGTTGGAGAGGGGCACTGGGAGGCATAAAGTGCTCTGGGCATCCTCCCTGGGCTGGGTGTGAGTCTGGGGCGGGGCTGTGGCTGGTCCAGTTTCCAGGCCTGTTTGGCATCTTGGGCATTAATTTAAATGGCCAATGGCAGCTCCCCAGAGCACCAGGCCTGGCTGCTATTGTCATTACTGACTGAACACAAAAATAGTGGTAGGGCGGGGAGGGAGGGAAGAGTAGTAAATGCCACTGAATTGCTCACTGTAAAATGGCTAATTTTACGTTACGTGAATTTCACCTGGATTTTTTTTAAAAAGAGGGGCAGGGCTAGGGGCCACTACTGCTTCCTGTCTAGAGAATCCTAAATGCATCTCACTGGGCCTGCAGCTCAGCCTGAGTTGTTCCTCCAAGTAGCCCATCTGCCCATCATTGGCCTTCATCAGCCCTCCGTAACTGTTCTGGGGATCAGCCGCTTCCCCTTTCCCAGAGGACAGACCACAGCCTGCTCCCCTGTACCCTCCCCTGGGAGGAGAAACATCAAGGGGAGTCAGGACATTGGGCTTCTGCCTTTGGCTCCATTACAGAATCATTGGGAAGCCTTGGACATTCATCCTGTCTGGGCTGCTGTGAAATCTCTGCCAGCTATGCCAAGTGGTGGCTTCTTGGTCCTTTCTGGATGTCCTAGGACACCTCTGCCAAGCACAGCAGCTCAGCCTGTCCCCTGGACTGTGAGGTCCCTCCCCACAGACATGGACTCTGATGATCGGCACACTCTCCGAGGTGCCTAGGCTGATGTGGTTAACGCCCGGCTTTCTGGATGCACCGGAAGCGTGGTGTGTATGGAGTGCGTCTGAAATCAGAGCTTCTTTCATTGCACCAGGGGAAGCTCCTATTTTAAGTTTCCCATGTGCTGAGCCCTCTTGTAAAGCAAAGAATCCTTTTATAGTGCGTGAGCCGCCGATGTGTCTGTTTGGTATGTGTGGATTTTGGCATGGAGGGCTTCCTTAAAGGGGAGCATGCCTGGAATCTCTCACGGGGGCTGGAACTGCTGGGTGGGGTGAGTGCCAGGACTGAGGGGCTTGCCCCACTGTGGTCAGTCCCGCCCCTCTTTTCTCCTCATCTGACTCCCAACACTCCCACCCAGGGCTGGCTCAGGGCCAGACAGAGGAGAGGGGAGCAGCTGCAGGGGGATTTCCAGAGCTTCGACGGGGAGGTGGGAGCCTCCTCTCTAATCCCTTCCCCTTCGCTTCCTCTCTCTTCCCTTCCTCTATGTTCCCCTTCTTTCCTCTTTGCTCCTCTCCTTCTTCCCTTCCAGAAGGGCAAAATGGAGACAGGGAGGAGGATGGGTCCCATGTGCAGTGATGTGTGGGGACCAGGTGGGGCTGGGCAGGGGCTGGGAGCCTGGAACAGAAGCAGGAAGAATTGAAAAGCCCTATGTAGAACTGTAGAATTTAGCATCCTGAGCTGGAATGAACTCCCTGGCCTGACCCCTCCCAGAGGGATCATTCGATAGAAAGAGCAACATCAGACTTGGGCTAGAATCCTGAATCCTAGCTGGGAGATCTTGGACAAGCTACTTAGCCTCTCTGTGTCTGTTTCCTCATTTACATAGCGGGGCTAATAATACCCACCTTACAGTGTTGTCATGGGGACTAAATGAAATAATGTTTATAAAGAGCTTGGCACATAGTGGGTGCTCAACGTATTTTAATTCCTTTCCTCTCCGTCTTGGTGTTTGCAAGCCCCTGCTGAGTGACGGCATGGTTTTTGTAAGGCATCTTTGAGCCTCGCGCACACTCACTCATACACAGGGTCCGTGCCACCGGCCTTCCCTGACAGGGTGTCACACAGTGAAAAGCCTGCTGGGCTGGGTTTCCCAAACGTAGTTTCCCTAAAGATGGCCAGTTCAGAGTGGCAGGGGTGGATTTTCTGTCGGCCACCTCCTGACCTGACATGGGGCCTCGCTGGGTGTGGCTTGCTTACCCTGCTGCCAGCTTACCCTGCTGCCAGCTCAGACAAGATGCAGCCTCTCGCTCCCGCCGTAGCCAGCTGTCCAGAGGTTTTCTGCGTAGGCCCCAGCTGCTTGGCAGATTACCAGAGCTCTTTGGCCCCAGCCTGGCCATGGGTCTTCAGCCTCCCTCCCCAAGGGGTGTTCAGGTGGGATTCTTCTCACAGGATTCCTGGGAGACCTGACACCAGGGATGAGTGGGAACTGGCATCATCTTGAGTGGACCATTGCCCCACCCTCCATCATTAAATATGCTCAGTGAGGTTCACTCTATGGGATGTCTGGGGCTGTGGCCAGCGCCTGTGCCCCACCCTCTCCCTCCTTTCTCTGACGTTTGCTAGTAGAGGGCTTTGAGGTCTAGGACAAACCCTGCCTGCCTCCCAAGACCCCTTCTTCCTCCCCTAGTCACTGGAGGCTCCTTCTTGTTTTGCTCAACACTGTGCTTGCACCACAATCTCAGCACCATCCCAGGCACCCTTTGCTGTGTTTGTTGCCCTCCGTGGAATATGGGGACGGTTCCCTCCCTACCACCCAACACAGCAGTTTACATGTACTAGGTGCTCAATAATTTTTTTTTTTTTTTGAGACGATGTTCTGCTCTGTCACCCAGGCTGGAGTGCCGCGGCATGATCTCGACTCACTGCAGCCTCTGACTCCTGGGTTCAAGCGATTCTCCTGCTTCAGCCTCCCAAGTAGCTGAGACTACAGGCACGTGCCACCATGCCTGGCTAATTTTTTGTTTTGCTTTTTGTTTTTTTTTTTGAAACAGAGTCTCATTCTATCGCCCAGGCAAGAGTGCAGTGGCATGATCGCAGCTCAGTGTAACCTCCATCTCCCCAGTTCAAGCAATTCTCCTGCCTCAGCCTCCTGAGTAGCTGGGATTACAGGCGCACACCACCACGCCCGGCTAAGTTTTTGTATTTTTAGTAGAGATGGGATTTCACCATGTTGGCCAGGCTGGTCTCGAACTCCTGACCTCAAGTGATCTGCCCTCCTCAGCCTCCCAGAGTGCTGGGATTACAGATGTGAGCCACCGCGCCTGGCCAATAAATGTCTTTTGACTTGATTAAATGGGGCCCCTCTCGCTTTGGAGATACAAACTGTGGTGGGGGTGTTGCCTGTGGGGGACAAGTAGAGGACCTGGGGGCTGAAGCCATAAAAGTGCAAGAACCGCTGTCCCCTTTAGTCCTGCCCTGCCATCCTTCTCCACCAGGGGATGCTCTTTCTCCTTTGGTGGAAGGGCCTGAGCTGGGGCCAGGTGTAGGTGCCCGTGCCCCATAACCCACCTTTCATACATTATGGTTTTTCCTTTTCAGCTCACAGAGTTTTTCAGATTCTTTGTCAAATGTGAGCCTCAAATCAGAGGCAGGCCGAGAAGGCCTTATCGTTTTCATCTTACAGAGGGTGAAACTGAGGTTCTGAGAATATACTTGTTCTCAAAAGTCATACAGCTACTGGGGGCTGGGGCGCAGGGAGGGTGCAGCACGAATTTGAACCCAGGTCTTCAGATTCTTGATTCAGGGCTCCTTTGAGGACATCATAAACCTGGGTTCCTCCTCTGGAGCCCCACCCTCCAGATACTTTTCCTCCAGTCCGCTCATCACGCCCTCCTTGCGTCCCCTCCGGCTGTCTCTCCTTGGCACCTGCTCCTCAACCCAACAGCCTGCTGAAGTCTTCCCCACCCAAACAGACACCTGCCTTGTCCACACCCACCTGTGCTGCCTGCCTGTCGCCTGTCCCTTCCTGTTAATGCTCAGTGGGCAGATTCGACTCCCTCCTCCCTGGGGCCCCTCCTCCCTGCACAGTCTGACCCCCACACCCACTGGCCCCCGAGGCTGTTGTCTCTGCCCCACACAGTGCCACCTTCTCTGGCTGCCTGCTTCCTCCCAGTCCTTGTTGCCTCCTCCTTCTCTGCCTACCCCCAAGCCAGGGTTCCTCTCACTCTTCACTCTCCCTGGAGAATCTGAACCACACCCCTGGTCTCAGGGACTACCAGAGTCTCTAGCTCAAGCCTCTCTTTCAGAAGATGGACCCACGGTTTAAGCAGCCTGTCACCATTCCACCAGCCTCACAGCCTGCGGGTTAAGTGTATAGACCCTGGAGCCCAAATGCCTGGGTTCAAATCCTGTGTGGCCTTGGGTAAGATACTTGAGTTCTCTGGGCCTCATTTTCCTTATCCATAGAATGAGGATTGAGATCTATTTCACAGGCCTTTGTGAGGCTTAACTGGGATCTCACATACAAAGGACTTCGTGCCTGGCTTGTCCCCTCTCTCTGTGAACACCCTAGACAACCTGATATTCCAGGCCTTGGCCTTGCCCTGCACTCTTCCATTTCCTTCCTCCTGCTCACCAAATCCCAGAGCCTCTGTTGTTTGTTGCCCCTGCCCCTTGCTTTGGTACCTTTCTCCTAGAATCACTTTGCTTGCCGCCCTCCATTCCTGTTCCCGTTATGTGCCACGGTGGCCATGGCACATCGCTGCTTCAGCTCCCTGCCCCAAACCAGGCTAGCACGGAAGCGCCTCTGGGCAGCCCCTCCAGCGTCACACCCCCGCCTGTGTTTCCTTCCTCATCCCTCCATGCTTCCTGCCCATAGGCACCCTCCACTTGGCTCCAGCCACGATGCCGATGCCGGAGCCTGCTCTCTCTCCTGCCTCCCTGGTTCGCCCTGAGCATCACTCTCCCTGGAGTGCCTTTTTCCCTATTCCCACTCTCCCCTGCCCCATCCAGGAAGCCCAAGAAGCTCAAGGCACCTCCTGGGGAAGCCTCCTCTGCTTCTCCAGCCGAATGTGCTCCTGTGCTGGGAGTTCTTTATAGAGTCACAACTGGAGGAGACCCAGGCCCCTCAAGGGAAGGATCTAGGCCTCACCTCTGTATTCCCAGGGCCAACCTACCCCACCCCCTCCTCTCCTCTACCCCCTCACATAGTAGACCTTGTGAATGAAGGATGGTGATTGGGCTGGGGAAGGAGTTTGGAAAGAGGGGGAGTATGAGGAGGGTCCTCAACCAGGGAGACTCTCCCCATGTTGGGCTCTATGGCTCCAAACCCCAAAAAAATAGGGTACAGGAATACAGTGGGTGCTGGGGCGGATGGCAGGATGCATGGAGTGAGACCCAGAGTGTCGAGAGAGGAAGGGGAGCCCGGATGGAGAGGAAGGTGAGGAGGAAGAGCAGCTAAAGAAGATAGATGAGGTGGGCTGGGACAGGGTGGGGGTGCAGGTCAAGGTGCAGGAAGAGGTGGGAAGGGCGGCAGGGTGGGGAGAGAGCCGCACTTTCTGGGAAGTGGGAGCGGGTGGGGGAGGCTGTGCAGTGCATTGTGGAGGGAGGAATTCGCCTGCCGGTCAGTGTGAGCTCATTTCCTCTCACCCCCTCCTGCGGGGTCTGAGGGCATCAGGCTCTGGAAAAAGTGAGCCAGGGGCACCCCACGGCCACCACCCTCCCTCCTCCCCCATGGCCTCAGTTCAGTCTGATTTCAGATGCCAACCTTTCTCCCTCACAGAGACAACCCTTTATCCTGGGAGGAAAGGACCTCTGAGCCAAGGTGGCAACAAGCATTGGACCACTGGAGCTACAGGGCAGAAAGAGACAGGAACAGGGACCTGGTGGAAAGTTAAGCAAGAAAATCCAAGCAGTAGGCCAGGCGCGGTGGCTCATGCCTGTAATCCCAGCACTTTAGGAGGCCGAGGAGGGTGGATTACGAGGTCAAGAGATCGAGACCATCCTGGCCAACATGATGAAACCCTGTCTCTACTAAAAATACAAAAAATTAAAAAATTAGCCAGGTGTGGTGGTAGGCGCCTGTAATCCCAGCTACTTGGGAGGCTGAGGCAGAAGAATAGCTTGAATCTGGGAAGCAGAGGTTGCAGTGAGCCAAGATGGCACCATTGCACTCCAGCCTGGGCAAAAAGAGTGAAACTCCATCTCAAAAAAAAAAAAAAAAAAAAAATCCAGGCAGTATGACAGATTACAGTTAGACAGCAGGAAGGACTTTCCAGAAGTGGAGGCTAATTCTGGCTGCACATGACCTTGATAAAAAGGGATGAGGAAGGGAGAGGAGTCATTTAACTGCCCCTCCATTATTATGAAACAGAATCCCTTTCTCTTGACTGCCAGGGGATTTAAAATACATTAAATAAAGCATATGAGCTAAACCCCAGTCAGTATCTCATTCCTCAGGTTCACAGGAGTAGGGATGGCCTAATTGTTGTCTGGGGCACCCCAACCCCTCTAAGACCTGAGTTCCCAACCCTGATCAAGGTTAAAGGGGTGGAGGTCTTGGGGCTGCTCGGCTCTCAGGGGTCTCCTTGCCCAAGGAAGGTGGTGACTCCAGCAGGCAGAGCTGGCCTTCCCGCTTTCACTGCCTCCTCTCTCCAAGTCCTATTTTATCCTCCGCCTTCTTTTCTACATAATCTGGGAAAAGGAATATGGAAGCCCCTTAAACTGAAAAAGTCATGGGAAAGAGGTAAGCATAAGCTGGAGGAAGTAAGAAGCAGGAAGAATGGGAGTTAGATAGTAGAAAGAATTTTCTAGCTATTTTCTAATAATGAAGGACAAGGCCAGGCATGGTGGCTCACGCCTATAATCCCAGCACTTTGGGAGGCTGAGGCAGGCGAATATCACTTGAGGTCAGGAGTTTGAGACCAGCCTGGCCATCCTGGTGAAACCTCATCTCTACCAAAGTACAAAAGTTAGGTGGGCGGTGTGGCATGGGCCTGTAGTCCCAGCTACCTGGGGAGGCTGAGGTGGGAGGATCACTTGAACCTGGGGGCAGAGGTTTCAGTGAGCCTAGATTGTGCCACTGTACTCCAGCATGGGTGACAGAGTGAGACCCTGCCGAAAAAAAAAAAAGGAAAAGAAAGACAGAAGGACTGTCCCTCCCTGGACTGTCAGGGGATGGGCTGGAGGGGGTCCTTCTGGGGGACAAGGAAAGAAGCTGGCTCAGGACCAGGGCATCTCTTTAGGCCCAGCTCAGAGTGAAGCCAGGAAGGGTGGCTGTGGGGTGCTGGTGATTGGGAGCCTCTGCTGTCACTGCTGTTCACTGCAGAGCAGGACTGTGGGCTGGCCCCATGGCCTGAGCCCCAGGACTGGCTGGGTGGGGGTCCGAAGGGCTGGGGCACCTGCCAGCCTCTCTTCTATGCTCGACTCCCCCTCCTCTCTGGGATCCTGGGCTGAGACTCTGGCTGGGAGGGGCTTACCCTACACTGAGGGGCACCCCGTCTCCCCACCCCCTGCACTAAATCTTCCCTTGTGTCTCAATGTCTAGGGGTCTCTAAAGGGAAGGGGGCCTCTAAGCCTTTTTCTGTCTTCCCCCCTTTCTGATCCTGGGTCTCCTCATCTTTGTTTCTGACTTTCTCTGCCTCTCTCTGCGCTGTCTCTATCTTGTCTCTGCCTTTCTCATGCTTTCTGGGTCTCTGGATCTCTGTTTCTGACCATCTCTGGCTGGCTGTTTCTCTTTGCTTCCCTCTCCCTCCCTCCCTATCCCCGTGCTAGTTCTGGGTTCGGTGCCCTTGTCCTCTTTCCTGGGCCTGGATGGCCCTCTATCTGGGCCGGTCCCTTAGAGGCCGGGCAAGCGTCTCCTGGAGACCGCCTCTCTTCGCCAGGCTGGGCTCTGACGTCCAGCTCTCAGGCAGCGCTCGCCTCTGCCTCAGCCCGGTTGCAGGTCTGTGGCCCTTGAGCGAGGCCGCCGGGGCACCCAGAAGGGAGCGCGGGGTGGGTGGTGGGAAGGGGGAGGGGCGAGGGGGCGGACCCCGGGGGGCCCCCCACACCGCGCTCGGCCCCGCCCCCGGCCCCGCCCCTCCCGGGTCCCTGCCGGCGCCCCCAGCCGTGCCCCGGCCGCAGAGCCGCCGCTGCCACCCGATGAATGGAGTCGCCTTCTGCCTGGTCGGGATCCCGCCCCGCCCGGAGCCCCGGCCCCCACAGGTGAGGGTGCTGGGCCAGGGAAGTGGGCGGGGCCGGTAGCTGCTGGGGAGCGGGCTGCCAAGCCAGGGTCGCTGCGACCCCGCTCGCCCTGCACAGCCTGGGGCGCACGGTGGGCGCGGGCACCGCGGGCACCGCTGCGGGGAGATTCAGCTGGTGGCAGGCCCGGGAGGGGGCCCGAGCAAGAGCTGTCCGGGGTAGAGGGGTGGGAAGGACGGAAGCAGGCAAGGGGTCGGGACGGGCACGGGGCTGTCAGGACAGGGGGCACAGACCCAGGTGGCGGTGCCAGGCCCCCAGCGGCTGGGCAGCGGGGGCGGGAGGCCCGCGGCTTTTGTTCGGGTTTTTCAGGCGGGGCGCCTGCCGCCGTTTCCTCTGCCCGAGTTTTCGTTTTCCGTTGGCGAGGCCCCGGCACAGCTGGAGGGAGAGGGGGTGGGGGAGGGGGTTCCGGAGCGGGACGTCCTCCACTAAGGCGTCCGGACACCCCCTCCCCGCGCCACACTCGCCCCCTGCCGGGTCGGACTGCGGGACGGGTTGCCAGGCGCGGTTCCGCCGCCCTCCTGGATCCTGGGGAAGTTCTAGACACAGGCCCAGGACCCCGGGCTCTGCCGGCGAGGCTGCCCTCCCCTCTGCCCTCTCCGACCGGCTGTGGGTGGGTCAGAGCGCGGGGTGCCAGGGGCATTACTCAGCGCTGGGCTGCTCTGCCTGGGTTCTTTCATCTGCCAGCTGCTGAGGCTGGGGAGGGGCCAGCAGGGGCCTCCCAGCCCCATCCCCCCATCAGGGCCATTCCCTTACCTCTGAGCCTGGCTGCCCGCCCTGCAGGAGCCCCCCAGCAGGCCTCCCTGCTCCTAAGTTGAAGGGTTGAACACTGTCAGGCCAACAGTTTCCCTGAGCTCGGAAAAGAAATTCCCCGGGGTCCAGGTTGAGGTCAAGGCCAGGGCTGAGGCCTGTTCCTCTTTAGACAGGGCTGAAAGACTTGGGGACCCTCCTCCCCAGCTTTCCCGGCAGTGTTGAAGGTGGGATCTGGTGCTTGCAACTCTTTTGGAGACTGGTGTGTTCCTTGGTTGCTGGATGTGTGTTCAGTTCTCCCTCAATCTGCATCTCTCCCCGACTCCCTTCAGCCAAAGTGTGTTTCCTAATTATGAACTTGAAATTCAGGATGGACGGGGGGTGGGGGTGGAGGTCATGAATCCAAGCATGAGTCCCTTGGATTCAATCCCCCACCAGCAACACATACTTCATCTCTATCCCCTGCACCCCTCTCTGTCTCCACCCCAACCCTGCGGCCTAGCTGGGGGTGAGTGGCTTTTGATCCCATGTGGTTCTCCCCTCTGCCAGGGCAACAGACCCCATTCCCCAAAGTGACAGCTCTCACTGCCATGTGCTCCTTGGCATGCGATTTGAATCTCGATTATATAACCAGTCATTTCGCCTCCAAAGGCAGCCCAAAGGCCCCCGGCCCCAGCGGCTTCTTCCACTTGCCCACAGTGTGGTTGGGTCCACCCCAAGGTGGCTGGGAATTCCAAGATCCTGCATCTGAGGACCTGACCTCTTCTTGGGAACCATGGGAGCAGTAAATCCTCTACATTCAGTGCTGGATTCAAAGGCCTCAATAATAATAAACAGGAAGAATGGGAGTGGGCAGGGTAGGTGTTGGTGTCCCATTTCACAGAGAGGGTCTGAGCCTATGTAGTGACAGTGCCCAGGCAAGAACCCAGGACACTTGAGGGTAGTCAGGGCACAAGATGAAGCTTGGGGAGGAAAGCTGTTAGGAAGGTGTCTGACTACGGGAATAGGTCAGGCTTGTGTGGATCCCAGCCCAAGCAGAGAAGGACTGGGTGGGGGGAAGAGGCCCTGTGCTTGTGCCCCTCTCCTCGGGCTGACCCTGGCTCACGGGGAAGAAGTGCAGCATTCTTGGCATGGATGGGAGTGGGGGTGAGGGAGGGTGCTGGTTCTGAGCAGAGCAGTGCAGGAGTGGGTAGTGGATTGCTTCATCCTACATTGCAGGGATACTCAGAAGGACTTCTTGATGTGTAAGGTTAAAAGAGAGACTACAAAGCAGCAGCGTGGAAGAAGTTACAGTGTGAGGGACTGCAGTTAGATACTCAGGAGAACTTCTAGGGAGGGGCTTGTGACCCACAGCATCCCAGGCTAGCCATGCAGGGAAGTTTCCTCCAGTATAGTGGGTCAAGTGGATTCTTGTGAAGTTGGATTCCAATGTAGAAACCTGGAGATGGTCATTGGAGATATCAAATATTCCAGCAAATATATTCAAATGAGCACTGGTGCCTGGAAACAAAAAATGTGTTTTTAAGGAAGGGGAGTTGCTTTCACAGTATAGCTCATAGTTAATACACAGACAGCAAAAACTCCTGGCCAGTATTTATAAAAACTACCTCATTTGATCCTCACAATACCACTAAGAGGTAGATACCATTATTATCCCCATTTTACAGTTGAGGACACTGAGGCATAGCCAATATTGCAGCCCAAATCACACCCCCAGTGCACTGTGGAGCCAGGGTAGGAATGTGGCAGTCTGGCTCTAGAGTCTGGCTCTCACCCTCACTATCTGGCTTCTCAGGACCTGCTATGTCCCGCTGTCACTCCCACCCCAAATCCGTGTCCATTTTCTACACAGCCCAAGATCAAGGTCAGCTTCTGGCTGGATTGCAGCTTAGTTGCTTGTCTTTTGTTCTATTTCTTTACTCCTCCAATCTTTCCCACCCTGCCCCATGCTAGCCCATAGCACTGGGCCAGGGCTCGGTTCACTGGTGTTTTCCTTCCAAAGGGGCATGAAGCCCTGCTCTGTTGGCTGCAGGGGTTCAAAGGTAAGATATTGGCTTGGTCAGGGATTTGGACAAAGCCTGGTTTTAATGATCCTGCTCTCACCATCTCGGGAGAGAGACATGAATAGGGCCTGTGGGAGCTGGTGCTGCCTTTCCCCTAGCACCCTCCACCCGCTTCAAACAACCCGCCTTCAGATCCAGGCCCCCCTGTTTCTTGTGAAATTGTGCCAGTTTGTCAGCAGGGCAGTACCAATCTGTGCCAGGTGGGTGTCTCCTCCCCCATTGCCTCAGTGGGACATCAGGCTGAGATGGCCTTGGGGCTGGACTTTGGGGAGATTTTAAAGCCCTTTTGGGTTGGGGTGTATTTACCACCTGTCAGAGTGGGTGAGGACCAAAGGGGTGATCGTGTCCAACTCTGTTACGCTACAGTGGGGAAACAGACTGGGGAGTGCCCAAGGTCCCTCAGCCTCGGCAGACAAGGACCCATCTTCTGACTCCCAGCTCCCAGGCCATGCCTTTCCCTCTGTGGTTGGTTCTGTCCTTCGTGGCCCCCCTCAGTGCAGGGTTCATGGACTGGGCTCCAAGAGGGAGAGGGGAGGGCAGGGAGCTGCAGGGATGAGTGGACAATGTATCCTGTTCATCTCTGTGTCCCCAGTGGCCAGCACAGAGCCTGGCACAGAGCAGTTCTCCATAAATGTTTGTGAAGTACAAACCAGGGAACAGCCCCGCCTGTGGCCCCCCAGGGCGCCCCATGCCCAGCTCTACCCCTGACACTGTGATGTTCCATCTCATATCCGTCTACCCTACCAGGTAGGAGTTATTTGAGGCCGAGAAAAATGATAATAGCAACTTCTTCCATAGTGCTTACCACTATGTTGGTATATTACCATCACCCCACTTGACAGATTAAGAAACTGACACAGGCCGGGTACAGTGGCTCACACCTGTAATCCCAGCACTTTGGGAGGCCAAGGTAGGAGGATCACTTGGACTCAGGAGTTTGAGACCAGCCTGGGTGACACAAGGAGACCCAATACCTACAGAAAAATTTTAAAAATTAGCTGGGGCCAGGAGCAGTGGCTGACACCTGTAATCCCAGCACTTTGGGAGGCCAAGGCGGGTGGATCACCTGAGGTCAGGAGTTTGAGACCAGCCTGGCCAACATGGTGAAACACTGTCCCTACTAAAATTACAAAATTAGCTGGGTGAAGTGACACACACCTGTAGTCCCAGCTACTTGGGAGCCTGAGGCAGGAGAATCGCTTGAACCTGGGAGAGGGAGATTGCAATGAGCCAAGATCACGCCATTGCATTCTAGTCTGAGTGACAAGAGCAAAATGTAGTCTTAAAAAAAAAAAAAATTAGCTGGGCATGTAGTCCCAGCTACTCGGGTGGTGGAAGTGGGAAAATCACTTGAGCTGGGGGGTTCGAGTCTGCAGTGAGCTGTGATTGCACCACTGCACTCCAGCCTGGGCAACATAATGAGACCCTGTCTCAAAAAACCAAACCAAACGAAACAAAAAAGCTCTGCCTGCCTTCAGCCTGCTGAGGTCCAAATTTTAGATGTACTCCTTGTTCACTGTGTGCCCTTGGACAAGTTACTTCATTGTTTTAGCCTCGGCTTTCTTTTATTCTTTTGAGGCAGGGTCTTGTTCTGTTGCTCAGGCTGAAGTGCAGTGGTGTGAGCTTGGTACACTGCAGCCTTGAACTCCTGGGATCAAGTGAGCCTCCCTCCTCAGCCTCCTGAGTAGTTGAGACTACAGGTGCATGCCACCATGCCCAGCTAATTTTTCCATTTTGTATTTTTTATAGAGACAGGGTTTTGCCATGTTGCCCAGGCTGGTCTCAAAATTCCTGGACTCAAGTGATCCTCCCACTTTGGCCTCCCAAAGTGCGGGGATTACAGGTGTGAGCCACCACACCTGGCTGGTTTTCTTATCCCTGAAATAATCCCTCAAAATTACAGAGAGGGCTAAATGAGGTAGTATTGGTAAAGTGGCTGAGATTTAGTAATCTCAATTATTGGTAGCAACTATTATTAAAAAAAATCAATGGATAGAAATGAGAACAATGCACTTTTGCCTCAGTAAAAAGTACTGACCTTTATGGTCAGAGCAATCTAAAGAGAAAGTGACCTGCCTCTGGAGGTAATGAGGCCCCCATCACTGGAGGTGCAGTGAGGTCTGGGCAAGCACAGGCTGGAGAATGATGTGCACTAGAGAGAATTCAGCAAAGGCTTGGCACAGGAAACTTTAAGGGCCCTGCCTTGGGATCAGCACTATATGATAGGAAATTAGAGGAGCAGGTGAATCCTACTTCCTACTGTGGGGCATTGAGGAGAGCAGGCAGAGATGTCCCCAGCCTCTGGGAACATCAGGGGTTGGCTGCTATGGTTTGGACTGTGAGGCTCCCCAGAGGATAGGTAGTCCTGAGAGGCTGCCTGGAGGAGGCCTGCAAGGGTGGGTATGGTTCTGATAGGTGGGAAAATGTGGGATTGTATTCTAGGCCCAGGAAGGGCTTGGTGGCCGAGGGACAGAGAGGAGCCTGGGCCACTGGTCCTGAGGTTGGCCCCGGGGTTGCGTCATCATCCTCGTGCCTCAGTCTCCTGGGCTGCTGGGATTACAGGTGTGCCACTACACCTGGCTAATTTTTTTTATTTTTTTAGAGACAAGGTTTCGGCATGTTGGCTGGCATGTTGGCCAGGCTGGTCTCGAACTCCTGACCTCAGGTGATCCACTTGCCTTGGCCTCCCGAAGTGCTGGGATTACAAGCGTGAGCCACCGCGCCTGGCTGGATTTTGTCATCATCCTGGGTGCCCAAGGGGTTTGGGTGTATGGTGGTGGCAGTGGGGAAACTAGTAATTCCCTGTCCCGCCAACCCCCCAGCTTCTCCTGGAGGAGGAGCCAGGGCTACTCCCGGTGGCAAGGAGCCCGGGCCCGTAAGGAGCGGAACTGGGGAAAGAAAGACTTCTTATGCCCAGTGCATTTGGGGGCGTCCGGGGGTCGGGGAACAGTGGGGCCTTTGTCCCCAACCGCTGGGAATCTGGCCGAGGAGCTGGCCCTGGGTCTGGCTAGGCCCTCGGAAGGCAGGTCCTCTTTGAAGTGACCCTTTCAAAGCTCGGCCTGAATCCCTGGGAGGAGAGACAGCATGGGGCGGGGCGTGGGGATGACTGAGACCCAAGGGCCGAGGCCTGAGGGATAGAAACAGACCCGGCCTTGGCCTCTTGGGGTGTGGAGGTTGGTCGGAGGTGTGTGGGCCGGAGGAATGTGGTGGGCTGGGAGACCGCGTGGGAGCCATGTGGGAGGACAACCACGCAAGGGGCCTTAGCCCCAAGTGGGGGTGCACCTAGGCAGGGGCCGAGTTCATTCTGGCCCGAGAGTGTTTCTGTCTCCTATCTGACTTCTGTCTGGCTCTGTGCTCCTGTATCAACAGCTGCTTCTTCCTTTTTAATTTCCCCAAAAGTGTGAGAGCTTGGAAAGAATCGGGTGTGGACGCCAGACTCAGAGCTCTTGGGAGGAGGGAGAGGTGGGGACCTGGGCAATCCAGAGCTTTTCCTGCTTCTGAGAGCCCCCGAAGGCTGGAAGGAGAGGCTGGAGGGGACACCCCCACCTCCCGCATAGAGTCTCCCTTATGCTCAAGGTGGAGGAACTCTGTATTGTTCCTGAAAAGGGACAGAAGGAGGAGGAAAGCTACCCAGAGAGGGGACATCTTCCTTTGCTTCAGCTGGAGGAATATCAGAGGCCACCCTCCTTCCCTGTCTCTCCATTTGCCTCATGGGGAAACTGAGGCCTAGAGAAGGGACAGGCCAAGGGGATAGAGCAGAGAGGAAGGGACCAGCAAGAGTGGAAGGAAGCCAGCCCTGTGTGGTTGGAACTGTAGGGACTATGGTGGCTCACACCTGTAGTCTCAGCTACTCGGGAGGCTGAGACAGGAGGATTGCTTGAGAGGATGGATGCCAAGTGGGAGGAGGAAGGGGCCTCAGGTTGTTGAGTTGTCATAAGAGGGTTGTAGAGAAGTGCCCAGAGTCCCTTCAGCTCTGACCTGCGGTGATTCCATGAAAAGAGGGAGAGGAAGGAGTGGTTCCTGCTGGTGAGTTCCCAAGGTCCAAGTAGAAAGGGGCACCCCAGGCTTTTGGACTGAGCAATGCACAGGGGAGCCTTTGGCAGCCCAAGGGAGAACCTTGCCCCCGAATCTGATGCTGTTTGTACTTCTTGCCCTGGAACCCGATCTCTCCTTGGCCTCACGGCAGTCTCTGTACTGGGGAAAATTTTTTGTTGTTGTTGTTTTCGAGACAGAGTCTCGCTTTGTCACCCAGGCTGGGGTGCAATGGCGCGATCTCGGCTCACTGCAACCTCTCCCGGGTTCAAGAGATTCTCCTGCCTCTGCCTCCCGAGTAGTTGGGATTACAGGCGCCCTCTACCATGCCCGGCTAATTTTTTTGTATTTTTAGTAGAGATGGGCGTTCACCATGTTGGTCAGGCTGGTCTCAAACTCCTGACCTCAGGTGATCCGCCCGCCTCAGCCTTCCAAAGTGTTGGGATTACAGGCGTGAGCCACCGTGCCTGGCCTGGGAAGATTCTTATAAATCTCCCTTTCCTCTTCTGGAGGTGTGGCCCTGGGCTCCTCCCCAAGAGAGGTGGAGGAGGGGGCGGAGGCCCCAGGCTGCAATGGAGGCTGTCTGCGCACTGTTATCTTGCACTGGCATCACAGAGCTGAGCTTCATTAGCTCTAATGAAGCCTTGGCACTGTGCCCCTCCCACACAGCACCTAGACGTTTCAAGGAAGGCGAGGGGGACAGCTGAGGTTGGGTCCAGAGCCCAGGAGATGGTCGGGGGGATGTTTGCAAGAGGAGAGGGTAGGAGGCAGAAAATGGGGACCACACAACCAGGCTGGGGTTGCCAACATGAGGGAGAAACAGCCCCTCTTCCTTCCCCACTGGGAGCTTTTTCTTCTCCAGTGGCCCAGAGGCCTAGGTACCCCCAGTGCTAGGGAAAGCCTTATCTGAGAGACGGGATGTGGTCTGGGGATGCTGAGGATATTCCCCTCAGCTACCCCTACCCCCCCAAAAAAAACGCTGAGGAGAGTGCCCCTCCTGCCCTCTCCGTAATTTCAGCCGGGGGCAGGAGAAGGCCCTGATCCCAGCATGGGAGGCCCAGGGCTTGGGAAAGTCCGCCAGTGGGCTGGAGCCGAATCGAACCCACTGTCAGTGGTGATCACTGGTTGCTCATGCTCTGCGTTCCAGGCTCTCTCTTGGGACCTGGATGAATGAGAAACAACCCTGCTCTCAAGGGCCTCCTTGTCTGCTTTTCCTACCGCCCAAAAGCCAGACAAAAAGTCTCCACAAAGACTGTAGAACCATGAGTTCTAAGATTTGCATCCAGCCCATCGATCAGTCCAGAACACCCCTCAGGGGCCCCCTGCCAAAAATATTAATGTAAAAACGGCCCAGTCTGACTGGGGTGATGGACCTGCAGCCTACACAAGCCAATGTCTTCACCATGGTAATCGTTGGAAAGTGAGTGTGGTCACAAAGGCGATAACGGGAGTTTAAAACTGGAAGCCGGAAGCTGGGTAGAATTGCCACAGGGATTGGTTAAAAACCAGTTGGTGATATGATTAATCTCCTTTCTCTCATCTGTTTCCAAATCTATCATTAACCTGAGGATTCTATAGTGAAATCCTTTTTGATCGATTTTCAAGTGCCGTCATAAAGGGGGTGTATAATTACAGATGCAACGACTGAGACCTGGAGTGGGCAAATAACTTCACTCAAGGTCACCAAGCATCAAATTTCAAGCTGGGCCAGGCATGGTGGCTCACATCTGTAATCCCAGAGACTTGGGAAGCTTCGACAGGAGGATTGCTTGACGCCAGGATTTTTTTTTTTTTTTGAGAGAGGGTTTTGCTCTGTCACCCAGGCTGGAGTGCAGTGGCACAATCAGGCACACACCACCATGCTTGGCTAATTTTTTTGTAGCGATGGGGGTCTCCCTATATTGCCTAGGCTGGTCTTGAACTCCTGAGCTCAAGTGATCCTCCTGCCTTGGTCTCCCAAAGTATTGGGATTACAGGCATGAACCAAAGATCAATTTGAGACCAACATGGGCAACATAGCAAGACCCTGTCTCTAAAAAATTAGCCAGGTGTGGTGGTGCACACCTGTAGTCCCAGCTACTCGGGAGGCTGAGCTGGGAATATTGCTTGGACTCAGGAGTTTGAGGCTACAGTGAGCTATGATTGCACTGCTGCACTCCAGCCTGGACAACAGAGCAAGACCCTACCCACCCCTACCCCCCCCAAAAAATATTAAAGCTGGGTCTTTCAGAATCCTAGGTCTGTCATTGTGGTGACTGCTGTATTCTCTGACAACAAGGAGCCTGGGAGGACACCCCTCACCCAGGGAAGTTAGACCCTCTTTTCCACAGCTGAGCCCTGAAATCCAAGCAAAGGTTGGCATAACGAAGGGGGGGGAGGGCAGATGTAATGGGTGGTGGGTGCAGAGAGATGTAGATTAAGTTCTGCTTCTCTGTGTCTTCTGTGATTCAGTGTGGAGTCTGGATTTGCTCGTGAGTGGCGTGGGGGACCCCAGGGTTCTGTCAATAAACATGGCTGAGCCCCTGCCTCCTCCAAAGATGGTCCAGCTCTCAGGGGAAGAAGGCTTCACTGTGGGGAGATGAGGCTTGCCAAAGCTTGAAAGATGTTTGCTAGGGCCAGGCACGGTGGCTCACGCCTGTCATCCCAGCACTTTTGGGGGCCAAGGTGGGCAAATCACGAGGGCAAGAGATCGAGACCGTCCTGGCCAACATGGTGAAACCCCATCTCTACTAAAAATACAAAAATTAGCTGGGCGTGGTGGCATGCGCCTTTAGTCCCAGCTACTTGGGGGGCTGAGGCAGGAGAATCACTTGAACCTGGGAGGTGGAAGTTGCAGCGAGCCAAGATCATGCCACTGCACACTCCAGCCTGGTGACAGAGTGAGACTCCGTCTCAAAAAAAAAAAAAAAAAAAAAAGATGTTTGTTGGGGCAAGAAAGGGATGGAGGAGAAGGGAGAGAAGGGTGTGCCAGGCAGAGGGACCAAGCATTAGCACAGGCAAGGAGGCATGAACCAGCTTGGCCTCTTAAGGGATTGATGAATACAAGGCCCAGAATAGAGGGAGGAGGTCAGGTTGGCAAGGCCAATGAGACCAGATCCCGCCCCTTCCCTCCCCCATCAGGTCGTATCCCTCATGCCATACTGAGGAACTTGCTCCCATAGCTACTTTGGAGCCACACAAGGGTCTCGGGCAGTGGAGGCAGCAGACCAGGTGAAAGGAGATGGGAGCTGAAACTGGAGGTACAGTTGGAAGGGTAGGATAAGAGTGGAGTATGTTGGCTGGGCGTGGTGGCTCACACCTGTAATCCCAGCACTTTGGGAGGCTGAGGTGGGCGGATCATCTGAGGTCGGGAGTTTGAGACCAGCCTGACCAACATGGAGAAACCCCGTCTCTACTAAAAATACAAAATTAGCTGGGAGTGGTGGCACATACCTGTAATCCCAGCTACTCAGGAAGGCTGAGGCAGGAGAATCGCTTGAACCTGGGAGGCAGAGGTTGTGGTGAGCCTAGATTGCACCTTTGCACTCCAGCCTGGGCAAATAGAGCGAAACTCCATCTCAAAATAAATAAATAGATACATACATACATAAAAATACAAAAATTAGCTGGGTGTAGTGGCGGGCACCTGTAAATCCCAGCTACTTGGGAGGCTGAGGCAGGAGAATCACTTGAACCCGGGAGGTGGAGGTTGCAGTGAGCCGAGATCGCACCATAGCACTCCAGCCTGGGTGACAAGAGTGAGACTCTGTCTAAAAAAAAAAAAAAGAGTGGGAGTATGTCACCCTCTTCCCCTTTCCAGAAACTTGCTGTACCGTCTCTTTCCCTTGTCTAGAAGGGCCTTCTCTGCCTTTTCCATTTCTCCAACTCCTATTCCTCTTTCAATGCCCAGTTCAAATATCTTCCGTAAAGCCTCCCTCCACCACTCAAATATATGGCGACTTCCTCCTCTGTGCGCTAGACCTTGTGCCCCGTGAGGGTAGGGACTTTGTCTTGTTCACTGCTCTATATCCAGCTTCTAGGCCAGGCCCTGTTGAGTGAACGCTGCTGACTGATGAATTGAGTGTTCCCATAGCACTTGACACTGCATTGCCCACCAATAATAATAACAATGGGAGTATTGGTTATAGCAAACTTGTATTGCGGGCCTCAGGGCCAGACACTGCTGTGCTGAGCACTTTACACACACCGTCTCTTTAATCTGCACAACAATCCCATGGGCGATGGATTATCTCTATTTAATAACTGTGGAAACAGAAGCTTAGGGAGGTTAGTAATTTGTCCAGTGACATACAGCTAGGAAGTGGGCCTGAGTCAGGATTCAATCCAGCTTCCTCTGAATCCTGCTTAGGAACTTTTTTTTTTTTTTTGAGACCAAGTCTTGCTCTGTCACCCAGGCTGGAGTGCGGTGGCGCGATCTTGGCTCACTTCAACCTCCAACTCACAGGTTCAAGCGATTCTCCTGCCCGGCTAATTTTTGTATTTTTAGTAGAGATGGGGTCTCATCGTGTTGACCAGGCTGGTCTAACTCCTGACCTTAGGTGATCGGCCTGCCTCGGCCTCCTAGAGTGCTGGGATTACAGGCTTGAGCTACCGAGCCCAGTCGGAACTTTTTTTTTTAGACAGTCTTGCTCTGTCACCCAGGCTGGAGTGCAATGGCGTGATCTCTGCTCACTGCAACCTCCTCCTGGGTTCAAGCGATTCTCCTGCCTCAGCCTCCCGAGTAGCTGGAACTATAGGCACGCACCACTGCATCTGGCTAATTTTTGTATTTTTGGTAGAGACAAGGTTTCACCATGTTGGCCAAGCTGGTGTCTAACTCCTGGCTTCAAGTGATCCTCCGAACTCGGCCTCCCAAAGTGCTGGGATTACAGGCATGAGGCACTATGCCCAGGCTCTGCTTAGGAACTTTTAAACACTATGCCCTACAGCACCTTTATTTGTTGCATGTCTATGTCTTTGGTTTTATAAAACCAGGGACTGCTTTTGTTAGTTTTTGAAAATCCTCAGACTACGGGACTGATTTGTTGAGCAACTTCTACATGCCAGGCACTCAATGCTGAGTCCTCTCCAGGACCCAGTTTACAGCTGAGGAGACTGAGGCTTGGAGAGGGAAAGGACTTGACCAAGGTCATGCAGTTGGGACCTGAAACCTGGCCTCTGACTCGTCTTCCCTTGTGTCACTGGCCCCCCTAGCCCGGTGCCAGGCCCTTGGTGGCACCCAGTGAACAGTCCTAGAATGAAAGAAAGAGGAACCGGCTCTGAAGGTGACTGCTTTCTTTGGGGGCACACAAGTGGCCGGACAGGGGCCGTGGACTGGGCCTCCAGCCTCTAAGCCCAGTGTGTGTCCCACCGGGATCACTGATGAGGAGAGGGATCTAGAGGCCGGGACTGGGGATGTCGTAATTTCCAGGTGCCCAGCTGTCTGTCAGACCTGTGAGCTCCAAGGAGAGGCTGACCTGGTGCTGGGGTGGTCAGAGATGGTGTCCAGGGCAGGCAGAGCCTTACCACGACCTTTAGAGGCCTCCAGAGGCTGCACAGCGTCAGTGGGATTTTGGCCACGGGTGACCAGAAGGAACCTCCAAGCCTGGGAAATGCAGCTGCAGTGGCCACAGCGCAGGTGGGCAGAGGCCCTGGGTTGTGCTGCAGGTTGGGCACTGCCTTTTGCTGAGTGACCATTCGGCCTATGCTCCCAGCCCCACAGGGATCCACCAATCAGACCTGCCTGCTGCTGTGTATTTGCATCTCACTTGCATGACAACACCCCTTGCTCTGTCCCCAAGTGTGCTTCCCCAGCCCATGCCCCATTCCCCATTTCAGGCCCCCTGTGCAGAGCTCCCGTGGGAGGGGCAGAAAGGCCCACCTGGGCTGCCAGCCTGGCGCACTATTCATAGCTCAGGGCTGGCGTACTTCACATACTTGGCGTTTCTCATGTCTGGCTGGCCCAAGGCAGCCACCCCTCTGTTGTCCTCCCCTCCCTCCTCTCTTCTCTCTTTCCCCCTTCCCCTCCTCCCTTAACCTCTTCCCCCACCTTCTTCCTCTCAACCAATCTTCCTGAAATCTACAGATGTCCAAGTCCCTCATCATGGAAGAGCCCACATAAGGAAACTGAGGCCCCAGAGAGGGCGGGGACTGGAGGGAGAAACCAGTAGTGATGAGGCGTATAATGAGGTGGCCGAGAGTCTGGGCTCTGCCCACAGCTTCAATCCTGAGCTGACATTAGCTGTGGCACCATGGCAGATTCCTTAGCTTGCTAAGTTAAACAAGCGTTTCAGAAAGTCAAGCTGAGACCTGGAGGGTAAGGGTTGAGTCAAGGGAAGAAGGGGACGGGGAGGGGGCAGGCAGGCACTGTATTATAGTCCAGGGAGAGGGGAACTTGGATGTGGGGAGCAGGCTCTGAGTCTCAGGACAAGGGCTTGGCACGTTGCAGAACCCACGAGGAGGGCTCGTGGCTGGAGTGTGGCCAGCTGGGGTGAGGGCACAGAGATGCAAAGAGGATTGAAGCAGCTCCCCCCTTTTTCCCCACCCCTTTCTCCCCCACTCCTTTTTTTTGAGCCTGGATCTGGCTCTGTCGCCCAGGCTGGAGTACAGTGGCACAACCATGGCTCACTGCAGCCTTGAACTCTTGGCTCAAGCAATCCTCCCACCTCAGCCTCCCAAGTAGCTGGGACTACAGGCGTGCCCCACGGCACCTGGCTAATTTTTACTATTATTTTTGTGGAGATGGGGTCTTACTATGTTGACCAGGCTGGTCTCAAACTCCTGGGCTCAAGGGATCCTCCTGCCTCTGTCTCCCCAAGTTCTGTGATTACAGGCATGAGCCACCACGCCCGGCCCCCCTTTCTTCCTTATTCCAGCACCCCCGACTTCTGGATCTGGTTCCCTCTGAGGAAGGGGTGGGGATATAAAAAGCCCCTGCCTCTGCCAGACCCCTCCTGGGGACAGGGTTCTGGTTACCTCTAACTCTCTGAGGAAAGGCTCATTCATTCTCCAACATTTAGAAACAGTGTGCAGAGCACCCACCCTGGGCCAGGAACCAGGGATTTGACCACCAGCAAAGCAGACATGGTCCTTGCCTTCCAGGACCTACAGCCCTGTGGGGAGATGTTGGTCAAAATAAGCTCATAAATAAGTAGACACTGACAAGAGGGTGCACAGGTAACTGACCTGGTCTGGGGCCAGAGGAGGTGTGCCTGGGGAAGTGACATTTTTGTTAAGAGCAACAGGGTGGGTAGGAGTGAATCAGGGCATGGGTTGCATTCCAGAAACAGCATGTGCAAAGGACCCGAGGCTGGAAGGGTGCCTGGTCCTCACAGGAGGTGGAAGGAGGCCAGGGTGGCCAGAGCACAGAGGAAGAGGGTGTGGTGAGTGTGGGGGCCAAGGCGCGTCCCACAGGGCCTGGTGGTCATAATATTAAAATAATCAATCTGGACTGTCAGATGCCAGAGAGGTGACTGCCGCTTGGAGCAGGGCAATGGTGTAATGAAGTGAGCAGACTCCAGAGACATCTAGGAAGCAGAGTCTACTCCGATGGGGGGATGGAGCGCTGGGGCCATAATACCTGATTCTTGGTTCTCAGCAACTTTTTCAGGCTGCTATCTCTGTCTTTATTTTATAGCTGAAGAAATAAGGAAACTTGAGTGACCTTGAGTGATGATCTTGAGGTCACACAGCCAGAAAAGGGCCAGGGCCAGTACCAATGGCAAGTGTGGCCTTTTCTCTGTGTTAGCCTTCTTGATGCCAGGACAGTGGTCACTTTCTCACCATCCTCCCTGTCCCCAAGCCTCGGTGCCCCTGCAGGTCACCCAGCATTCCCTGCCTAGCACCCAACCCGGTGGAGAGCCAGGAGTTGCAGGTGGTGGGTGCTGGGTGCTACCTTCATTTCCAGAGGTTGGTTAAATGAGTTAGCGCATCTAACAGCAGCTGCCTGGGGCATAGTAAGCACTCAGCAAGTATTCTTGACTGTGTGGCTGTTATCCTGTCCCCAAATGTGGGGCCAGGCAAACTGGCAGGGGGAGGCGGGAGGAGGATCTGGAGTGAGGATGATGCCATCTGTCTTCTTCTGACCAGAGAGCCCAGCCCAGGGGGCTCCCTCATGGTAGTGACCCAGGGGAGGCTGTTTGTCCCTGCAGAGCCACTGTCCCTGCCACCTGTCCAGCTGCCTCTGGGCATCACAGACTGGATTAGGGAGTGGTTCAGTTCATAGGCAGGGCCACATGTGTGAAGGGGAAGGCAGGGGTAACCGGGAGGGATGGGCAGGGCTGGGGTGAGGGGGTGGGTGGTTTCAGGGGTGGGGCTGACAGCCTCTCCCTGAAGGGAGCCCCATGTGCCCCCGGGAGACTTTCGGAATCTGCTGAGACCTGCCCTGGGAGGGGACATGGTCTTAGCTTGACTGGGACCCAGCTCTTGCCTGAAGGAAACCAGTGTGTGCACCTGTTACCTCTGCCCAGGCTGTCAGACAACAGGAAGCACTCCTGGGGGGCGGGGGGCAGGCGGAGTCACACCTAGAGCTTTCCCCTAGTCTCCTCTGAAATGCACTGTCCAGCGTGAGACCAGGGGATGGATCTGCTGACCTTAGAGAAGAGTCATTGCAGGCATTCCCCTGCCTCTAGGAATGACTGCTCCAGTCTAGTCTGAAAAGGGGCTCTGGCCTCTCTCCTTGACCAAAGGGAGACCCCGAGATTCCACAGTTGCTCTGTCCTTCTGCAGGAGATTCTTCTCCTTTGTAGGAGATGGGGAGGGGAAGATCCCAGGGCAGGTTGGAGCTGAGGGGCCTGGGGAGCGAGGTTGAGGGAATGAGGACCCTTCTGCTCGCTCTGGGTTGTCAAGGAGACGAGGCATGCCAGCGCTGGGCCAGCAGGGGGCTCTGCTGGCCACGGGACCTGCCTGCCAGGCAGCCGAGATGTGCACCCTTCATTGTGCGGGCTCATTTCCAGGAGTGCCTGAGAGGACGCGGCGGTGTCTCTGTGGGCACACCCTTGTGTGTATGTTACAGGTGGGTGTGAGCGTGTGGCGCGTTGGAATGGGCATGTGTGTGCTTGGTGGGTTTGAGGGCCCCCACACTGAGCCAGGTTTCTGCCAAGAAAACTCTTCCAAGTTCCTGCCGGCAGCCTTGGAAGAGTTTGTGCATGACTGGGGATGGCAGCCTCTGTGGATGGCAGGCCCCCATCAACGCCAAGGACCTGATGCGTGCCAGGTTCAGGCTGGGCGATCCCCCTGTGCGGGGACCTCTAGGGCTCCAAAGATGACAGTAGAGACTCTGAGGAGGTGCAGTGGAGAAGGGACGGCAGGGAAAGGTCTTCCAGGCAGGAGGTGCCCAGCTCCTGGGCAACCTCTGTGGGCAGAGACTTCTCCTGGGCACCAAGGAGAGACCTGTTCATTTGTTTCATCTTTCAACATTTTTTTTTTTTTTGAGACAGAGTTTTGCTCTTGCCGTCCAGGCTGGAGTGCAATGGCGTGATCTCGGCTCACTGCAACCTCCACCTCCTGGGTTCAAGCAATTCTCCTACCTCAGCCTCCAGAGTAGCTGGGATTACAGGCACCTGACATCACGCCCAGCTAATTTTTGTATTTTTAGTAGAGATGGGGTTTCACCATGTTGGCAAGGCTGGTCTCAAACTCCTGACCTCAGGTGATCCAACTGCCTCGGCCTTCCAAAGTGCTGGGATTACAGGCCTGAGCCACCGTGCCTGGCCTTTTATTTTGTGTGTGTGTTTGATTTCTGACTTGGCCTTTTTAAAAAAATCACAAAATATATAATACGGCCGGGTGCTGTGGCTCACGCCTGTAATCCCAGCACTTTGGGAAGCCGAGGTGGGCAGATCACGAGATCAGGAGATCGAGACCATCCTGGCTAACACAGTGAAACCCTGTCTCTACTTAAAAAAAAAAAAAAAAAAAAAAAGATAGCTGGGCATGGTGGCTCGCATCTGTAGTCCCAGCTACTCAGGAGGCTGAGGCAGGAGAATCGCTTGAACCGGGGAGGCAGAGGTTGCAGTGAGCTGAGAGCACGCCATTGCACTCCACACTCCAGCCTGAGCAACAAGAGCGAAACTCCATCTGAAAAAATATATATATATAAAACAAAATTTATAATTTTAACCATTTTTAACTGTAAAGTGGCATTAAGTACATCCATATTATTGTGTTATCACCATAAGTGGTGATATTCCACTATCACCGTAAGTGGAATAATATAATATTTATTCATTCATTCCTTTTTTTTTTTTTGAGACAGGGTCTTGCTTTGTCACCCAGGCTGGAGTGCAGTGGTGTGATCACGGCTCACTGCAGCCTTGACGCCCTGGGCTCAAGGGATCCTCCCATCTCAGCTTCCTGAGGAGCTGGGATTATAGGTGCATGCTACCACGCTCTGCTATTTTTTTATTTTTTGTAGAGACAGGGTTTCACCGTGTCGTCCAGGCTGGCCCTGGACTCCTGACCTCAAGTGATTCTCCCACCTCAGCCTCCCAAAGTGCTGGGAATACAGGTGCTGGGATTACAGATGTGAGCCACCAAGCCCAGCCAATATTAATCCTTTCACTTAGCATAATGTCTTCAAGGTTCATCCACATTGTAGCATGTGTCAAATATCTTTCTTTTTTTTTTTTTTTGAGACAAGGTCTGGCTCCCCTAGGCTGAGGTGTAGTGGCGCGATTTCAGCTCATTGTAACCTCCATCTCCTGTGCTCAAGCCATCCTCCCACCTTAGCCTCCCAAGCAGCTGGGACTACATGTATGTGCCACCACACCTGGCTAATTTTTTTTTTTTTTTTTTTTTTTGGGAGAGATGTTGTTTCACCATGTTGCCCGGGCTGGTCTAGAACTCCTGGGTTCAAGTAATCCTCCCACCTCAGCCTCCCAAAGTGCTGGGATTACAGGTGTAAGCCACCCCGCCTGGCCTTCACTTATTTTAAAAGGCTAAATAATACAATTATTATTATTCATATCATGGATGGATTATATGTAATACAATAATACAGACAATTTCATTGTATAGATATACCTCATTTTATTTGTCCATTCATCCGTAGATGGACACTTGGGTTGCTTCCATTTCTTGGCTGTTGTGAATAACACTGCTACAAACATGGGTGTACAAACATTTCTTCTAATCCCTGCTTTCAGTTGTTGTGGATATATACCCAGAAGTGGAATTACTGGATCATATGGTAATTCTGTGTTTAATTTTTTTTTTTTTTTTTTTGAGACGGAGTTTCACTTTTGTTGCCCAGGCTGGAGTGCAACGGCGCGCTCTTGGCTCACTGCAACCTCCGCCTCCCTGGTTCAAGCGATTCTCCTGCCTTAGCCTCCTGTCCATGTTTAATTTTTTGAGAAACTGCCATACTGATTTCCATAGCAACTCCACCATTTTATTTATTTATTTTTTATTGCTTTTTTAGAGAGGGAGTCTTCCTCTGTGGCCCAGGCTGAAGAGCAGTAGTGTGATCATAGCATCATAGCTCACTGCAGCCTCCAACTCCTGGGTTCAAGGGATCCTCCCACCTCAGCCTCCCAAGTAGCTGGGACTACAAGTGTGTGCCATCACGTTTGGCCAATTTTGCATTTTTTATAAAGATGGGGTCTCTATATGTTTCCCAGGCTGGTCTTGCACTCCTGGCCTCCCAAACACTGGGATTACAGGTATGAGCCACTGTGCCTGGCCACAGACACACCATTTTACATTCCCACAGCAATCCAATTTCTCCACATCCTCACCATTAAGAAATAATTTTTGAGCTGGGCATGGTGGCTCATGCCTGTAATCCCAGCACTTCGGGAGGCCGAGGCGGGTGGATCATTTGAGGTCAGGAGTTCGAGATTAGCCTGGCCAACATGGTGAAACCCCATCTCCACTGAAAATACAAAATTTAGCCGGGCGTGGTGGCACGTGCCTGTAATCCCAGCTACTCGGGAGGCTGAGGCAGGAGAATCACTTGAACACAGGAGGTGGAGGTTGCAGTGAGCCGAGATCTCGCCACTTCACTCCAGCCTGGGCAACAGAGACTCCGTCTGAAAAAAAAAAAAAAAAAAAAAAAAAAAAGAAATAATTTTTGAGAGCCCGCTATGCACAAAGCTCTCTAGGAGGGCAAATCCATTCTGAAAACCCAGCAGCCATTGTCCTTAGGGAGCTCTCAGTCTAAGGGGGAGACTCAGGCCAGGCCCTTGGGCATCCTCCAATCTGAGGGGAAAGACACAGGCCATGCCTTTTGGGAGACCCTAGACTGATGTGGGGCAAAAATCCCTTGTTTTCAAGGAGCACACAGTCTGATGGAGGAGGCATAGCTTCTTCCCTTTGAGGAGTCTGCAGACAGGCCTAGAGACCAGAATGGAGACCCCAGAGACAGCCAAGGGCTGCTGAGTGGGTAAATCAGGGGTACGGAGGGGTTGTGGTAAGCCCTGTCCCAATGCCAGCCTGCTGTTGCCTGGGCAATGGCCCTGGTGTTTACTTTGTGGCTGGCTAGACGCACCCTTTTCTGTAAGTGCTCATTTCCCACCAAGAGGAAAGAGGCTCCTCTTTAGTTTCCCCTTCCTCTGTTGTCCCTGAGGGAGGAACTGGCCCTCCTCTGGCACTGGAGACCCTGCCAGCCTGGCACCTTTGCCATGCTCCTTGCCTGCTGGGAGAGGCCCCATCCTGGGGTCTCATGTTGCCCACCCCTTCCCTACTCCCAGAGGGCCCATAAGGTAGTGCTCTGGGCTTGCCAAAGTTCAGCCAAGGAAGTGGGAGATCCTACTGAATCCTCCCTGCTTGGGAGGAACTGGGGCACGTCAAGAGCCTGTAGGAACCTGAGGCTGGCAGTGGGAGGTGGGGGTGATGCCGGGAAGGATGAGCTTGCCTGGGTCTATGAGCGTCCACATGTGTCACCGTGTCTTTGTGTATCCATGGCTGAGTGTCTGCATGTCTGAATGTCAGTGTGACTGTGATGACTATCCAAAAAGCCGTCGAAACAGCCTGCATTTATTAAATCCCTACTATGTGCTCTGAGCCTGTGCTAAGACTTTCTTTAATTTACTTAATCCTCCCAACAACCTTTGAGGTGGAAATACATGTCATTACCATTTTATTGATGAGGAACCAAGGCTTAAAGAGGTTAAGTAACTCACCCAAAGTCTCATATCTAGAAAGTGGTAGAGATAGGGCTCTGACTCAGCCTCCAGAGGACTCCAGATCCCGTGTGTCAGCCCCTGAGCTGTGCTGCCACTGAAAGAACTTGGGGAGTTTTTTTTTTTTTTTTTTTTTTGAGACAGGGTCTTGGTCCGTCACCCAGGCTGGAGTGCAGTGGCGCGAACACAGCTCACTGCACCCTTGACTTCCTGGGCTCAAGTGATCTTCCCACCTTAGCCTCCTGAATAGCTGGGACCAGAGGTGCACGCCACCATCCCCGATTAATTTTTAAATTTTTTGTAGAGATGGGGTCTTGCCAAGTTGCCCAGCCTTTTTTTTTTTTTTTTTGAGACCGGGTCTCACACTGCAGCCTTGACCTCCCTGGGTTCAGGTGATCCTCCCCACCTCAGCCTCCTGAGTAGTTGAGACCACAGGCATGCACTACCACACCTGGCTAATTTTTATATTTTTTGTAGAGACGGGGTTTCGCTGTGTTGCCCAGGCTGGTCTTGAACTTCTGGGCTCAAGCGATCCTCCTGCCTTGGCCTCCCAGAGTGCTGGGATTATAGGCATGAATCATCATGCCCAGACAGATTTTGAGGATTTTGTGCATTTGGCATTATCTCAGCCCACCTCCCTGATGGTGGTGGGATGTCTGGAGTGACAAGTGCTTCCTCATCTCCCTTCCCAGGCTTCCGTGGCTCTGGCCTAGTTTGAGGGAGAGGGAGCACAGTCCATCCTAACCCTGGGCAAGAGTGGCCCTACAGGGGAAGAGCACTGGGTCTGGGGAGACCCTGGGAACCATCCCCTACCCGTGGGCCAGACATAGTGCCAGTGCGGGGTGCCCAGGTTCCCGGTGATGGGGGTTATGTGTACATGGAGGGCGCTGCGGAGACACAGGCTTGCTTGGCCGGCTCATCAACTTGGCCTGCTGGGGCTTGTCAGGCGGGAGTCTCTACCCAAGCAATGCTGGGAACCAGGCATCTGAATGGGGCAAAAGGGTGGAAGAGGCCTGAGGGGGCCGCCGCCCTTGACTGAGGAGACTGGAGCAGGGTTCAGAGGCCCAGGCGTGGGCGGGGCGGGCATGTGTCAGTATCGCATTGCCTGCATGCCTGGGATGCACGGATCTGTGGTGGGATTTGCCCTGTCTGTGTGCGAGGTTGTGGAGTGGTCATGGGTCTGCGTTTGGTGGTGTGCAACTGGTGTACAGGACCAGATGGAGCTTCAAACATGCTGGATGACTCTCTTGGGGTGGGGGCATTGTTTGTCACCTGGCAGTTTGGGGCCCACATTCTGGGAAGAGTGCTGAGCAAGCTGGAGGAAGGAAAAGCAGGCAGAATCGACCCTGAGCCCCTCTCTCACTTCCTTAACCACACGCCCTGCAACACGTCAGTTTCCTTCTTGCTCCTATCTCTGACCCTTGGGACTCAGGACGCTCTCCTCCCCTTCCCCAGTGCCTACTTGCTTCTACTCCTCCAGTCCAGACCATCCTCTCCTGTGAGGGATAGCCTGGGAGGTGTCTGGCCCCACCCTCAAAAAACTGTCACCTCCCAGAGAGAAGAGGCCCTGTGCACCTGAGAGCAGGGCTCCCTTGGTTTGTGGGGGTCTCCCTTGGTGGGGGTGAAGGCAGCCGGCTTTGGCCAGAGTCTAGAACTTGGGGATCCCTAAAGGTTTCAGGAGCTGGGACAATATTCCTGAAAGACTCTCCAAAGTATCTCAGCTCCTGGCCCACAGCAGGTACTCAAGATGTGGTTAAACAAGAGGGTAATGGAAAAGGATCTGGTAAGCGGTTAGAACCCTGGGATCTGGTCCCAGCTTAGTGAAAATGAGTCCTTGAACTAGTCACTTGTTCTCTTTGAGCCTCAGTTTCTTTTTTAAATTTTATTCTTATTTATTTATTTATTTTGGGACAGGGTCTCACTCTGTCTCCCTGGCTGGAGAGCAATCTCTGCTCATTGCAACCTCTACCTCCCAGGCTCAGGTGATCCTCCCACCTAAGCCTCCTGAGTAGCTGAAACTACAGACACGTGCCACCACACTTGGCTAATTTCTGTATTTTTTGTAGAGATGGGGTTTCGCCATGTTCCTCGGGCTGGTCTCAAACTCCTGGGCTCAAGCGATCTGCCCACCTTGGCCTCCCAGTGCTGAGATTGCAGGTGTGAGCCACCACGCCTGGCCAAGCCTCAGTTTCTGTAACTGAAAAACGGGTATCAAAAAAATCTCTGGTTATCTGATTCTTAGGGTGTCAAATGAGAACAAGTGAAAGTGCTTTCAAATGGTAAAAGACAATGATCTCTTGGAAGGAGGGAAGACTGGATGCCCTCCCTTTGGGGATGCAGCCTTCAAGCCCCTCCCCAGGGACCCTCAGGAAGATGAGGTTGAATGGATTTTGCAAGCTGGTCAAACTAGAGGGGGATGGAAGGGGCAGCTCAGCAGGGTAATTTCTGATGCAGGGGGAGGAAGCTGGGCAGGGCGTGGGGGGAGGACTCATGCTAGGCAGGAAGGCTTGGAATAGAATCTCAGCTACGCCTGGTATTTCCCAGCCCTGGGCCCCCTCCGCCACCACCCTCTGGGGCCCACCCCACATTCCTTTCCCAGAGGAAATGGGGGAGGGAGCGGAGAGGCTCCCCAGGCCTGGAGGATCATTTATTCAAGCTACATAACCTTTGAGGCCCCACTGTGTGCACTCTCCCCCTGAAGTCCCCACAGAGGCAGCTGGGTGTGGAGGTGGTGGGGGTGGGGAAGGAAGGTGTGGTTTGTGTTGGAGGAATCTGTTACCTCCTTGGCTGGGCCTTGCTCCCCTGCCAGGTTAGAGGGCAGGAAATGGACATTGTATATGGTTGATCCTTTCCAAGGTCTCTGCAGTCTGAACACAGAAAACCCATGTTGCGTCTCCACCTCTCTCCTCCCTGCTGTCCCAGAACCCTCAGCGGTTTTGAATTCCGCAGAGGTGGATTCTTGATCTGGGCACACAGCAGCACCTGTTGGCCATCAGAGGCTCCATGGGGGATGAGAGGGGAGAGTCATTCCATTTCCTTAGAACCAGGGACTGGACTAGCAGCAAGAGGAATGCAAGTTAGGCACCTGAAAGGACTTACTGGCTGCTTGCTGGGAGGAGAGGCCAGACTTGGAGCTGAAGACATCTGGTTGCCCTCCGCCTGGGGCCCCAGAGTCTGACATGGCTGGGGACATCTTGATGGTGGTTCCAGCTGGTCTAGGAGGGTCTGGCCTTTGGAGAGTATGACGGAGTCACAGGGCAGGTCAGGGCAGGAGTGGTCCCAACACCGAATCCTTAGTTTTCTAGCGATGGAAGTGGGGCGGGAGAGGGTGCCAATGGAGATGGCGCGTCCTGCTCTCCCCGGCTGCAGTCCTTTCCCGCTCTCCCCCTAAGCTCTCCTGACTCAGCTCGTGGCAGCCTCACTCTTCCCATCTGGCTTCCGCCAGGGTGGGGGTGGGGGGTCCAGCTCTTGCACGGAGGGGGAGCCCAGCAAACAGGAAACAGGAGAACAAAACCAGCTCCCTGGCTGACACAGGCAGCCGCCCCCACACGCCTCACCCTCACCCTTCCTCTCTCTTCCTCCTCCCTCCCTTGATCCCGACCTCCCTCGTGGTCCGCTCTGCTCCCTTCCCCCTCCCCTCCCACCTCCGTCCCCTAGGCTCCCTTCCCGTCCCTTTGCTTCTCCACCTTCTGACACTTTGTTGTCTGCTGCCTTCCCCTCCCTCTGCCCCCAGGCCCCTCCCCATCTCTGTCCCTCCATCTCCCCCCCAACCCCCTTGCTGGATTTCCTACCTCCCCATTGGGCCACCCTCCCGCAGGTTCTTGCTGGGGACAGTGGATGGTGGAATGGGAGGGAAGGGGAGCTGCATCTGCTTGGTGCTCCCTTCTGGTAGCTGCCTCAAAAAGGCCCAACCCTTATGACGCTTCCTCCTGGACTCCTCCTAGATTCAGGAGTGGGGTTGGGCTGGAGCTGCCCCGCTTTCCTGGCTGCTGGCTAGGATTTTGGTGTAGGATAGAAGTTGGGATGAGAGGCCCTGGGGTTGGAGTCCCGGTGCTGCCATAACAAGCTGGGTCCTCTTGGACCTCAGTTTCCTTCTCTACAAATGAGGCCATAGAAATGGCCCCGGGCCACAGTAAGTGGCTGTGGTGATATTGTTGGTGAACAGTCAAGTGGGCTAGAAATGGTGATGGTGATTACACATCCACTAGCCAAGGCCTCTGCTAGCCCCATCCGGATGGGGCCTGGGAAGAGCAAGAGCCAGGAAGGCGAGCAGGGCAGGGGCTAGCACAACATGGCGCTTCCCATCTGGCTCACATGCCAGGGGGTGGGAGAGGGGGCAGCTTTGAATGATTGTCAGCTTGTAGTGACCCTCTAGGTAGAGCTAATGGGTAGGGAGTCCTGGGAAGGAGGGTGGTTCCCACAGGGGTGTTGGGGACTCCATCTGCGCTTAAGAGTGTGTGGCTGTCACTCTGTGCAGGGCAGTGTGTGTAGCACTCGAGGGGCTGTGGCATCCATGCCTGGAGTGCCTGAGCTGTGCAGTGTGTGCGTGGCATCTGCCATGTTGTGGGGGTCCCTGTGGGGTATGTGTGGAGTGCGTGGGTGGGTAAATGTGGGTCTGGTGTGCTTGCACATGCATCTCTCTGAGTATGTGGACCGTATACACTTGGGCGGATGTCTGAGGTGTGTGTATACGATGTGGAAGAGTGTCCTGTGTGTGTGGGGGGGATAGTGTGTTTCTGGGGTATGTCCACATAGGGTGAGTGTGTGTGGGCAGGTGGATGTGTGTGGTGCGGGTCTGTACAGAGTGGGTAGGGTGTGCAGCAGAGTGAGGGACACCTGGAGCATGTGTGGCTGTTTCTCTGGGTGGATGGGGCTGATGCGCGCGCGTATGCGTGCGTGTGTGTGTGTGTGTGTGTGTGTGTGTGTGTGTGTGTGCGCGCGCGCGCTGGAAGGGTGCAAGGTGTGCGGGCCGGGGGAGAGTGCGTGTCTGGGTCCAGGGCTGCCGTCTGCGTGTGAGGGTGCGAGGGTGTGGTCGTGCGGGGGACTGTGTAGTGCCCTGGCGTGTGGGGTGTGAGTGTGAGATCTGGGCGGCCGCGGACAGGGGCCGCCCCGGAGGGGGAGGCGTCAGCCCTGCGAGACTCGCGGGCGTGTCGGGGCTCGGGCGCCTTCAGCCGGGAGGCGCAGGAGGCGCGGAGCCAATCCAGCCGTCCTGCCGCCGTCCGCGCGGGCCGTCCGTCCCTTCGGGGCCCCCGGGCCCCGGGCCCGCGGCTCCGGGGGGCGGGCGGGGACCCCCGGGGCCCGCCGGCCGCCCGGGGGGTCGAGGACGCCGTCTGCCGGGCGCCTAGCAGCGGCCCCGGGCCCCCGCGCGGCGCGCGCGTCTCCGGAAGCCCGGCCTGGGGCGTACTGGGGCCGGGGCAGTGGCCGGGCCCGGGAGCCCCCGCCGGCCGCGGAGCTGGTGGGCAGCGCCGTGTGGCGCGTGGAGCGCGCGGGGGCCGGGGGCTGGCGCTGGGAGCGCGCCGTCGGCGTGGACTGCAGCGCCCCGGAACCGCGCTGCCTCTGGCTGCCCTGCCTCAGCCACAGCGACCGCCGCGCGCCCGGGCCGCGCCGGGCCAGGGTGAGAGCCGCGGGGCCGGGGCCGGGGCCGGGGCAGGCCTTGTCGGGGTCTGAGTGGGACTGGGTCACCAACTCCCTGCGGCCTTTGAGCTGTGTGCGCCCTGCATTCCAGGACTGATGCCCCTGGAACGGGGAGTGAGTGAGGCACTTGAGAGATGGGGCTGAGGGTGGCAGGATTTGTGGCTTGGAGCTCTGCCAGGGCTTCTGGGATGACAACCCCCAGTCTGGGTCGAGGCCTCCACGGGGCTCAGCCCTCTCGGTTTCCAGGCAGTGGAAGGATGGAAGGGACCAGAGCGTTTGAAGAGACGCTGGGGCTTCTAGGAATCCCAGAGGGTATGGGTGGGCAGGGACCCCGAGTTCCGAGGCAGGCAGAGGCACCACTGAATGGAGCAGGGCCCACGACCCACCCCACCCCTGGTAGGGGACCTGGACACGGCACACGAGGGTTTCCTAGTGGGCAGAGGAGGCTGAGTGGCAGACGGGCCACTGCAGGTAGTGAGTGCTCTCAGGGCTGACAGGGCTGGGCTGGGGGACTGCCGTGTTTCTGATGTCCGGGATGGACCAGGCTGGTAGGGTGTGAGTCACAGTGGGCGCCATGCCCGGCCTGAACACTGTGCTCCCTGCAATGACCTCTTTATGCTCCCGGGGGGAGGAGCAGGGCTCCTGGGTTCTAGTTTCTGGTGCTGCCAACCCACCACGTGTCCACCTCTGCCTAATTTGTGGCCTAAGGCCGTCTGCCCTGCTGTCACCATCAGCTGGTATTTTTGGACGTCTCTTTCTTTCCTGACATGAGGGTGGGAGTGTTTGGAAATAGATCCAGGCCAGGAGAATTTAATCAGCAATGTCCCTGTGTCCCCTGAGCAACTCCCTCTCAGTCCCCTTGTCTCTGTGCCTAAGTCAGAGAGGCAGAGCTGTGTGTGTGAGCTGTGCACCTTTCTAGTTGTTATCAATGGCTCCTTCTGTGGTTTTTGCACCTATCACTTCCCCCACCTCAAGATGAGAACAAGACTCAGTTCTGTCCCAGGTCACAGGGGAGGAGAGGAAACATGCATGTATTATAGCATGAAGGATTGAGGTTAAACAAGGAAGAACTTCCCACAGGGGAGATGCCAGCTCTGGCTTTTGATGGGTGTCCTGGTGTCTCCTCTTCAAGCAGGTGTGTGGTAGCTGTGGCTGTGTGGTAGCTGACATTCTCAAGAGCCTAGTTGGAAGAGGTGGGAGGAAGGGGACTGGAAGGAAGGAACAGAGGAAAGGGAGAGGTAGAGATAAGGGAGGGAATGCTGGTAGTGCTTGGTGAGGAGGGGACCCGGAGAGGAAGGCATGCCTCCTACCCTGGATTCCATGCAGGCCCTCCCAGGGAGCAGCCCCCCCAGGCAGCTGGCAGCTCCAGGCAGGATGTGTGCTGGGGGAGGGGCGGGGGGCGTGCGGGGACCTGTCCCAGCCACTTCTCGTCACTGGGGCAGCTGGTGGCTTGAACCTTAATCCAGGACAGCAGCAAAACAATGGGCCCTGCAAACAGCCTCAGCTCTGAGCCTGGGTGGGGGACAGGCAGGGGGCAGCCCACACTGGGGAGGAGCAGGGGCTTCTGGTAGGAGAGGGCAGTTGGTGAGGGGACCCCCAGACCCTTTTCGCTCCCTGATCAGTTCCTTGCCAGGTCAGCAGAGATGGGAAATCCGGGGGATTTCAGACCTCAGCAGAATTCCCAGAGAATTTTCTCCTCTGGGCTCCCCAGGCCCCCATGGGGGTGCAGGGCACCGTGGGAGAGACTGGGCTAAAGCTACAGGTGGAAGATGCTGGACTACCCCTGATGTCAAAACCCCTGCTGAGACCTCCTGGACTGGGGGTCTTCCAGCTTTTACGTGGCCCCTGTCTGGTAGGGGGCACTCATAGCCTCATCTGGGTAGTTTTCCAGACCGTATAGGAGTAGAACAGTCTAGAACGGTCTGTCTCCCTTGCCTGGAGCTCCACTCAGCCTCTTGTATATTCCACCTGGCTCTGTCCCCTGGGGCTGTATGAAGCAAGCCTATAGCCTATTGTCTCTGTCACATTTTTCTTTAATCTTCTGAGATGGGAGGATCTAGCCTCTTCCCCAGACCTGCTCGACAGCAGCCAGGCTCTCCCCCATGCGGAAATCCTTAGCAGAGGGCAGCTGTCTCCCTCCACTGGGTGTGTGGACAGGAGGGTGGATGGTCCATGAATGAACTTATTGGCATCAGGACATTTGAGCTTTCTCCAGCTACGAGAAGGGGACAAAAGGGGATGTTGCTAGTGAAGCGGGAGCTCCTCACTCCAGAACTGATGAGCTTCTTCCTCCACACCCAGCCCCTCAGCCTTTCTCCTGTCAGCTGATGCTTCCTGCCTGGTGCCGAGGAGGAGTTGAGGGGAGTAAGGAGTGTTGGTGGTGAGGGCTTTTTGCCCTCTGAGGGGCTTGGACTAGGGGCAACATAGAGGTTAGGCCACATGATGTTATGGATTTAAGAGTCCTCTAGGGGTCCTCTTGGCTTTTCAAAGCCAGGCAGCTTCTCCGTGGCTCCCATCTTCCCCAGTTGGGCTCCGTGAGCACCCTCTATCTGACACCCTCCTGTCACCCACCTTCCCTCTCTGTGTCCCAAAGGGAGCCCTGTCTCAGGCACTGTTTTTCTTCTTGCCCCAGAAACAGACCTGTGTGCCCCCTCCAAACTCTTGTCTTCAGATACCCTCTGCCACATCATCTTGGAGAATCCTGAGAATTTTGGGAGGTCTGACAGGAGGCTTTAGTGTCTCTGAAACCTCCAGCCTTTTTTTTTTTTGAGACGAAGTCTCGCTCTGTCACTAGGCTGGAGTGCAATGGTGCGCTCTCAGTTCACTGCAACTTCTCCCTCCTGGGTTCAAGCGATTCTCCTGCCTCAGCCTCTTGAGTAGCTGGGATTACAGGCGCCAGCCACCATGCCCGGCTAATTTTTGTATTTTTGGTAGAGACAGGGTTTCACCATGTTGGCCAGGCTGGTCTCGAACTCGCCTTGGTCTCCCAAAGTGCTGGGATTACAGGTAGAGACAGGATTTTACCATGTTGGCAAAGGCTGGTCTCCACCCGCCTTGGCCTCCCAAAGTGCTGGGATTACAGGTGTGAGCCACCGCGCCCAGCCACCCCAAGCCTTTCTGGTGAACCAGCCAGGCCTCTGGGCTGGGCTCTGGAGCCTCAGGAAGTCCCTTCAGGTGTCTGATGTCCAGTCCGCTCCCTCTTGTTTCTTGGTTCCCCCTGTGTTCCTGCTGCTGTTCTTGAAGGATGCGTGTGTGCCGGTCTGCTGTGCATGTGTGTATCTGCATGTCTGTGATGCATGCGCATGCGTCTGTATGTGCATTGTGTGTGCAGGACTTTGATTCTGTGCAACTCTGTGCATATCTATGTGTCTACAAAAGTGTGCACATGTGTACTCATTTGTGTGTGTGTATCTGTGTGTCTGCATATTTGCACATGCTTGTCTGTATGTTTGTGGTATGTTCCGTCTACATGAGTGTATGTGGCTGGGGCTGTGTCTGCATAAGTATGTGTCTATCTGGGAGTGCATATATGTGTGCATGTGTGTGTGTGAGATTGTGCATGAGCTAAGACAACGACAGGCACTTCCTGGGCAGGAAGGCTGTATCCAGGGTCCTGCACATAGTAGGTGCTCAGTGAACATTTGCTGAACTCAGCTGAACTGAACTGAATGAACTTGCTTCAGTGAGTTATTTTCCCAAGGGCAAAGACATTATGAGGGGACTGAGGGGAAAGGAAAGAAGGAAAAAGCTATTGGGCTGATGAAGGTGGGAGAGTAAGGAAGGGGTGAGGAGGAGGTCATGGGCAGGGAGGATGCCTGGCAACCCTAGGGCGAAAGACCCCTTCTGGTGCCCCTCCGGTCCTGTGGGCTGCAGGAGGTGGTGCAAACAGCCAGAAGTGTCAGCCACACGGGCGCTCAGCCTGGCCTCTCTGTCTCCCACAGCTGCCACTGGGCCCAAGAGATGGGTGCTCTCCTAGGCGCCCCTTCCCCTGGCAGGGGCCGAGGACGCTGCTGCTGTACAAAAGTCCCCAGGACGGCTTTGGCTTCACTCTGCGCCACTTCATCGTGTACCCACCCGAGTCGGCCGTGCACTGCAGCCTGAAGGTATGCCCGGCTCGCCGCTGCCCTGGTCTGGGGAAGCTTTCATGAGGGAGGGAGACTCTTTTGTGCCAGTCCCCTTCATGGTCCTTTCACCCTCTCAGAGAGGCAGTCCTTCCTGGGGTCCGGCCTGACTCCCTTCTGCTGTGGCCTGGGGAGGAGGACTGCAGGGAGGCAGTGCCAGCCTTGGCTGGGTTATTTGTACTGTGTGACCGTGGACAAACACTTGAATCACTGTGGCCTGGGGCTTCTCAGGAGACAGGGAGGGGTGGCTGGTGCAGGGCAAGGACCTTGCAGGTGGGCAGCCAGGATGCTCACCTCACACCCCCAGACGCTTGTCTCTGGCAGGTGAACAGTTGTCTGGGAGTTCCTGGGACCCCTGATCTACCGGCTGCTTCTGAGCTGGGGTTGCTCCTCCCCTCTCCAGCGTGAGCTCTCAGGGGCCTAGCCCACCTGTGGGAGCCCTCCCAGCACGCCCCTGGCCCCTGCTGGCCACAGCTCAGTGCGCTGGAAACAGACCCAGGCTGGGACACAGGAGCCCAGAGTTCCGGTCCTGGGACAACTCCTCACTCATTGTGAATTTGGGGCTGCCTCCCCATCTCTGGGCTCCATTTCTCCTGCTGGAACCTGAGGACATTTATCAACTTGACCCCTCAGAGTCCCTCCTGCCCTAATGTAAACGTTGTGTTCTCTGAGTCCAGGAACCAGGGGTCCTGACCCCAATCCAAGGCTGTGAGCTAGGGGGAGGGGTCCCTGACAGCGAAGCAGAAGTGTGGGAAGAAGACAGAAGGGGCCCCAGGGAGCAACCAAAGCCCCCGACTAGGGCTCTGCTCCCATCACCACTTCTTTTCCAGCAGGGAGGAGACACTGATTTTGCAGTGAATGAACCCCTCTATCCACTTTCCCTAGGACCGGGATCTGCCTGTACAGCTATTGGGGGACTCCCCCTTGGTCCCACCTATCAGAGAACCAAACAGGGGACTTCACTGTCTGTGTTCGTGTGCTCACATGTCTCTCTGTGTGCATCGCGTGCTGGCCATGGACATGCATGTGTGTATCTCTCTGTGTGCATATAGTGTCTGCAAATACATGTCATGTGTACATGTAACTGTGCAGCTCTCACATGCATGCCGGAAGCTCTGGGGCTCCTGCATAACTGTTCTCATTGGCTACAGCTGTGCTGAAGAACATAAGTGGGGGCTGATGGAGTGTGGAGGGGGCACAGACCCCTACTTCATGCCCAAGGACACCAGCCCCTTAGTTCTCCGGAACCCCCAGTACTTCCTTCACTCTTTCCCCAGAATGCCCCTCCTGCTGCCCCCAGCATCTTCTCTCAGGAGACCCTGCTGAAGCGTGACAGCATAGAGTCTAGGGCTGGAAGACCTAGGGCCAGGCAAGCCAGGGACAGGCTGCCTCTCCTTTCCAGAACCTGCCCAGGGCTGGGAGGGGCCTTTGGCCTGGAGGCAGGAGGAGGCTGTGTTCTCCCGTCCTTCATGCTGCCACCTGGCAGCCTGCAGGGAGCTCAGCCGTCCAAATGCATCTGTCTGCCTCTGCCACTCTCTCGCAGTGCTGTCAGCTTGCATCAGCCGGAGTGCACCCCACACAGGAGGACGGGGGCAGAGTGCTTGCTCCCCAGAAGGGCCCAGCAGCTTTCCTGTGACCCACCCTGTCCTCATTGGGGTGCCACAGAGGCCTGGGTTCCAGCCCTGGCTCTGCCACTGAGTCTCTGAGTGGCCTTGAACACACCATACCCTGCGAGCTATACAATGGGTACATGTGTGGAGAGGGTTAGAAGAGATGACGCTGAAGGTCTGATCCAGCTCTAAAATGCCACATCCAGCTGACTTAGCCTGTTCCTCTGACCTCCATGCCCTCCTTCCTCATTCCCCCACAAAGTCTAGTGCCATCACCTACCAGGTGATCCCAGAGGCCTCCCAGTGGGTCCCCTTGACACCCTGCACCCAGGTGCCAGAATCCTCTCCCCTAACTCTCATTTTCACCTCCACTCTCTCTCACAGAAGAACTTCCATTGGCTCCCTCTTTCTGTCCTGTAAGCCTGAGTGCTTTAGCCTGAGTATTGTCACTTGCTGTTGTTGACTTTCTCCTTTAACTCAGCGATTCAGCCCCTGGTGTGCTGTGAGCGCTTATCCCTGCCAGCCAGCGTCTGCACACCCCGCCTCCCTTGTCCACAGTGCCTTCTACCCGCCACCCTCAGATGTCTTTTGAGTCCCCTCCCCAGGAGGACTCTAATCAGTCCTCCCCTTGGTATTCCCTGGAGCTGATAGCTGTAGTTTGCGCTTGTCACGTGCCTATCTGTGACTGCCCGCGTCTTCTGTGTGTGTGAGCCTGTGTGATGCCTCCCTTGTTGGGCTGGGAGCTCCCCCAGGGAAGGGGTCTTGGGTCACTTGTTGGATTGCGGGTTCCCTGATGGTTAGGGTGTTGAGGCGATGGGAGCACATGTCACTGGGGAACTTGGCCTCGGACTTGGTGCCCCTCGGACACCCCTCCCGCACCCTCCCCTGCTGGGCTACTTGGGAGGAGATAAGGGGTGGCGGGAACCTGAAGGGGCCCTGCCCACTGGAGCTGGGCCACCCCTGGCTGCTGAGGGCTGGACTGACGCCCACACCCACTCCTCTGTTCCCTGCAGGAGGAAGAGAATGGAGGCCGTGGAGGAGGTAAGGGAGGACTGGCGGGCGCTGGACCTGCACAGGACTCCTCTTCCAGCTCCTGTCTCTCCCTGTCCTCCCCTAAGACTGCCTGTCCTTTTCTGTGCCCCCCTCCCTTGACTCCTGTTCCTGCCTTTGCTCCTGTCTGTGCCCCTGGTCTGGCCCCCTCTGGGCACCTCCTCCTCACTCTCTCTGTCCTCCCCCTTTCTTTTCGCACATTTGTCTCCCTTGGGCATTTCCTCCACAGAAGTTTGCTGAGCTCGGCACACTGTGGGCGGCACTCTGGGGCGCAGATGGGTGTCTGCCACCTGGCCCCTGCCCTCAAGCTGCTCCCAGCCTAGAACAAGGCAGGGCAGGGCTGCAGGGCCTGGGGGCTGGTGGTGGGAGCGCTGAGCAAAGGCTGTCCTTGGAGGCGGAGACAGTGGAGTCCTGGTGGAAGTCAGGGATCCCCCAAGGTCTTTCTCTCATATGATGTGAGCCTGACTCCCCTTGCTGTGGCTCTTGCTCCCCAGAGGCCCCTGGTGGACACCCAGGCCCCCAGGTTATTCAAGGCAGAGTGCCTTCTCTGGCAGCCTTCCTGCTCTGCCACTGGGGCTTTCGCTGGGCAGCCATAGGACACTCCTGCATCCCCATCCAGAGGCCGTGATGAGGGAGGAGCCCGCTGACCTAGAGCGGCCCATTTCTCTGTTAGCTTAGAGTTAGCAGCACTTAGGAGCAGAGAAACTTTGTTGGGGTGCAATGCGATTTGTGCCCACCCTAGGGGCCTCGGACCTCTGCTTGGAGTCCCTGAGCCTGGGGAAGGGAGGAGGTGGGGGATGTGAGTATTAGGTGTCTTGCTGGGTCTGCGGGAGTGGGCATCCCTGTGAGGAGGGCGTCTGACTCTGCCACATGTCTTCAGAACTGTTATGGCCTCTTGTATGGCGCCCTTTCCTCTGTCTCGTGACTTGTGTGTGCTGCACATGTGTGTGTGAGAATCTGCCTCCCCCACTGGACAGGGAGCTCTGGAAGGACAAGGGCTGTGCTTGTTCATCCTTTTTTTTTCTTTTGAGATGGAGTCTTGCTCTGTCACCCAGGCTGGAGTGCAGTGGTGCTATCCGGGCTCACTGCAACCTCCACCTCCCGGGTTCAAGCAATTCTTCTGCCTCAGCCTCCTGAGTAGCTGGGATTACAGGTGCCCGCCACCGCGCCCGGCTAATTTTTTTATTTTTTAGTAGAGACAGGGTTTCACCATGTTGGCCAGGCTGGTCTTGAACTCCTGACCTCATGATCTGTCTCGGCCTCCCAAAGTGCTGGGATTACAGGCGTGAACCACCGCACCCGGCCTTTTTTTTTTTTTTTTTTTTTTGAGACAGTGTCTTACTTTGTCACCCAGGCTGGAGTGCAGTGGCACAATCCCGGCTTACCACAACCTCTGCCTCCCAGGTTCAAGTGTTTCTCCTGCCTCAGCCTCCTGAGTAGCTGGGATTACAGGCATGCGTGCCACCACACACAGCTAATTTTTGTATTTTTAGTAGAGACAGAGATTCACCATATTGGCCAGGCTGGTCTCGAACTCCTGACCTCAAGTGATCCACCCGCCTTGGCCTCCCAAAGTACTGGGATTACAGGCGTGAGCTACCGTGCCTGGCCTGTTCATCCTTTTTAGTGTAGTTTTTAGCACATGAAGAGGACACAGGAGGTGTTTACGGAGTGACTCTTTGTATGTCCCCATAGGTTTTCTTTCTCCCAGGTCTGTGTCCTCCTGTTGGGTTCTGTGCCTCCATGGACCTGTCCAGTGTCCTCGTGGATGTTTGAGCCTGTGCATGTTTGTGACCGGACGAGTGCAATCATTCTCTGAGTGTGTGTCCCCTGTGTGTGTAGCTGTGCATGGGTGTGACCTTCCCCAGCCACCCCCAGCTAACCTGGCTGATGCCCACTAGGACCCTCCCCCCGGTACCGCCTGGAGCCCATGGACACCATCTTTGTCAAGAATGTGAAGGAAGACGGCCCTGCCCATAGGGCGGGGCTTCGCACAGGTGAGCTGGCCCAGTTACCTGGGCTCTACTTTCTACCTTCTGGCTAGGATTTTATTCTCAGATCCAGGTGTTGGGGAGGCTCCTGTCCCCACAGTGTTAGCCATGCCTGGTACAGGGGTTCTCAGATGGGGCCTTTGATGCCCTTTGGTCACCACTCATGCGCTCCTTGTCCCCAGGAGACCGGCTGGTAAAGGTGAATGGGGAAAGCGTCATTGGGAAGACCTACTCTCAGGTCATAGCTCTGATCCAGAATAGGTGAGTGTCCCTGACCCCTCGTCCCATATTATCTCCCCTCCCCTTTGCCCTGGGGATGCCCTGGAGACCAGGATCCCTTCCTCCTGGACCCTGTTCCTTGACCCAGCCTGACGTTCTGCCTGTCTCTGTAGTGATGACACTCTGGAGCTGTCTATCATGCCCAAGGACGAGGACATCCTCCAGCTGGTGAGTCCAGCCCCTGTGGCCTGAGAGGAGACCCCTGAGCCCTGGGGCAGCACCGGCTCCCCTGGGAGGCAGAGAAGGAAGTGTTTGGAGGGCACAGGCCGACATTGCCCAGTTGGGGATGCCAGGCCCCTCCCTGGGCTGGGGCTGGTTGTTGCTTCATTCGGAGCTGCTCTGTGCTGGGGGAGCGGGAGACCTGGCCTTGGCAGGCAGGATTCCTGCCAGGGTATCTGGAAGGAGGGTGGCCCAGCAGGCTCTGCCAGCCTGGCACGTTCTTGTCAGCTCCTAGGAGAGATGCCTCTTCCCTGCACCCCCTCCCTGTCTGGCCCTGAGTGAGGGTGTCTCTGGTGGGTGTGTCCACACAGGCACCGAGCACACATCGAACACTGCTCAGCACACTGCACCCCACCCACCGTCATGTGCACCACACAGTACCCGAGCAGTACACAGCCACACAGCACAGCCCCACAGTCCCACCCTCTGTATAGCACGAAGCACACCACAACACACATGCAGCACCAGGCACGTGCCGCAATACAGACAACCACACAAGCACCCACTGCCACAGTTCACCCTCATACAGCGAAGTGCACCACAACACACACCCACAAACATTAAAACACGACACACTCACCAGCCCCTTGGCTCCCTGCAGTACAAACAGCATAGTACCTTGCACACTCGGACCTCCACAACTACACACCCACGCCGCACTATCACAACATGTATGCTCGCAAACACCGCGGCATCCTCCTGCCCATCTCAGCACGTGCGCCCACCCGTGTCACAGGACTCCAAATTTATACATTCGACACCTCAGCATACCTAGAAGACAGCATCCAGCCTGCCACACAGAGAGCGTGGCCCAGACACTGCACGAAGCAGGCCCTGCACTCCCAAGCATACCCTTCCACACACACACACACACACTCACACTCACACACTGCCTCTTTGTGCCTGGAGCCCCGGCGGTCCGCTTTGCCCAGTGCCCACCTCCCTGGTCTCATGGGTCCCAGCCAGATGGCGGCTTACTTGCCCCTGAGGTCACTGTCCCTGGGGAGGCCCTGGGAGCCGCTGTGCTGGCTTCTGCCTTGGACGCACTCTCCTAATCACTGTAATCACAGTGCCATGCCTGGCATGATGCCCTTCTGGAAACCTCCACCCCTGACCTCGATTGTCCCCTTGCTCTTCCTGGGGAGAGGGAGGAAGGAGGGGGGGATCTGAGGTGGACTGCTTACCCCAAGTCTCAAGGCCCTGCCTGTACAGCTCCCCCAGGCTGAGGCGAGGCCAGCTATGGGGGAGTGACAGGGTGGGACCCTAGGGTGTCCCCCACTCTCTCCAGTTGGCAGGGGCAAGGAGTGGGAAGGGCAGTAGCCTCAAGTTCTGCTGCCCAGGCTGGGGTGGGCTGGCAGCGCCAGATGACAGCATCTGGGGGCCTCCACTGGCCCCCGCATCTCTGCCAGCCGGAGGGTGGGGCCCAGGCATTCCTGTGGTTGGAAGCCAAGGCTGGAGGCCAATCGGGCCTCGGCAGCTGCTGACGCCACCACCGACGCGGCGAGGCCCCTCCACACCCATCCTCTCCTCCCTCCTCCTCCCGCCAGCCAGCCGAGAGAGAGTCGGGTGGGGGTGAGGGGGAGCCGCAGGGAGGGCAGACGGAGGGGGACCGGAGGCCCTGGCCAGGGCAACACAGTGGTCAGTGGGGGGGTTAGCCGGAGCTGGGGGTGGGCGGAGGCGGGCTGGGATGCTGCCGCCGCCGTGATGATGCCGGGAGCCTGGGGAGACGGCGGGATGGCAGGAGGGAGAGGTATGTGTGTGCCGGCCCTGTGCCAGCTGGAGGGGGCTGAGTGTGCGGGGGTGTGGTTTAGCTTGTCCTCATCACATGATGTTTGTGCCTGGGACTGGAGGTGTAGTTATTTGTGTGTGTTTCATTGTGTTTTACTGTGTGTGTGTGTGTCTCTGGGTGTGTATCTTCCAGTGTCTCCTCGTAGTGTGGTGTGTGTGTGTGTTTGGTTTCACCCTCCCACCCTTTGGTTCTTTGCCTTGAGTTAGGCTCCTGGGCAGCTCAGCAGGGGCCAGGCTGGGCCCAGGCCACAAGGCCGCTGTCCCTGGGAGCTGACTCCTTTTTTGGCTGGGCCTGGGCGCTGGCCCTGTCACTCCTTAGCAATGCAGCGTCAGCCTCAGCTCCCAGTGCCAAATTCCAGGCCCAGGGGTGGCAGAAGGTGGCTCAAGTCCCCTCCTTCAAGCCTGGCAGGAGGTGGGCAAACTCCTTCTCACCCCTGTGGCTCAGGAGCCAGCTCCCCATTCCCGGGGATGGAGGGACAGCTGGGCTCTGCCAGCCTCTGCCCCACCCAGACACACCCCTAGCCGGCTTTCTTCTCTCATCTGCCACCTTGACTGGTCTCGGTGGGGTTTTCCGGCTCCACCCGAGGAGCTTTGGGCATTGGTGGACATAAGGGGGCAGGCAGGCGGTGGAGGCCAGGACTGGGGGAGGACCCCAGGAAACAGATGCTGGAATGTTTGTGGCTAGGGCAGTCCTTGTCACAGTCTTAGCGAAATCCCACTTTTGCTGGAGTTTGCCTGCGTCTCAAAGGCTTCTTGCTTCTTCTTTGTTCTCTCCCTGGACCTGCCCTTCCACCCCCACCCACTTATGCCTCTCCCTCGTTCCCCCCACCGCTTGGTCCTCTCCCTTCATTTCCCTCCTGGGCTCCTTGACCTCCTCGGGCTGCCGTTCCCCTACCCTGTGGGACTTGTCTGGCCCTGCTTACCTGTCTCTGTGTCTCTGGCCAGGCCTACTCCCAGGATGCCTACCTGAAAGGGAACGAGCCGTATTCTGGAGAGGCCCGCAGCATCCCAGAGCCACCGCCGATCTGCTACCCCCGCAAGACCTACGCCCCTCCTGCCCGGGCCTCCACCAGGGCCACTATGGTGCCTGAGCCCACCTCAGCACTGCCCAGTGACCCCCGGAGTCCTGCTGCCTGGAGTGACCCGGGGCTCCGTGTGCCACCTGCTGCCCGTGCCCACCTGGACAACTCTTCCTTGGGGATGAGCCAGCCCCGCCCCAGCCCTGGTGCCTTCCCCCACCTCTCCTCGGAGCCCCGGACGCCCCGTGCCTTCCCAGAGCCTGGCAGCCGGGTGCCCCCCAGCAGACTGGAGTGCCAGCAGGCCTTGTCACACTGGCTGTCAAACCAGGTACCCCGCCGGGCGGGGGAGAGACGGTGCCCAGCCATGGCCCCCCGGGCCCGCAGCGCCTCCCAGGACCGGTTGGAGGAGGTGGCTGCCCCCCGCCCGTGGCCCTGCTCCACCTCCCAGGATGCTTTGAGCCAGCTGGGCCAGGAGGGCTGGCACCGAGCTCGCTCAGATGACTACTTGAGCCGGGCCACCCGTTCTGCCGAGGCACTGGGGCCAGGGGCACTGGTGTCACCCCGCTTTGAGCGGTGTGGCTGGGCTTCCCAGCGTTCGTCTGCCCGCACCCCCGCCTGCCCAACTCGGGACCTGCCAGGGCCCCAGGCCCCACCCCCGTCTGGCCTGCAGGGCCTGGATGACCTCGGGTACATCGGCTACCGGAGCTACAGCCCATCATTCCAGCGCCGGACCGGCCTCCTCCATGCGCTCTCCTTCCGGGACTCACCCTTTGGGGGGCTGCCTACCTTCAACCTGGCCCAGTCCCCTGCGTCATTCCCACCAGAGGCCTCCGAGCCACCCAGGGTTGTACGGCCGGAACCCAGCACCCGGGCCCTGGAGCCTCCTGCGGAGGATCGCGGCGATGAGGTGGTCCTGAGGCAGAAGCCCCCGACGGGCCGCAAGGTTCAGCTGACCCCCGCAAGACAGATGAACCTTGGATTTGGTGACGAGTCCCCAGAGCCAGAGGCCAGTGGGCGAGGGGAACGCCTGGGCAGGAAGGTGGCCCCTTTGGCCACCACCGAAGACTCTCTGGCTTCCATCCCCTTTATTGGTGAGTGATGGTACATGTGGCTGTCCTGGAGGACTTAGCTGTCGGCTGTCTGTGTCCTGCTGTACCCCATCTGCCTGTCTGCCATGGGCAGAATTCGGCTGGGTGCTGGTGGGATCATCTTGTTTCTCTGTCAATTCATTCATCTGTTCATCCATCCATCCATCTGTTCTTCCATCTTTCTTTCTGTTCTCTGTCATCCTTTCTTCCATCCTACCTCTCATTCATTTATCCTTTCAGCATCTTTCCATGCACTCTTTCTTTTTTCCCTCTCCCCATCCATCCATCCATCCATCATCTGTTCTTCCTTCCTTCTTTCCTTCCTCTCTCCCTCCTTTGTTCATTCATTTGTTCCATCCATTCATCCATCTATCCATCCATCTATTCTTCCTTCTTTCCTTCCTCTCTCCCTCCTTCTTTTGTTCATTCATTTGTTCCATCCTTTCTTCCACCCATTCATCCATCTTTCTTTCCTTTGACTCTTCCTTCCATTCTCCCATTCTTCCTTCCATCTTCCCTTTGTATCTTTCCCTCTTTGTCCTTTCCATCCACCCTCCATCCCTCCATCGACTCAACAGATATTTGTGTCAGGCCCTGTGCATGGCTCCATGCTCTCCTGGACTGGATGGCCCAGCAGAGGGTGTTGGACATGCAGGGACAATCCATTGGGATGGGCGTGTCGTGGGACAGGGAGCTTGAGGAGAAGGGCTCAGAGAAGGGCTATGGTGAGAATCTTGGAGAAAGAACATTTGGGCTAAGACTTGAAGGATGAGAAGGAGTTTATCAGGGGAAGAATATTCAAGGAGAGGGAATAGAATATGCAAAGACCCTGAAGGGAGAGAGGCAGGACCCCCTTCCAGGTTGTGAGGACCCTTTCAGGCCCAAGGGTCTCATTAGTCACTGGGGTTGGCTTTTGAGAGCAGAGGGAACCCTCTAAGGCTTGCCTTGCCTTCGACTGGATGCAGGAGAGGGAGAGGCAAGAGAGTAGAGTGGCTGGGTGATGCCCAGGTTTCTGGCCGGGCTTGGGGGTGGTGCCTCACCCCCGTGTTGGGAGTGAGAGGGGGACAAAGTTCAGGACTGTTGAATATGAGGTGTCCAAGAGGGAGCAGGATAGACGGGGCTGGGGAGAAAGAGCAAGATGCAGGGTAATGGAGAGGGATGGTGGTAGATGGGAGATGAGCTCACCCTACCAGACAGTGAGAGGGAGGAGGCCTGGGGCAGGGGGAAGACACAGCCCTGGCTCCCCCAGCCAGCCTTCGGTGGAGCAGAGACACAGCCCCTTCTGCTAGTAAGGAAGGCTCTAGGCTGTGGCCGGGAGAGGCAGTCTCTTCTTCCACAGCGCAGTCTGTTTGAGGGGGAGATGTCATCTCTGCCCTTGAGGAGCCCCAGCTGATGGGGGAGCTTTTGCCCTTAGGAAGCTCTCAGTCTGATGGGGAAGACACTGCCCCTGCCCTCAGGAGGCTCTTGGTCTGAGAGGGGAGACATAATTCATTCTCTCTGAGTGCCCTCAGTCTGATGAGGGAGACACCGTCCCTGCCCTCAGCAGGCTCCCAGTCTGATGGGGGAATATTGGCTCTGTCCTCTGGAGCCCGGTCTAAGGAGGGTGGCTCAGCCCCACTCCTGAGGGTAAGGATTCCATGGCCACAGTCTGGACAGTGGGCCAGTCATGCTTGACAGTGGGCATGTTGCCAGCAGGACCCTTTGGGATGTGTCTGAGCCTGGAGGCGAGTGGCACGGGGGCTGGCAAGGCTAGGGTGGAGGCAGGCAGGCTCCGCTGTCTGCTGCCTTCACACCTTTCTCCTTCCACATGCATAGATGAGCCCACCAGCCCCAGCATTGACCTCCAAGCCAAGCACGTCCCTGCCTCTGCTGTGGTCTCCAGTGCCATGAACTCAGCCCCTGTCCTGGGCACCAGCCCATCTTCCCCGACCTTCACTTTCACCCTCGGACGCCATTACTCGCAGGACTGCAGTGAGCACTCCCCACACCCCCAGCCCCACCCTCTCCCTCGCTGCCCAGTCCCAGGGGTCTCTGTTGGGCCTGCTGCTTGATGTCTGGCCTCTTCCTCTGGTTTCCGCTTCTCCTGCGGCCCCTTGGGAGAGTCACCTCCTGCCCCTGCCCAGAAGGGAGGGCTCTGGGAAGCCCCTGACCTGCTGCCCCGCTGACCCTGAGGCCCGATGTGGGCGGCTTTGCAGGCAGCATCAAGGCTGGCCGCCGCTCCTCCTACCTGCTGGCCATCACCACGGAGCGCTCCAAGTCCTGCGATGATGGACTCAACACCTTCCGCGACGAGGGCCGGGTTCTGCGGTGAGGCCCTGTCCGGACACGGGGTGGGGTGGCCACAGCCACCGTGGCCAGCTGCTCTGGGGCAGGGCTCTTGGCCCTGGGGGTCCTCTATGCATGGGACAGTGTGCCTCCCCCGCTGGAAGGCTTCTGGGCTTGGGGTTTGGTGGGTGACGAGATAGTGAGGTCCCAGCTTTGCTGCCCACATCCCTCACCCTCGACCCTCGCTTTCCAGGCGCCTGCCAAACCGCATACCCAGCCTGCGGATGCTCCGGAGCTTCTTCACCGACGGGGTGAGAGCTGCAAGTGTGTGTGCGTGCGCAGGAGCGAGGGTGTGGGGAGAGAGGGTGTCAGGGAGGTGGGGCCACAGCCTCGGCATGGGGGTTCCTGCTCCAGCTCCTGCCTTCCTCCTCCTCCCTGCACCCCTCACCCTCGTGTCCACCGCGGGACCCGCCCTCTGCTGTGGGCCCCGACATCCCTGAATGACACCATGCAGCCCCGCCCATGGGCCCTCGTCTGGACTGCCTCTTTCCAGACCCATCCCCCATAGCCACATGACTCACTTCTCCCCTGTCTTCGCGGCTTTTTAGGTCTTCCCTGAAATTCCAGCCTCCGCTCCTGACATTTCACGCCTCCCTTCGCTACTCTATGTTTTCCTCCTCAGCACGCCTCATGCACAATTGGTGTTTCCCTTCCTCCCTGCCTGGCTCCCCAGCTAGAATAGAAGCTCCCTGAACTTATATTTGGGGCTTCATTTGTTTCCTTCACTACCCTCAGTCAGTATTTGCATCGCGTCTTGTCTTCATGGGATGGGGTCGGGGTGGACACTGGAAAGGTGTGGCCGGGACACAGGGTTGAGACTGGTGGACAGGTAGAGTTCCCAGCCTCAGGACCTGGGGAGGCAGGATCAGGCCTGTGATAGCCCTGGCTGTTTGTTTGTTTTGAGACAGAGTCTCACTCCATTGCCCAGTCTGGAGTGCAGTGGCATGATCTTGGCTCACTGCAACCTCCACCTTCTGGGTTCAAGCTATTCTCCTGCCTCAGCCTCCCGAGCAGCTGGGATTACAGGCGTGTGCCACCACGCCTGGGTAATTTTTGTATTTTTAATAGAGACTGGGTTTCACCATGTTGGCCAGACTGGTCTCGAACTCCTGACGTCAGGTGATCCACCCACCTCGGCCTCCCAAAGTGTTGGGATTACAGGCGTGAGCCACCGCACCTGGCCTCAAATGATTTTCTTGCTTCGGTCTCCCAAAATGCTGGGATTACAGGCATAAGCCATCACACCTGGACATATTTTTGTTTTTAAAATCATATATATATTTTTCATGCATGATTTTTCTTTCTTTTTTTTTTTTTGAGATGGAGTCTCACTCTATTGCCCAGGCTGGAGTGCAGTGGCACGATCTCAGCTCACTGCAACCTCCACCTCCTGGGTTCAACCGATTCTCGTGCCTCAGCCTCCTGAGTAGCTGGGATTACAGGCATGCGCCACCACACCTGGCTAATTTTTGTGTTTTTAGTAGAGATGGGGTTTCACCATGTTGGCCAGGCTGATCTTGAACTCCTGACCTCAAGTGATCCACCTGTCTCAGCTTCCCAAAGTGCTGGGATTACAGGCATGAGCCAGCGTGCCCGCCCCACCTTTCCCTGGCTGTTTTTGATTATAGATGGACTGGAAAAGCCATCTTGATGTCAAGCGCTCTGTCTCATTGGTTGGTTGAACACCCTGGTGATATTGGCACCTAGCTTATTTCTTATCACTTTTTCTGCTTACTTAACTCTCCCTTGACTTGCGCCCTCTGGCTGGAGTCCTGTTGAGACTGTCACTTCCTCTGTTTAACTCCTCGTGGACATGACTACCTGCTCCACTCACTCAGCCTTTGTTGATGTTCCCACTTCCCCTGTTTATTTAACTCCTCGTTGACACGATCACTTCCTCCATTTCCTTGATTCTTCTAAGTCTATAAAGTTATGGGAGGCTCCGAATTGGCTCCTGTAGTGTGGTGAGGCGTGTGGTCTGCTGACAGGTCGTAGCCTTTCCTCCTTTCTGGCTTCTCCTTTATGTACGTCTCATGACCTCAACACAAGTGGTCCAGAGAGGACAAGCAATGCCCATGAGGTCGCACAGCACATCGGGGTGTAGCACAGACATATATCAGGCCTGTGCGGCCACAAGTGGTCCATGGGGTTCCTGAGATGCTGGCATTGTGGGAGCCACCCTAAATTGTCCTCTGTTGTCTCCCTGCAGTCCTTGGATAGCTGGGGCACCTCTGAAGATGCTGACGCTCCTTCTAAGCGACACTCAACCTCTGACCTCTCAGATGCGACCTTCAGCGATATCAGGAGAGAAGGCTGGTTGTATTATAAGCAGATTCTCACCAAGAAGGGGAAGGTAAGATGGGTGGAGGAATGAGGTGGAAGCTGGCTCCAGCAGAACCCTCCAGCCTCTCCTAGGCCTACCCTGACAGCCTCTGGAGCCAGAGAGAACCAGTGTAGGTTGTTGCATGAAGGATGGAGGTTAGATGCTAGGAAGAACTTCCTGGCAGGGGGATTTAAAGAACTTATGTAAAAGAAGTTAACAAGAGAGGTGGATTTTGCTGTGGGATGGATCTGATCGAGTCATGCTTGGAATATTCTGGCAAAACCATCCCACACGGGCCCTGGCTTGACAGGCCATCCTGAAGATGGCCGCTGGGGCTCATGGAAAACAAGGAGCAAGGCCGGGGTGATTTCCGTAGGAGAGCTAAGGCCCAAGAAGACGCAGGCAAGCCAGCAAAGGGCTTAGTGTTCATCCTAAGGGCAACCAAAAGCTCTCGGGGGCTCTTGCCAAGGGAGTTACAGCTTTAAAATATTCATTTGGCTCCCTGGGAGTGAGTTAGGGAGGGGCCATGCTGGAGGCAAGAAGACCAATTAGGAGCCACCGTGGAGATCCAGATGAGAGGCGAAGGGGGCTTCGGGGAGTAGTTGGGGAGGGCCTGGGAGGGAACCAGCAGGACTCTGAGAGGAGAAGGGCAGGGCCCCTGGATCCATGGGGTGCAAATCCTGGCCCCAGGCTGCGCTGTGGGCTGGAGAAGTGGGAGGAGAGACCACTGCCTTCCCTCCTGGCGATTAGGATGAACCCGGGTTTGACTCTTGACTGCATCACCCATTGCTCTGAGAGCCTGGGTGACTCACCTGGCCATGACTCAGTGTCCTCTCCTGTAAATGGAGCTAACAGTAATCCCTAGCTCATAAGCCTATTGCTAAGGATTAAATGAGATGATCTAAGTAAAGGGTTTACCCAGTGCCCGGCACTTGAAGCTGCTGTACTTCTGCTTACTGCTATTTGTTTTCTTTTTTTGAGACGGAGTCTCGCTCTGTTGCCCAGGCTGGAGTGCAGTGGCGTGATCTCGGCTCACTACAACCTCCACCTCCTGGGTTCAAGCAATTCTCCAGCCTCAGCCTCCTGGGTAGCTGGGACTACAGGCACTCACCACCAAACCCGGCTAATTTTTTTTTTTTTTTTTTTTGTATTTTTTTAGTAGAGACGGAGTTTCACCATGTTGGTCAGGCTGGTCTCGAACTCCTGACCTCAAATTATGTGTCTGCCTCGGCCTCCCAAAGTGCTGGGATTACAGGCGTGAGCCACCGTGCCCAGCCCGCTTACTGCTATTTGAATTTTCTACCCTGCCTTCTGGGGTCTTGGGGGTCCCTGGAAAGAACATAAGCTTTGAAGCAGACAGACTTTGAGTTCCTATCCGGCCACATATCAAGCACGTGGCTTTGGGCACCCCACTTACCTTCCCTGAGCCTCACTTTCTGATCTGTACGATGGGAACAATGTTATCCTACCCCAAGGGCTGCTGTGGATTAAGTGAGGGTGAAGTCGAGGCGGGACTGGCGCTCCTCTGTGGAGAATGACTAAGGCCGCCCTGCTCGGGAGCCTCCGTGGAGGTTCTGGGGAGTTAGTGGTAAGGGAGCCAGGGCAGCCCTGCCCTCCTGGGGCTCCTGTCGCTCCTGTTGAGCAGAGAGAACGCATGTGGCGTCATGGTTCCAAGTGCACAGACTGCCGTGATGCCGGGGTGCGGGGGCGGGTGGGCGTGGGTAGGGAGGTATCCAGAGGCTGAGACACGAAAGGGTGAGAAGCCACAAAACTGGGAGACAGTGGAGGGGCCTGACAGGGAAGATGTCTCCTTAGAGGGTCCTGGGGAGAGGGGTGCTGGGAGCCAGGGCGAGAGGTGGAAGATGAGCTGGGGAATTGGGTGCCTGCCCAGAGTGTGGGGCCTTGATACCCAGGAAGAGCCTGTCCAGGGTTTTATTATTTTATTTTATTTTATCTATTTTTGAGACGGAGTTTCACTCTGTTGCCCAGGCTGGAGTACAGTGGTACGATCTCAGCTCACTGCAACCTCCGCCCCCCAGGTTCAAGCAATTCTCGAGCCTCAGCCTCCTGAGTAGCTAGGACTACAGGCGCCTGCTACCACACCCAGCTAATTTTTGTAGTTTTAGTAGAGACTGGGTTTCACTATGTTGGCCAGGCTGGTCTTGAACTCCTGACCTCAAGTGATCTGCCTGCCTTGGCCTCCCAAAGTGCTTGGATTACAGGCGTGAGCCACCGTGCCCAGCTCTGTCCAGGGTTTTAAATGTGGGCTGGGGATGGCAGGAGACTGGGGTTATGTCTGTGACAGGAGGAGCCAATCCCATTGCCCTTGTCCAGGTGAGTGAGGCTGGGGGCCCTGACCCAAGGCAGTGGTGTGAGGCCGGGTGGAGCAGACACTTTAGAGAGAGATTCCAGGGGAAGGAGGGCCAGGGCTTGCCGGCTGCTGGGAGGTATGGAAGGAGGAGGAGGCGATAAGGTTCCTGGATTCCTGGCTTGGGCTGAGGGAGGGTGGTGGGTGGTGGGACCCTCCCTGGGCCATGGCATACTGGAGGAACAGGTTTGGGGAGAGGAAGCCAAGTGGCTCCACTGGGGCTATGTGAGTCTGAGGGCCCTGGGACAGACCCCAGTGGAGGTGTCCTGGGGACAGAGGCTCTGAGGGCGTGGCACTAGAGGGAGGCCCACCTGGGGATGGCCTTTGTCTGTCAGCACCGACGAGTTACCTGTGCCTCTGTGCAGGGGCTTGAAGGAAGAAGGCAAGAGACCCGGCTGAGCCTTGAGAGAAGTGGGGGGGCCGGGGAGGCTGACAGAGACCAAAAAGAGCCAGCAAGTTGGCAGTGACCCATGGGGTGGGAGCCATGAGGCAAGGAGGGACCAGCCATGTGCACTGTGCGAGGAGAGCCACGTGTGGGCCAGCCCTTCCAGTCTAACGTGTGAGCCACATGAAGGGTCCTTGTGAGGGTGGCTGGCTCCCCCTGCCGGGGAGCCTGACCCTCAGCTCCTGGGGGCCCTGAGCCCAGTTCAGGGACAGGAGCTGTCCCCTTCCTGCTCACTGGCCAGTTCTGGAGGACCAGGCCTCCACTCCCTTGCTGGCCAAAACCCGATATCACTTGTTCTCTTGGTGCCGTGGCCTGGACGTTAGAGGAGAGTCTTCAAGTCAGCCTCAGGCCCTTGGTCCACCCAGGCCGTGGGCACCCTCTCTGTGCTCCCTCCCAGCCCCAGCCTCTTTCAGAGACACGGACTGTCAGGCAGAGGAGGGAAAGGGACAGTGACTTGTCCCCGCAGCCTCAGCCCCAGCATGGGAGCTGCATGCAGCCTTGGTGACCAACTCTCTCACTCATTTACCAGCCGGAGACACTGAGGCCTGGGAGTGCGGTTGACTTGTCCTAGGTTATGCCTCTGGTTTAGCCTCAGAGAGGTGCCCTTGTCACCACCTCACTGTCACATTAAAATTCTCCCTGGAGGGCTCTGCTGTCTCCTGCTCTGAATGTCCCTGTCCCCATCCAGCAGTTCTGTGATGAGCAGGGCTCACAGCTCAGGATCCACACGATGGGAGGCCAGATGTGGGCTGTGCCCATCTGCCAGCCACGGGGTCTCTTTGTCTGGTTTGTTCGGAGAGCTGAGGCCTGTGCTGGATGTGGAGCCACCAGCCAGCAGAGAGGAGCTCTTGGTCTGATGGGAGATGGAGCTCCTGCCCTCAGGGTGCTCCAAGGATCATTAATTCATTTATTCAACAAATATTGATGAGCCCTTGCATGCTGCTGCTGTAGGCCCTGGGATATGGAAATGAGAGGACGGACAAGCTCCCTGTCCCCAGGACAGCCTGAGGCTGCAGTAAGTTCTTGGAAAGGATCAAGCTGATCAGAAGCGGGAGCTGCATTGAGGGAAAAATATGGCCAGAGAAGGCCTCACTGAGGAGGTGACGTTGGTGATGCTGGAGCTCAGATCTGAAGGGGAAGAAGGAAGCAGCCACATATAGAAGTGAGGGAGGGGGCTTAGGCAAAAGGAACAGCAAGCGGAGAGGCCCTGAGAAAGGAAAGGCTTGGCTCGCTCACCTGCAAGGGCCCCCTGGCTTGACATAGTGAGAAAGGTGTGAAGATGAATTTGGAGAAAGGCAGGGACAGACCACAGGAGACCTTAGATTTGATTCTGAGGGCGATGGGATCCCTTGAGAGGATGCTGAGCAGGGGAGAGATGTGATCTCCTTTTCATTCTAACATGATCGCTGCAGCTGCTGCTGGAGAATGGTTGCAGGAGCGAGAGTAGAGACTGGGAAGGTCTGTGCATCCTCTAAGCAAGAGGCGTTGATGGCGTGGACCGGGTGGTGGCAGGAAAGACAGAGACGGGATGTTTTGGAGGCAGAATAGTTGTGACTTCCTGATGGATGGGATGTCAAGGGCGAGGAAAAGGGAGGAGTCAAGGGCAGCTCCCAGGTTTCTGGGCAACTGGATGGATTGACTGGGCTGGAAAAGATGGGGGTGGAGAGTGGAGAAGGGGTTTGATGGTAAGAAATCACATGGCCTGGCAAGTATTGTGCAAAGTGCCCATGGGACCTGCAAATGAAGCCACTGAGCAGGGTGGGGGTGCCGGGCTGTGGCTGGGAGAGACGCTGGGCTTGGGAATGGCCATCAGCAGATGGACCTAGTTTAAAGGCACGGCAGAGGTGACATCCTTGAGGGAGGTGTGCAGGGAGAGGAGAGGAGAGGAGAGTCAGGACAAAGTTCTGGAGCTCCGCCTCCTTTAGGGCGGGGTCTCTTACCCTCAGCTCTGCTGACATTTTGGGCCAGATAATTCCTTGTTGGGGGAGGCTGTCCTGTGCATTGTGCAATGTTTAGCCGCATCCCTCAGATGCCATAGCACACCCTCCAGCTCCCTCCACACAAATGTCCCGTGGGGACTAGTCTCCTGGCTGTTTAACTACAGGTGTAGAGGGTGGGGGAGGGCAAGTAGAGAAGACTAGGAAGGAGCCAGTGGCATTAGGAAGAAAGCTGGGAACGTGGGGTCTCAGGTGCCGAGATAGGGTCTGGAGAGGGAAGGAGGGGCTGGCTGTGTCAGATGCCGCTGAGGGGTTAAGGCAAGTTGGGGAGAAGCAGCCACTGGCTTTGGCCACATGGCGGTTCTGGGTGTCCCTGAGAAGGAGCTTCTGGGCAAGTGGAGTCTTGGGTGGGCGGCAGGAAAGTGGGGAGAACAACCCTCTAAGAGTGCGGACGGCTTCTGAGCAGGTTTGCTGGGATGAGGGGCAGCCTGGGGAGGGGCGTGGGCTGGGAATGGCATCCCCAGGATTTCATGTATGGAGGGCCATGCTGGGTGTCTGAGCATTGCCACCGCTCGGTGAGTGTTGATGCTGGTGTTTAGAGGGGGAGAGGGTTGGGGTCTGCTGGGGGGCTTTAGGATGATGGGTAGGGGTGTCTAGGCAGGCAAGGGGCTGAGAAGGCATTGGTGGGCTGTGGGCAGGAGGCTGCCCAGGTCTAGCCGGGTGGAGCAGGGGGCTCCTGGTAGGCAGCGTGGGGTCCATCCCCTGGCTGTCCTCTGTCTGCTACTCTGAGAGCAGTGGGCAAAACTGGCCTCTCACCATTCCTGTCTCCCCCAACCCCGTGTCTCCCTGCAGAAAGCGGGCAGCGGCCTGCGCCAGTGGAAGCGGGTGTACGCCGCGCTGCGGGCGCGCTCGCTCTCGCTGAGCAAGGAGCGGCGGGAGCCCGGGCCGGCGGCGGCGGGGGCTGCGGCGGCCGGCGCAGGTGAGGACGAGGCGGCGCCCGTCTGCATCGGCTCCTGCCTCGTGGACATCTCCTACAGCGAGACCAAGAGGAGGCACGTGTTCCGGCTGACCACCGCTGACTTCTGTGAATATCTCTTTCAGGCTGAGGACCGGGATGACATGCTGGGCTGGATCAGAGCGATCCGGGAGAACAGCAGGGCCGAGGGCGAGGTGAGGGCCCGGCCAGCCCGGCAGCCACAGAGGGCGGGCGGGGTGGCCTCTCACCGGCTGTGGACCTGGGATGCCCGCTCTGAGCCTCACTTCCCTCTGCTAGAAAGGGGGGCTGACAGGAGTGCACCTCGTGATTGTGTCCCCCAAGGTTTCGGGGTGAGGAGGGTGCACAGGCAGGGCTCACGGGGGACCTGGCGTCCTCAGGTGCGGGGACCGGCAGTCACCATCCTGACCCTAATGATGACAGGGATGATTGTGACTGTGTTAGGATCGCCTTGAGCAGGCTCCGGTGTGGAGTGGTCAGCTCCAGGCCAGTCTCAGCTTTTCTCAGCAGGCGAGGAAGGCAGGGGCCTCCTATGGAGTGTGTTAGGGCATGAGTGTCCCCGCACCAGAACTGCACTGGGCTGGCCTGTCTGCAGAAGGATGAGCACATTGACCTTGTGAGGAGGCCGAGAGGCTTGGCCTTTGGCCACAGGTGGGCAGGGGTGGAGCCAAGGGCCTCGGCAGGGATTTTGGGATAATTTTTTTTTTTTTTTGAGGCAGAGTCTCGCTCTGTTGCCCAGGCTGGAGTGCAGTGGCGCGATCTCAGCTCACTGCAACCTCCGCCTCCCAGGTTCAAGTGATTCTCCTGCCTTAGCCTCCCGAGTAGCTGGGACTATAGGCGCATGCCACCATGCCCGGCTAATTTTTTTTTAGTAGAGATGGGGTTTCACTGTGTTAGCCAGGATGGTCTTGATCTCCTGACCTCGTGATCCTCCCGCCTCAGCCTCCCAAAGTGCTGGGATTACAGGTGTGAGCTACTGTGCCCAGCCGAAGAATTTTTTTTAATGGTGCCCATTGTGGTCAGCCATAGCTACACTCCAGGGGCCTAGGTAGGGATTCCTCCCTGTTTACTTCTTTGGCCAGGAACCTACACAGAAGTGCCTTGAGACACCCACACAAAGTCATGTGGGCGTCCCAGGCCTGGGGTCTCTGCCAAGAGGGCAGTGGGCCTGGGCCTGCTGTGGCCGTGGGAGGGGGTGCTAGTGCATGGCCTCTTGCTGAGGTCACATCCTCTTACTGACCAGGCTCTGCTCTCCCGGGAACAGCTTTCCCCACTGCAGGGAGGAAGGCACCTGGAATTTGGGCCTCCTCCTCTGGGGGCCTCTCTTGGCTGTCCCCAACAAGGCTTAGTCAGGGGATCCCAAGTCACCATCACTATGGCAGTAGCAGTCCCTCCTGGGGCACCTCCTCCATGCCTGCTCAGTGTCTGCCAGGACGGTGGCGAGTGCTGCATGATTCTGCACCCGGCCCTGAGCCTTCCCTGTTAGCCCCCCATGTTTATTACCGAGGAGACTGAGGCTCAGAGAGGCTAAGAGGCTTCCCCAAGGCCTCAGCTGGTGAGAGGGTGCTGGGGAGTCCAGGCCTGGTCTTTCTCACTCCAGGGTCTGGGCTGTCCACCTGGCAGGTGGACAAGAGGGGAAGCAGGGCTAGGGATGAGCCCTGGGGTGGGCTGGCTGTGGGCACTGACATGATCCGCTCTCTCCTCTCCTGCTTCAGGACCCCGGCTGTGCCAACCAAGCTCTGATCAGCAAGAAGCTTAACGATTATCGCAAAGTGAGGTGAGGCCCAGCCCTCGTGGAGCAGTCTCCTCTGTGGGGGTGGTAGGGGGCTGAAGGCAAAGGATGTCTTCCTGGCCCACCTCCAGGGCTGCCCTCTGCTGGGGGAAGGGGTATCCAGGGTCTCCAGGCTGCAGTTAGGCATGGAGGCATTGCCTCAGGGTGGAGGGGAGGTCCCGAGGGGCGGGAGGCCAGGGTGGGTGGCCTGCTTGGCCACCCCAAATGAAGACCTCTCCTCTCCCCCTTTTTCCTACACAGCCATAGCTCTGGGCCCAAAGCTGATTCCTCCCCCAAAGGCTCTCGCGGCCTGGGGGGCCTCAAGTCTGAGTTCCTCAAGCAGAGTGCGGCACGTGGCCTCAGGACTCAGGACCTGCCCGCAGGGAGCAAGGGTAGGAAGGTGGCCACTGAGACAGGGTGGTGTGTGGGGGCAGGGGGCATGGGGAGGGGAGGGCACGCGTGTGTGTGTTGGGCTGTGTCTGCTCATGTGTGCCTGACTGTGTGCCAGGGCTACCGGTATGTCTGTCTGCGTGTGCATGCCTGTGAGGGTCTAGGGGCTCTCAGGGTCTCGGGGTGGAAGGGCCTGGAGCCTGATTCCCGTCCCTGACATCCCTGCTGGGTGGTCCTCTAATCTTTGCTGGTGTCTCTGCAGGGATGAGAGGCCCACCCTTTCCAAGAGCAACCTTTCCCATTTCACTCACCTTTGGCTGTTAGAAAGTTCTTACCTGGCTGGGCAAGGTGGCTCACACGTGTAATCCCAGCACTTTGGGAGGCCAAGGCAGGGCAGATCACCTGAGGTCAGGAGTTCAAGACCAGCCTGACCAACATGGTGAAACCCCAACTCTACTAAAAATACAAAAGGCCGGGCGCGATGGCTCACGCCTGTAATCCCAGCACTTTGGGAGGCCGAGGTGGGCGGATCACGAGGTCAGGAGATCGAGACCATCCTGGCTAACACGGTGAAACCCCGTCTCTACTAAAAAATACAAAAAATTAGCCGGGTGTGGTGGCAGGCACCTGTAGTCCCAGCTACTCAGGAGGCTGAGGCAGGAGAATGGCATGAACCTGGGAGGCGGAGCTTGCATTGAGCCAAGATCGCGCCACTGCACTCTAGCCTGGGTGACAGAGCGAGACTCCATCTCAAAAAAAAAAATACAATAAAAGTACCCGGGCGTGGTGGTGTGCGCCTGTAATCCCAACTACTTGGGAGGCTGAGACACGAGAATCACTTGAGCCTGGGAGGTGGAGGTTGCAGTGAGCCGAGATCACACCACTGCACTCCAGCCTGGGTGACAGAGTGAGACCCTGTCTCAAAAAAAAAAAAAAAAAAAAAGAAAGAAAGTTGTTCCCTTGGGCCAGCAGACATGGTGGCTGACACCTATAATCCCAGCATCATTTTGGGAGGCTGAGGCTGGAGGATTGCTTGAGGCCAGGAGTTTGAGACCAGCCTGGGTAACATAGAAAGGTCCTATCCCTACAAAATATTTTTTTTATATATTATTTATTTATTTAGAGACAGAGTCTCATTCTGTCACTCAGGCTGGAGTGATCTCAGCTCATTGCAACCTCCACCTCTTAGGTTCAAGCGATTCTTGTGCCTCAGCCCCGCTAGTAACTGGGATTACAGGCATGTGCCACCACGCCCGGCTAATTTTTTTTTTTTATTTTTTTTTGAGACGGAGTCTCGCTCTGTTGCCCAGGCTGGAGTGCAGTGGTGTGATGTCGGCTCACTGCAAGCTCCGCCTCCTGGGTTCACGCCATTCTCCTGCCTCAGCCTCCCGAGTAGCTGGGACTACAGGCGCCCACCACCACGCCTGGCTAATTTTTTTGTATTTTTAGCAGAGACAGGGTTTCACCGTGTTAGCCAGGATGGTCTCGATCTCCTGACCTCGTGATCCGCCCGCCTCGGCCTCCCATAGTGCTGGGATTACAGGCGTAAGCCACCGCGCCCGGCCCACGCCCGGCTAATTTTTGTATGTTTAGTAGAGACAGGGTTTTGCCATGTTGGCCAGCTGGTCTCGAACTCCTGGCCTCATGTGGTCCTGCCGGCCTCAGCTTCCCAAAGTGCTGGGATTACAAGCATAAGCCACTGTGCTTGGCAAAAAAAATTTTTTTTAATTAGCCAGGTGTGGTGGTATGAGCTTATAGTCCCAGCCACTCGGGAGGCTGGGGAGGGAAGATTGCTTGAGCCCAGGAATTTGAGGCTGCATTGAGCTATGATCATACCACTGCACTACAGCCTGAGCGACAGAGACTCTATCTCTAAAGAAACAAAGTTCTATGGCTTCCGCCTTGTAGTTTTGGCCCACGAGCCACACGGAAGTCCTTGCATTGCTCTGGGCCTCTCCTTTGGGGTAAGCATCCTCCCCTTCAGGCCTTCTCTCTTGCCATACAATGTCCCATCAGCCCTGGGCATCTGGTTTCTTCTCTGATGGAATCCCCATACGTCCAAATGTGTGAATGTGGCAGTGAATGTGTGTGACCCTCCTGGATACCCCAGCTCACTCTGGCTCTGTCTCCCCCACTTCAGATGACAGTGCTGCAGCCCCCAAAACCCCCTGGGGCATCAACATCATCAAGAAAAATAAGAAGGCCGCTCCGAGGGCGTTTGGGGTCAGGCTGGAGGAGTGCCAGCCAGCCACGGAGAACCAGGTGAGTCTCTGCCACACGCCAGAGCAGGCCCAGCAGGGGGAGACCGAGGCACAGAGGGTCAGAGCAGCAAGGGACATGGAACCAGCTCTCCACCTCATTGTACAAACACAGCTGGGAAAACAGCCCAGAGAGGGGAAGGCCCCCGCCTGCCCCGGGCCTCCCAGGGAGGGAGCAGCAGGGCTGAGGCTGAGCCCGGCTCCTTCTCAGACCATGGCGAGGCTTTGGTGTCATTTTTAGCTCCCAGACTGGAGGCAGCAAGGGCCTTTTGTTCCCCCCAAGGGTTCCTGGCAGCAGCTCTGGGCCTTGCATTGTCCCCTTCTTGGCCTCCCCAGCTCCTCTGGCCCCTGTCCCCCCTAACACCCCTCCCATGTGTCCCCAGCGCGTCCCCTTAATCGTGGCTGCATGCTGTCGCATTGTGGAGGCACGAGGGCTGGAGTCCACAGGCATTTACCGAGTGCCCGGCAACAATGCAGTGGTGTCCAGCCTACAGGAGCAGCTCAACCGCGGGCCTGGTGACATCAACCTGCAGGATGAGGTGGGTGAAGCTGGGGGGTCTGTGGAAGAGGGGCTGAGATGGTGTGTGGGTGGTGCTCCGCTTGGAGAGTTCTGTGGTCTATTGTGTTGCATGCATTGTGCCCTATGACATGCCCGGCATTGGTCCAGAACACCAAGATGGGCAAGATGGGACCTGCCCCCGCTGGCCAGCCCGGGGATGGGCATCACCCCAGGCTGAAGCTGACCAAGTAAATGCAGTCATGGCCTGGGGAGCTCTGAGGCAGAGGCTCACAGATGGCAGTTTTGTCCGAGTGTTTAGGATGAGTAGAGTTCACCAAAGGCCGGTGAAAGCCAGGTGAGGGCATTCCAGGCAGCAGAATGGCCTGCTCAATGGTGTAGACGCGGAAAGTGTGCCAGGAGTCAACCAGCTTTCTCTGTAGAAGGCAGAGGGTAAATATTTTCTGCTGTAGTTTGCTCTGTTGCGTTCCCCCCTTCTCTTCCTCCTCCTTCTCTTCCTAATCCTTTAACAACGTAAAAACCATACTTAGCTCAAGGGCCATCCAAAAGCAGGCTGTGGCTAGATATTGCCTACAGACCATGGTTTACAAACCGCCGGCTTAGAAAAAGGGGAATATATGATGTTTTCTAGAATGGCCAGCAATTTGGGTGGCTGCAACATGGAAAGAGAAGTGGCTGATCAGGCGAGATGAGACCAGCCTGTGAAGGGATCTGCAATCACACTTAAGTGTTTCCAGCAAGGCCGGCGATTCTCAAAGGGTGTTCCCCAGAGTCCTAGGGTTCCCCAGAGGGGCCTTGGGAGGCCAGGGGCAGGTCAGGACCCCCTGTCCTTGCTAGAGCAACCCTGCTTTGCCCTGTCTGTTGTACTGGGTTTTCATGTACAATTTTATTTGCCCAAAGGGGCTCTGATAAAAAAGATATTTTGGAAAACCGTGAACGTGGGCAGTGATGTCCCACGAATCACACACGTGAAGGCTCATGGAATACACAAGTCTTCCTGTCCTTGGAGAATGAGGAGCTGAGACAAGTGTGTGTGAAATTGTGGACAAGAGAAAAAGATGATCTCTCATCAGGGACCACACTGTGATGAGGAAGGAGAGGGTGCTCAGGCTGGAGCAGGTGGTGGCTGGAGGGTTTGAGTATTGGAGGAATGAATAGGAGGGGGCAGGTGGACGGGAAGCCTTTCGGGGTGTGAGACGATGGCATTTTCCAAAACCCCAGCAAGGGCCGGGGAGGGCTTGAGGGTTAGGACAGAGAGTGGATCTACCTCCTGGGCTTGGAGGTGGGGAGGGTGAGGCCCCAGGGGGACAGAGAAGGCATTTGATGGCTTCACTGAAGACTTCGACCTTGATCTGATGGACAGTAGGGAGCTTCTGATGGTTCTTAAGCTGGGGAGGCATCGTGAGAACAAAGTTCAAGAAACAGTAATGCTCCTGCTCATGTCCATTGGATACGAATGCGGAGGGCAGGGGTCTGGGGAGAAGTCACTGATCTATGGAAGCGCTAAGTGTCGGGAGGACTTGGTGGTCTCAGGGGAAGGGGGAGGATGGGAGCAACCCTAAGAGTTGTCTGCATGAGAGGGAGGAAGGAGGGGCGAGGAAGAGCCGCATGTTTGAGCTGGGGCTGGTGGTATCTTCCCTTGGCAGAAACCAGGGAGTGGGGCAGCGTGAGGAGAGGCGGAAGGGAGGGGCCGTCTCAGGGAGTGGCTCCATTGGATTTGGGGTGTGGAAAGTCCCTTGCATGGGGTGAGGGCATAAACAGGCGCTATATTGAGCCTGGACTAGAGAGTGGCATGGGTCCTGCTGCAGCTGAGGCATGGGATGACCAAGGGTGGGCCGCAGAACAGCAGGGGCCACGCTCTGAGTGGGACAGAAGGAGAGGGCCGCCAGTGAGGCTGGGGTGAGGGCAGACACTTCACTCTGGAGGAACCAGGAAGCACTGGCCAGGGCATTGGGTTTGGCAGCTGGGAGATGAGAGGAGCTCACACCTGAGGGCCAGGAGGTAACGGAGTCGGGTGGGCAGGAGCCGCACTGGGTGTGTGTGAGATGAGGGGGCCATGCTGGCAGGCAGCTGGTCCAAGCCAGGGCCAGCTGGGGGCATACGAGGTATATTGGGTGTGTTGTTTTGTCTTGGATATCATTGTGTCATTTGTTGTGGGTCGTGCTGGGAGTAAGTGTAGTGGGGGATGAATCTAACCCCTGGTGAGCCTGTGGGGAGTGTATTGTTTATGGGATTGTCTGGCATTAAGCTGTGGATCCATTGTAATGAGTGTGTGTACTGCTGTACTGTGTCTCTTTGTTGGGGGTATTAGGTCGCTTTCTGGGCCTGAGTTATTCTGAGCCATTCCCAGCGAGGCGGCTGTGCCCAACTTGGTTGCAATGTGGGGTGATGGTGCCCCCTGGAGGACAGAAGGGACAACGACCCGGCCGTTAGTTCTTGTACTCGACAACCATTTATTTTAGAGTAGGGTTTCTCAATCTCAGTGGACATTTTGGGAAGAACAATTATTTGTTGTGTGGGGTTGTCCTGTGCACTGGAGGGAATTTGACATCATCCCTGGCCTCGATCCACTAGATGCAAGTGGCACCTCCCAGTTGGGAAAATCAAAATGGCTCCAGACATTGTCAAATGTCCTCTGTGGGTGGAGTGGGAGTTTGGGGGACAAAATTGCCTCCTTCTGTTAGAACTACTGATTTAGGGCCATGTAAGTACCAGGTTAACTGTCCTTGCTAGGTGATAGGAGCACAGTGGGAAATGAGACAGACGGGATCCTGTCTCCTCCTGGAGCTTACAGTCCTGCAGGGAGACAGGCATGAACACGGAAACAAAAGCAGAAAATAATGACAAATTGGGTTAAGCGCCAGGAAGGAAACAAAGTCAGGGCTGGGGTGCAGGTGACAGGGCAGTGGTGAAGGTGGCTGCTTTAGCTATGAGGGTCAGAGAAGGCCTCTTTGAAGAGCGACTTTTAGGCGGGGATGAGGAGCCAGTTGTGTGGAGGCGGGGAGGAAAGTTCTGGTTGAGGAAACCAGCACATGCAGAGGACCTGAGACAGGAAGGAGCCGGCACGAATGACTGCTGTGTCACGGATGCTTAAACTGTGCCCAGTGGAGGCAGCAGCTGCCACTCACTGTCTCCCCACAGTGCCTGGGACTTTCTGTGCATGGGGAGGTGTTGGAGCCCACGCACTGGCAGGAGCAGGGAGGGGCTGGGGCCAAGTGTGAGTGTGGGCACAGGACCTCTCTGGGGACTCAGTTCTGCTGCCACCATCCTGATGAGTAGAGAGCTTGGTCTAAGTAGGTCCCAGGGAGGGCCTGGTGGGCTTGATTGGGCTCTGGGGTGAATGATCGTGGAGGCATGGGCATCGGGCTGGGCCTGCCTGTGCCTGACATCTGACCCCTCCCCCAGCGCTGGCAAGACCTCAATGTGATCAGCAGCCTGCTCAAGTCCTTCTTCCGAAAGCTGCCCGAGCCTCTTTTCACTGATGGTGAGTAGGAGGTGGAAGTGGGGCGGGGAGGGGACACCAGTCCGTGCCTCACCCTGACCACTACTTTTGCATTTGGTTTGTTGGTTTTACTCTTTTTTTTTTTTTTTGAGACAGTCTTGCTCTGTTGCCCAGGCTGGAGTGCAGTGGCGCAATCACGGCTCATTGCAGCCTCAAGCTACTGGGCTCAAGCGATCCTCCCACCTCAGCCTCCTGAGTAGCTGAGACAGCAGGTGAACACCACCACACCCAGCTAATTTAAAAGTTTTTTTTCAGAGATGGGGGGAGTTTCTCACTATGTTGCTCAGACTGGTGTTGCACTCCTGGGCTCAATCAATCCTCCTGCCTGCCCCAGCCTCACAAAATGCTGGGATTACAGGCATGAGCCACCACGCTGGCTTTTTTTTTTTTTTTTTTTTAACACAAAAGCTTATTTAAAAAACATAGATTGTACAGATGTGAATGAAGAAAACAGCACAGGACCCTGTGAATGTCCTGCTCCCTTTCACGGGAGGTTGTGGCTAACACTTTCTGAGCATTAGAGTGTGCCAAGCACAACTCCCTACAGCAACTCCATGAGGAAGGTGCTATTGTCTTCCCTCTACAGATTAGGAAACCAAGGCTCAGAGAAGTTTAATGCCTTGCCCAAGGTCGCACAGGTTGTAAATGGCAGAGCCAGGATTCCACCCCAGGCGTCGGGCACCGACGGGCTTTGGCCGTTTGCTGAACTGCTTATTCACAATCTGTTGTGTTTCTCTCCTGGCCCTCTTATATGCATGGCAGAGATACACACGTGCCTGCGTGGGGTTTGGATTTGGGTGGGTTCAGGGGTGTGCTGGCAGATGTTTAACATCTGTCTCTGGGGGAAAAAAGCCCTAATGCCTAGCGTTTTCCAGCTTCCATGGCGTAAATACTCCTACCATGGTTTATTTCAAGCCACCAACATGATGTCACCAACATGGAATTGGGAAGAGAGGCACACAGTCGCTCTCAGGAGCTGGTGTGAGCGGGCTCCAGCACACCGCTGGTTGAGTTGTTTTTAACAAAAGCAGAGTTGTAATTCTGAGATTCATTCGTGTCAGTGCAGAGAGCTCTACCTCATTCTTCTTTTAAATCAGCCACATAGAATTTCATGGTTTGAATAGACTACAATTTCTTTAAGTACTCCTCTATTGATGGATATTTAGGTTGTCTTCAAATGTTTGCTATTACACAACCTGTTGCAATGGCTTTCCTTGAATAAGTCCTTGCACGCCTGGATCTGTGCTCTCTAAGGAGATTCTTAGATGTAGAATTGCTGGGTCAAAGTCCCGGTGAACCTTTCTGAGACCAGTGTCAATTGCACTCTGAGAAAGAGGCCCTGGTTTAGACTCCCACTAAAATGTAGGAGTCTGTCTCTCCACATCCCCAACAGCATTGGATATTATAACTATTATTGTTACTTGAAGGCCAGGCATGGTGGCTTATGCCTGTGATCCCAGCACTTTGGAAGGCTGAGGCGGGTGGATCACCTGAGGTCAGGAGTTCAAGACCAGCCTGACTGTGGTGAAACCCCGTCTCTACTAAAAATACAAAAATTAGCTGGATGTGGTGGCGGGTGCCTGTAGTCCCAGCTGCTAGGGAGGCCGAGACAGGAGAATTGCTTGATCCCAGGAGGCAGAGGTTGCAGTGAGCCAAGATCGCACCACTGCACTTCAGCCTGGGTGACAGAGCAAGACTCCATCTCAAAATAAATAAATAAATAAATAATACAATAAAATAAAAATAAAAATACTATTATTTGACACAGAATCTTGCTCTGTTGCCCAGACTGGAATGCAGTGGCGCAATCATGGCTCACTGCAGCCTCAACCTCCTGGGCTCAAGTGATCCTCCCATCTCAGCCTCCTGAGTAGTTGGGACTACAGGTTTGTGCCACCACACCCAGCTAATTAAAAAAAAATTTTTTTTGGTAGAGGCAGGGTCTCACTACATTGCTCAGACTGGTCTTCAACTCCTGGTCTAAAGTGATCATCGCGCCTCGGCCTTTCAAAGTGCTGGGATTTTAGGCTTGAGCCACCTCACCCAGACAGCATTAAATATTATTAACATTTTAAACTTTTGCTAATCAGATAAGGGAAATGGTATCTCATTATTGTTTTTATTTTCATTGCCCTCATTACTAGGGAGATTAAATCTTTTTTCATTAGCATATTGGCTGTTTCTATTTTCTCTGTAATTGCTCGATCAGACCATGTGCCCATTTTTCTGTTGCGTTGTTTATCTTTTTCTTATGTTGATTTGCGGGAGAAAAGCTCTTTGTGTTTTACAGCTATTAACCCTTTGTTAGTTTTTGCAAATATTTGCTTTGGCCTGCCATTTGCCTTTCACTTTGCAGTATAGAAACTGAAAACAAATTTTTTGTTGTTGTTGTTTTGTTTTGTTTTTTGAGACAGAGTTTCACTCTTGTCGCCCAAGCTGGAGTGCAATGGTGTGATCTTGGCTCACTGCAACCTCTGCCTCCTGGGTTCAAGCGATTCTCCTGCCTCAGTCTCCCGAACAGCTGGGATTACAGGTGCCCACCATCATGCCCAGCTAATTTTTGTATTTTTGGTAGAGACGGGGTTTCACCACGTTGGCCAGGCTGGTCTTGAACTCCTGACCTCAGGTGATTCACCCTCCTTGGCCTCCCAAAGTGCTGGGATTACAGGCGTGAGCCACCGCGCCCTGCCTAACAATTTTTAATTTTATTTTTATTTAATTTTATTTATTTTCTTGAGACTGAGTCTCACCCTGTCATCCAGGCTGGAGTGCAGTGTTACGATCTCGGCTCACTGCAACCTCCGCCTCCCGGGTTCAAGCCATTCTCCTGTCTCAGCCTCCCAAGTAGCTGGGATTACAGGCGCCTACCACCATGCCCAGTTAATTTTTATATTTTTAGTAAAGATGAGGTTTTGCCACATTGGCCAGGCTGGTCTTGAACTCCTGATCTCAAGTGATCAGCTGATGCGCCTCAGCCTTCCAAAGTGCTGGGATTACAGATGTGAGCCACTGTGCCTGGCCGAAAACAATTGTTTAAAATGTGACCAAAGCTGTTCATCTTTTCTTCATGGATTCTGCATCTCATGTTTAGGATGGCCTTAGGATTATAAAAATATTTTCTTACTTTTTCCCCAGTGCTTTTATAATTTTCACAGTTGGCTCTGCCGTGTGATTGCATTTGTGTATTGTGAGCTAGAAATGATCCCCCCGCCCCCGATGGTAGCCATTTGTCCCGGGGACATCTGTTGAGGCCCCCATCCTTCCCCCCGATTGGAAGTGCTGCCTTTATCATATAATAAATATCCATATGGCCCGCTTCCCCCCTTTCTAGCCTTAACATTGCTCTGCCTTTTCTGCCGTGCCAGCCGGCTTCAGTTGTGCCATCCATTCGGGATGTTTCAGTCCCTGGTAGGGCAGATCCTCCCGCGTTACTCTTTCTTTAAAAACTATTCCTGGCTGTCTTTGTGCGTTAGCTCATCCAGATGAATTTCAGAATAGGCTTATCATGTTCCATTTTTTAAAGGTCCCCATGGACTTGTTCTGAAGGGAGTTGGGGTAATCCTTGGTGGAGGCTGTCTGAAGCCCCTCCTCCTCTCCAGGTGCCCTTCTCTTCTGACCTGCTGAACCTTGGTGTCCATGTCCTGGAGACGGGGGCAGGGACCCCTTTTCTGGGATCAGCATGCAGCTCAGATGGTATTGCCTCCCAAATGAACACAGCTGGGCTACCCCAGGTCAGGTGCACACCCGAGTGTAGCTGTGGTGAGTGCAGCTGTGGTGAGTGCAGCTGTGGTGGGTGTGTTCACATACACAAGAGGCTGTCGCCCACGCTGGAGCCCCCGAACTGGAGGAGTTCAAAACACAGCCCTCCCAGCAGGGCCCTTGGCCGGGAGAACAGGGGAAGGCGCTGCCCCCACCTCTCTAAAGAGTCTCCGCTGTGTTCTAGACAAATACAACGACTTCATCGAGGCCAACCGCATTGAGGACGCACGGGAGCGAATGAGGACGCTGCGGAAGCTGGTAAGGAGAGAGAGGTGCTGTCAGACACGAGGTGGGGCAGCTGCCTGAGCACCTCTGTCCCAGGAGGCAGGGAGTCCGGTGCTGCCCACGACCCCTGTGGCCTTGGAGAAGCCCCGCTCCACTCAGGGCCTCAGTTTCCCCGTCCATACAAGAGAACGGGGGGTTAGAGGATAGGTTCCAGACTCCCTGAGGCATGGTAGTGGGAGATCTTTGGGGCATGGTGATGACGGGGGACAGGGGCAGGCCCTTACAGCCTGTCCCCATGCCCCTCCTCTCTCCTGCTCAGATCCGGGATCTCCCAGGACACTACTATGAAACGCTCAAATTCCTTGTGGGCCATCTCAAGACCATCGCTGACCACTCTGAGAAAAACAAGGTGGGTAGGAGTCCCGCATGGAGTCTGGGGGAGGCAAGCACGGACTTACTGTGTGAGGGCCCTCAGCACGCACTGAGCTCCAGCAGGTCCAGTAACTCAGGCCCCTCTAGGCACGCCCTCCTCCTATGACTGCTCCGTCCCCACCCCGCTCCTACATGCTGGTCAGTGCTTTCCCCCAGAGAGCCATCTCCTGAGTTTCTGAGGGCTTTCCAGAGGCAGGGAACCCCGGCCCCCCGTATCCGATGCATTGCCATCCTCCGACTTAGCTCAAGTCCCTCGCATTGCATTTTCCTCATCAAACCCCTTATGCCTTCTGGTTCTGCAGTGGGGAAAATGAGGGGAGTGATAGGATTTTTTGTGTTTTGTTTGTTTGTTTGTTTGTTTTGAGACGAAGTCTCACTCTGCCGCTCAGGCTGCAGTGCCTTGGCACGATCTCGGCTTACTGCAACCTTCGCCTCCCGGGTTCAAGCGATGCTCCTGCCTCAGCCTCCCGAGTAGCTGGGATTACAGGCACCTGGAAGTGATCGGATTATTTCCCAGGCCTAAAATAACCCCTGGGACCTCCAACATGTTTCCTACTGCAGGGTCTCCCACTGCTGGCACTGACCACTCAGGGCTGCCTTGTATAGGTGTGCAGGTTGGGCACTGCTCATGGCTGCTGGGCCTGGGGATGAAAGGGGCTGAAATCTGGTCTGTGCTCTACTCATCAAGCATCTCCATGCCCATACAAGGGGGTGTCCACCCTCTAAGCTGGGGACTGGTGAGGATGTAGTTGGGGACAGAGGCCTCAGGTGCCAGAGTGAGGGAGGACTGAGGTCAGGATGTTGACAGTGACCTGCTTTCCCTGCTGCCCAGATGGAACCCCGGAACCTGGCCCTGGTCTTTGGGCCGACACTGGTGAGGACGTCTGAGGACAACATGACAGACATGGTGACCCACATGCCTGACCGCTACAAGATCGTGGAGACACTGATCCAGCACGTAAGCCCCTGTTCCGGGGGGCGCCCGGCAGCCCCTGGGGCCCAGGCCATGTTCCTCTGAGCCCCTCGCTCTTGCTCCGCCTGGCGGAGTGTGCCCCAGGAAGGGCTCGGCAGCTTTAGAGCATGCTGCTAGGGTGGTATATACTCCTCCAAAGCCATGGGCTGCATTTCAAGGCAAGGCAGGAATGGATCCTGGAATCCCTGCTGCCCTGGGATGTTGTGTCCCCAGCAGGAGAGTCAAGAGGCCCCCGAGCTTCCGAGATGCCTGGGAAAGGTAGAAGAGGAGGAAGGGCAGGGAAGGTGCTACTGGTGGAGGGCGGAAGGGGCAGCTTCAGAAGTTGGCCCCTGGAGAGGTGTCCTGGCAGACACGAGCAGACGGGGGCCAAGGTCTGGCCTGATATCAGGAGGCCCCGGCTCTAGTGACTTTCCCTGCTGGCCCCACTGAGGTTTTGGGGAGATAGTGGTGATGTTCCTGGTAACAAGGGGTGGATGGGGCAGGGCACAGGGCCTTGGCCTGAGGCAGGATCCTGCACCAGTGCTTGGCATGTACTGGGCTGGCCACCTCCCTTCTCATGGCTTCCTGGATGCCAACAGCCCTGGTCCTGTAGGTTCTTGTTACTGTGCATGGGCGGAGGAGAACCCAGAGTGGCCAGCAGAGGGCGCAGAAGGCCTTGGTTTTCGAGAGCCCAACCCTAAGGCAGCACTGCCGCCTTCTGGTGTGCACACGGATATCATTATGAATCGTAGATTTTCCATTTCCAATTCTTGTTACAGCCCACAAAGGATGAGAACAGAGCCCCTCCTGCCAGGGGAAATAAGACTGGCAGCTGGTCAGAGGAAGGGAAGCCTCAGTCCCAAGCCCCCTAGACACTTTAGGGAAGGAAAGCTGGGCCCTATCACCCCCATTTTACAGAGGAGGAAACAGGCTCAGAGAGGCAAAGCAACTTGCTCATGGTCACACAGCTAATAAGTGGCAGCCCAAGATTTCAAGCCAGATCTGACTAACCAAAGCCTGTGCTTTCCTCCTGCTATCAACCCAAAGGCCAGACTCCTGGGTCCCTCCTTGAGCTGGCTTGGGACGGAGGGAGGGGGCCAGGGTAAGGAGGCGAGGTGGTGAGCAGCTGAGCCATGTTAACAGCCTTGCTTGCCCATCTCCCTCCTTCACTGCATGCTCAGGGCTCCGAGCCACAGGAGGGAAGATCACAGCCTGCTGCATCCGGACACTGGGAACACCACTCCAGAGCTGTCTGGGAGGCCAGGGCTGCCCTGCAGCGTCGGGGATCCTGATGAGGCCTTGGGAAAGCTTAGCTCTCCAGGGCACCAGGGAGCCCCGGAACCTCCCGTGAGGGTGTGTTTTGGGGGCAGCAGCAGGGAAGAATGGGTGTCTGGCCCTGTGCTCCTGGAGAAGTCCCTGGAAGCCCAAGGTCTGAGGTCAGCTGAGGTGTCAGGAACTGCAGCCTTCAGGGAGGAAGGAGGCCAAAGCCCCAAGGGGGAGTCCCTGCTCTGGGCAGGGTGGAGAAGGTGGAGTTTGTCTCATTTAGCACTGACACTACTGGCACACAGTGGCTACTCAGTGTTTGTGGAGTATAAATGACTGAGTAAATTGCTAATTGAGGTTACGTCAGGCTGGGCTTTTCTTTCTCTTTCTCTCTCTCTCTTTTCGCTTTTTTTTTGTTTTTTTGTTTTTTTTTTGATAGAGTCTCAGTCTGTCGCCCACACTGGAGTGCAGTGGGCAGATACGGCCCACTTCCAGGCTCAGGCGATCCTGCCATCTCAGCCTCCTGAGTAGCTGGGACTAGAGATGCCACCACCACACCACCTGGCTAATTTTTGTATTCTTTTGTAGAGATGAGGTCTTACTATGTTGCCAGGGCTAGTCTTGAACTCCTGGACTCAAGCGATCCTCCCATCTCGGCCTCCCAAAGTGCTGGGATTACAGGTGTGAGCCATCACGCCCAGCCAGGCTGGGCTTTTCTACTCAGAGATTCATTCCCGAGAGCTAACTGAGCTAGTGTCCTTCCCTTCTCTGCCTCCTTGGCATCTGAACGTAACCAGCCCTGGATGATTGTCGAGGGAATGAGCCACCCACTCTGCAAGCCCTGAAAGCCTGCCCACCCAAGCGTGCCAGCTCTGTCTAGCCTGGAGGCTCCATAGCCAGGGCAGTGCTGCTGTCACTTGGGGTACCCAGACCAGTCTTCAGGTCGGAAAGAGCGTGGCAACTGAGGGGTAAAGAGGAACAGCGACTTGCCCAGGGCCACGCAGCAAGATAATGGCAGAGCAGAGAGGAGAGCAAACCTGGGTGTCTGATCTTGCAGCGGGCAAGTTGCCAGGAGCCCCTACCTATGTTTACGAAGTCAAATGGAACCCAAACAAAGATCACCCAGGGCATTTGCTCAGGGACTCACTCAGCAAAGGCAGCGATACCTAATGTTTCTCAGCCTCAGCACTAGTGAGCGCTGGGGTCCAGATAAGTCTTTCTTGTGGGAGGCTGTTCTGTGTGTTACAGGACATTTAGCAGCATCGCTGGCTTCTACCTGCTGGATGCTGGGAATATCACTCTAGTTGTCACAATCGAAAATGTCTCCAGACATTGCCAAGTGCCCACTGGGGTGGGGGGATTGACGGCAGTGGCTCTGGGGCCAGCCTGCTCCTATGTGCTGTGTGGCCTTGGACAAGTTCCTTACCTGCTGTGCCTCAGTCTCCACACCTGTAAAGCAGAGATGACAATACTGTTTACCTCACATCGTTGTGAATGTCTGCTAAAGCACTCGCGGCGGTGCCTGGCAGGTCCTAAGTGTCGTGTGAGAACGGACTGTCATCCTCTTCGTCGTGGTCATTATTCCACGCCAGAGACAGATCCCCGTGCTGGGAACACGGAGGTGAATGGGAGCCTGCTCAGAAGGAATATTGCCAGCGGGTGTGGTGGTGCGTGTCTGTGGTCTCAACTACTTGGGGGGCTGAGGTGGGAGGCTGCAGTGAGCCGAGATTGCGAAACTGCACTCCAGCCTGGGTGACAGAGTGAGACCCTGACACACACACACACACACAAAAATCCATTAAAAAAATGATGCTTCTCATTCATTTATTCTTTTAATAATGTTTATCAAAGTAAGAGCTGCGTCTCTTTGTGCTCTGGGCTATGCCCAAGGAAGCCCCACAGAAGGACCCACCCCGGCCCTGGGTGCAGGGCTGGGGTCGTAGTCATGGAGTTCTTGAACTGCCTTAGAGGACCATGATGAGAACTTAGCCAGGCAGAGCAGGGAGAAAGGGCATCCCAGGCGGAAAGAACAGCACGTGCAGAAACAGGGTGGCAGGAACTAGTGTGGATTCCTCTTGAGAGCCGTGGCCACCCGGGCGCTTCCTGTAGACGCTGTGGCTTGCAGAGTACTTCTGGGCACCTTCCAACCTGCATTAACGGCTGGCTTCTTTGGGCCGATCCTCAGGCTTCCCCTGGTCAGCCTGTCTCTGGAAGCCACACTTTTGAATAGCAGTAGCTGACATCTATTATACATTAACAATGTGCTGCACTCGACGTTTTCCATACAGTATTTCATCTCAATCCTCCTCAGGCCTAGAAGGAGGTACTCACATCATGCCCATTTTAGAGATAAGTAAATAGACTTACAGAGGGAAAGTAACTTGGCTAAGGTGAACTTGAACCAAGATGACTGACTCCAGAGCTTCCATTTTTCTTTTTCTTTTTTTTTTTTTTTTTTTTTGAGACAGAGTCTCACTCTGTCGCCCAGGCTGGAGTGCAACGGCGCGGTCTCCACTCACTGCAGCCTCCAGCTCCTGGGCTCAAGTGATCCTCCCACCTCAGCACCCCCAAGTAGCTGGGATTATGGGTGCATGCCACCATGCCGGGCTAATTTTTGTATTTTTAGTAGAGCTGGGGTTTCACCCTGTTGGCCAGGCTGGTCTTGAACTCCTGACCTCAGCTGATGCACCTGCCTCAGCCTCCCAAAGTGCTGGGACTATAGGTGTGAGCCACTGTGCCCGGCCAGAGCTTGCATTTTTCTTATCTTCCTTTGCTGTCTTCTCTTCTATCTCTTTCTTCTTTCCCTTCTGGCCTTCCTGTGCTGTTTGAGTTAATCACATGTCAGATCATGAGCGATAATAACTGAGGCTCATGGCGTATGCTCAGGCAAGTCCCCTTGTTTCCCCTCTTCATTCCCCTAGGTGCCCACTCTTAATAGGCTAATATGTGTCCTTCCAGGACACCTTCCACTTATTGTAAATGCATGGCTACCCTTAAATATATATAATATTCTTTGTGTGTTTTAAGTCTACATAATGAGATTATAAATTGCCTGTTCCTCTTCTTTCATAGGTGTTGAGGGGGGTAAAGGGTAATTGCCTTAATTTTTATTCATTTATTTTTTTTGAGATGGAGTTTCACTCTTGTTGTCCAGGCTGGAGTACAGTGGTGCGACCTCAGCTCACTGCAACCTCTGCCTCCCGGGTTCAAGCAATTCCCCCACCTCACCCTCCTGAGTAGCTGGGATTACAGGTGCGCACAACCATGCCCAGCTAATTTTTATATTTTTAGTAGAGATGGGGTTTCACCATATTGGCCAGGTTGGTCTCAAACTCCTGACCTCAGGTGATCCGCCCGCCTCAGCCTCCCAAAGTGCTGGGATTACAGATGTGAGTCACTGCACCGGGCCTGTCACTATCAATTTCTAATGCTTATCAGTTTCTGTGTCTTCCTTCCACCACATCTAAAAGCCAAAAGTGGTAGGGTGCAGTGGCTCATGCTTGTAATCCCAAAATCTACAATTTTTTTTTTTTTAATTAGCTGTGCAAGGTGGCACATGCCTGTAGTCCCAGCTATTCAGGAGGCTGAGGTGGGAGAATCTCTTGAGCCCAGGAGTTCAAGGGTACAGTGAGCTAGGATCAGGCCACAGCATTCCAACCTGGATAACAGCGAGAGACCCTATCTCAAAAATAAATACATAAATACAATAAAAGCCAAAAGTGCCTTAGTTATTTCTTGGAGCTTGCCGAAGGTCATCTCTTTACTTGCTCAAGTATTCAGTTAAGAGAGTCTTTGTGTAGTAAATTTTCTGATGTCTCAGGATAGCTTTATTTCAAGGCCAGGTGTGGTGGCTCCAGAGAGCAGGAGGTTCACTTAAGGGGTGATTAAAACAATCTGTGGTATGCCTGTAATCCCAGCACTTTGGGAGGTGGAGGTGGGCGGATCACTTGAGGTCAGGAGTTGAGACCAGTCTGGCCAACATGACGAAACCCCATCTCTACTAAAAATACAAAAATTATCCAGGCGTGATGGCGTGCACCTGTAATCCCAGCTACTTGGGAGGCTGAAGCCAGAGAATCACTTGAACACAGGAGGCAGAGGTTGCAGTGAGCCAAGATTGCACCACTGCACTCCAGCCTGGGTGACAGAGTGAGATTCTGTTGGAAAAAAAAAAAAAAGAATAGCTTTATTTTACACTCAGATTTAAATGAGAGTTTAGCAGGGTATAAAATTCTAGGTTCCTTCAACACGTCAAAACTTACTTTCTTGTCTTCTTGTGTTTTGCTGCTGAAAGTTCCAAGTACCTGTGATACGTGTTCATTTATAAGCAATCTGGATTTTTTTTTTCAGAAAACTTAGAATTTTATCTTCAAGATTCTCAAATTTTACAAAATATATTAAACTGTGGGGGTCTTTATTTTCTCTCTTGTTTGGCCTTTATGAGAAAGCTCTCGCCTCCTGCCCCTCAGGAAACCTCCAACGCCTTTCTCCTGTCATTTCCTTTTCTGGGCTGAGTACGTGACACCCCTGTTGTCAGTGTGGCACCCATGGGTGGCAGGTGGCGTGGGGCACACTCGGCTGTCACAGCCATGGACCTGGCCAACACTAATGGCACTGGTGCCTCCCTGCCCCCCGGCTCGCTGTGGGGAGTATACCACAGGGGTGTGCCCAGGACAGTGTTTAGAGAAAAGCAAGTAAAAGCGAAGCTCTCCCTAAGCCTATCTCCTGTCTGAGGTGAATGCTCCCACTCCCTGCCGTGTCTCCTCCCACACTGGGGTCCCACCTTTTCTCTCCCCCAGGGTTTTTCATAGTCTGTGGAGTCAGGTTTTAGGGTCCGTCAAGCTCCCTCTGAGCCCTCTTTTGCAGCCCCGCCAGCCTGGGGTTTGTTGAGAGAGAGGCGCCCCTTGCCACCTGAGCGGGTCCTCTGGAATGAGCAGGTGGAAGAGACTCTTCTTTCCCATGCTGATTTCATCCCTTCCTTTTGTCTTCTCTGCAGTCAGACTGGTTCTTCAGTGACGAAGAGGACAAGGGAGAGAGAGTAAGTGATGCCGCGGGCTGGGCTGGCATGGGGGCTGGTCTGGGGTGAGCCCCAGTCCTTGGGGGTGGGGCAGGCAGCGGGACTTAAGCCGGGGAAGGTGTCTGTCCTTGAGGCTTCCCTCAAGTCTGGTGGAGGAAACACAGACCCTCTCCTCAGGAGCCCCTAGTCTGATAGAGAAGCACAAAGCTTGCCTTCAGGAATCCCCAGTCGAAATGGGGGAGATATAGGCCTTGCTCAGAGGGAACCCAGTTCAGGAGTAAAGGCAGCTCCTGCCCTCCAGGCTACTGAGAAGGACTTAGGTTGGAGGAGTTCCAGTCTGGTGCGGGAGACACAGCTCCTGCCCCTAGCTGAAGGGGCCGCTCTGGCCTTCGCGGTTCCCAGGTGTTGAGGAAGGCACAAAACTGTCTAATAGGGGACATGTAGGAATCATCCTCAAGAGCGCCCGGCTGATGAGGGAGACGGTCCCTGCCCCAGTGAGCCCGGTCTGATGGAGGAGACATGGGCTCTGTCATCAGGGCACCCCCCTCTGGGGGGTTGGCAGCCCAGCATCTGAGGGCATGCCAGCTGACCCCTCCTCCTGTTCGCAGACCCCTGTGGGCGACAAGGAGCCTCAGGCAGTGCCCAACATTGAGTACCTCCTGCCCAACATTGGCAGGACAGTGCCCCCTGGCGACCCGGGGTCAGGTGAGCGCAGGGGCCTGGGAGTGGGGAGGCGGGAGGTTGGACACTGCATTCCTGAGGGTCCCAGGTGCCTGGCCAGATGCCCAGCTTCCCTGTGCCACCCCAGCGGGGCCCTCCCCTGCCGGCCACCATGGAGATGGGGCTGTTGGGGGCCTTCTCCCTCCCTAGGGAAGTCCAGCTTGCCCCGTGCCCACCTCCTGTCTGCGCAGCTGCCCCGCCCCGGGCAGGGTCGGAGCTTTGTTCGCCCTCTCTCACTGGTTTCTTTCCTCAGCCTTTAATTTCTCATGGGCTGGCTGTGTCCTTCTGGGCATGTTCCTCTTTTTAATTTTTCTTCCTTTTCTCCTTGCACCCCCGCCTCTCCCTCCTCTTCTCCCCGTGCTCTCCTCCCACCCCCTTCTCTTCTCCTCCCCCTCCCCTCCTCCAGCGGACCTGTTGGAGATTTAAAGGGTACAGTGCGGTGTCGCGGCCTCGGTCACTAACAGTGGCGGGTGATTATAAGAAGGCTGGGTGGGCACAGCGGCAGGCAGAATGTCCCGGACTGTGAGGACCCCACGCTGACATGCCAGTTACCCCTGCCTGTTATCCACTTACCCCAGCAGTCCATGCCCCTCCCATTCTAAAGCCCCTTCTCAGGAGGAAGGAGGCACTCACTGGGCCCAGGGCCCTCCCCGTTGCCTGGACACCTGGGCATCGAATTGCTGCCCTCCTGCAGTGCCACAGACCCTGCGGCCTCTCTTTGCCGAGTCTCACCACTGCTAGTCATCCAGGCTGGGGACCGACACTCTCTGGAGACCAGCGATGCCACGCCCAGAAGCTTCTCTTTATCTCTAACTCCTGCCTCAGTCACCCCAATGGGCCGCCTCTTCCTGCTTAAGAAACCGGGGCCCTAAGTCCTGTTTGCAGGGCCTGTGGCCCTCTCATGGCAGAGGACAGATGATTTACATGCTCAGAGACAGATGAGGGCCACTCCCTTTGTGGCTGCAGCCACTGACTCCTCCCCCCGCCATGGTTGTCCCTCCCTTTAGTTTTAGCATTTCTGTTCGTCTCTGACAGAGGCACACAGGAGCTCCCTAGTCACCAGAGGCAGGCTCAGGAGGGGCCAGAAGACATGGGGGTGGGACGGCAGAGAGGGACCCCATGTCTCTTCTAATCACCCGCCGCCCCCCGCGCCCTGTGTGTCGTGTGTGGTCGCCCATCTTGCTTTTCTCACCTTGTGCAGGGGGAGGGGTCCGGAGAGGGGGGCGTCTAACTTGCCTGCCAGAGAGTGTGGATTAACCGCACCTGCCCACTACCCTGTGGGACCCCAGGAGGCCCTTGGACCAACCTGCTCCTTCTTTAGCCTTGGAGGGGACCCACCAGGACGTGTTTCTGGTTCCTTCTCCACCCCAGTGATATTAAGGGAGTGGGACCCAAGTCCCATAGAAATCATGCTTTTGGTCTCCTTCATAACTGGGTGATAACTGGGGACCCTGCCCATGAGGCAGGGTGACCCCAGGTCCGGAGGTGGAACCTATCAAGGCTCTAATCACCAGCCCACTCCACCTCCTGCGTCCCACCCACTTCATTTTTGCCCTTTTATCCATTATTCATGTGGTCCCTCTTCTCTGTTGTGTGCTCGGGGGTGGATGTAGGGCACCCACCTCTCTGTGCACTGTGTGGTCTCCATTTCTCCAGAGCATCTGTGATTTGCTGTGTTTCACTGTGGTGGTTTCCATGGACTGCACCTGATATTTGGCATTTTCTCTCCAGTGCTTCAGAGTAACAGGGACGGGCGGGGAAGGGGAGAGGAACCAGGCTCAAAGACAATGCCCCCTTGCCCTTAGCCATCGGTAAATGAGGGGCCAGTGGCTGGCAGCCTGATGTCACTTCCTGCCTCTAGAGGAAGTGGCAGTTAACATCATTTTCTCCTCCATCCCTCTCCCATAGATGGACATCAGATGTCCATCATACTCCTAGGGCCTGGGGAGATCTCATGTTTCAGAATTCCCTGGTTTCTGAAGCCTTTGAGGAGAGGGAATTGTGTGCATAAGACTCAGCTTTCTTTTTTCCTGATGCAACTTTCATTTTTTTTTCTGTCTTTCACCAACAGATTCTACCACCTGTAGTTCAGCCAAGTCCAAGGTACGTATGAAGGCAATTCTGAAGGCTTGATCCCTGTACAAGGCAGCCCACTTTGGTTTTTGTTCAAGGGAATTGAGGGAATGGCAGTTGGACCATGGGGAAAGTTGATGGTCCCTGGGAGGGAAGGCAGGAGGTACCGAGTGCCCAAGGTAAGCTGAGAAATTGCTTACCTTGGCAGTGTTTGGTGAGGCATCTGCTGTAGTAGAAGGACCTGGCCTGGGAGTTATGTGGCTAGGAGGCAATGTCACTCAGTAGTTAGAAGCACAGACTCTGCAGTCAGACAGTCCTGGGTTTGAGTTCTGGCTCCACCATTTAGTAGTTTGGGACATTGGGCAAGTTACTTAACCACTTTCTGATCCTTAGCTTCCTCATCTATAAAATGGGAATATCAGTAAATCTGTGGGGTGCTATAATAAATAAAACAGATATCCTTTAAGGTCTTTGGAGAGCCTAAAGCAAGCAGAAGGAAATAAAGAGAGGAGCAGAAATCCATGAAATAGAAAACAGTTGAAAAAAAGCAATGAAACCAAAAGCTGGTTCTTTGAAAAAAAATCAGTGAAATTGATAAACCTCTAGCCAGACTAACAGAATAAAAAGAAAGATGGCACAGATTATCAGTATCAGGGATGAAAGAGGGACATCACTACAGACCCCTAAGTTATTTTTTATTTTTTATTTATTTATTTTTTTTGAGACGGAGTCTTGCTCTGTCACCCAGGCTGGAGTGCAGTGGCACCATCTCGGCTCACTGCAAGCTCCGCCTCCCAGGTTCACACCATTCTCCTGCCTCAGCCTCCCGAGTAGCTGGGACTACAGGCGCCCACCATCACGTCCAGCTAATTTTTTGTATTTTTAGTGGAGACGGGGTTTCACCAGGTTAGCCAGGATGGTCTTGATCTCCTGACCGCGTGATCCGTCCCCCTTGGCCTCCGAAAGTGCTGGGATTACAGGCGTGAGTCACTGCGCCTGGCTATAGACCCCTAAGTAATTGAATTTATGGGCATAAAGTTGCCCATAAATTCAATAACTTAGGTGAAATAGACCAATTCTTTGAAAGATTCAGACTGCCAAAACTCACTTAAGAAAAAATAGATAACCTGAATAGTCCTATACCTCCTAAGGAAATTGAATATGTAATTTAAAATCCCCCAACAATGAAAACTTCAGGACCAGATGGTTTCACTGTTAAATTCTACCAAATATTTAAGGAATTTTTTAAATTTTTAAACAATTTACTTTAATAATTTTAAAATATTCTAAATAGAAAATAGTATAATTTTAAATATTGATATATTTAAATAGTTATTTAAATATTTGAATTATTTAAATGTTATTTAAATAGTTATTTAAGAAATAATACCAATTCTCCACTATCTCTTTTGGAAGATAAAAGAGGGTGGCTGGGCACCATGGCTCACGCCTGTAATCCTAGCACTTTGGGAGGCTGAGGTCGGATCTTGAGATCAAGAGTTAAAGACCAGCCTGGCCAACATGGTGAAACCCCATCTCTACTAAAAATACAAAAAAATTAGCTGGGTGTGGTGGCATGCGCCTGTAATCCCAGCTACTCAGGAGGCTGAGGCAGGATAATTGCTTGAACCTGGGAAGAGGAGGTTGCAGTGAGCCGAGGTCGTGCCACTGCACTCCAGTCTGGGCGACAGAGCGAGACTCCGTCTCAAAAAAAAGAAAGGAAAATAGAAGAGGAGGAAACACTTTCCAACTCATTTATGAGGCCAGCATTACCCTGATACCAAAACCTAACAATGCTTTTGAAAAAGATAGGGCTAATTCATTTGATAATACCACAAATACTTGTTGAACGTCTACTTTATATCAGTACTGTGCTGGGTACTGAAAATATAAATAATGAGCCAAACAGATAGGTTCCTGCCCTCACAAAGCTTATCTTCTAATGAGAGACAGACACTAAGCTTATGAAGAAATAGACTATCTGTCTGGCAGGTTTGGAGGCACAGTGGAGGCAGAAACCAGATGGAATGAGCTAATAAAGTGAGGGAGGGAAAAGCGCATACGTAGACCACTCTTGTGAGAAGTCCGATTGTGAAGAGATATTTACAGAACAAAAATGGAAAAATATGTGGCTTGAGGGAAACTTTCATTAAAAGATGAAAGCAGCCAGGCATGGTGGCTCACGCCTATAATCCCAACACATTTGGAGGCCGAGGCAGGAGGATCCCTTGAGCCCAGGAGTCCGAGACCAGCCTGGACAACATAGTGAGACCTCAACTCTACAAAAAATGCAAAAATTAACCAGGCATGGTGGGGCATGCCTGTAGTCCCAGCTACTTGGGAGGCTGAGGCAGGAAGATCATTTGAGCTTGGGAGGTTGAGGCTGCAGTGATGAGCCGTGATCATGCCACTGCACTCCAGCCTGGGCAACAGAGCAAGATCCTATCTCAAAAACAAACAAACAAACAAACAAAAAAAGACGAAAGCACATATTTACTTGCCAATGGGAATGATCCAGGTGAGAGACAGAGAGAGAGAGGAAGAGCTGGGCCCAGAGCCCGTGAAGCAGCAGTAGCCTGTGCTCCTAGCAGATGCATCCCCAGGTGTAGTAGGAAGAGAGGGAGGTGGCAGGGGCACACTGGCAGGCAGTGTTGGCAGCAGGTCATTGGGGTCACTCCCAGCTGATGGCTCTTTCCTCAGCGAAGTGGAAGGTGAGGACCTCTGCTGGGCGTGAAGGTGGCAGGGAAAGTCTGAGCAGAGTGAAGGAAGTCTGAAATGGGTCCCATGAAGCAAGGCAGATTTCCTGAAGGGGCCGAGAAGCATCATGGGCAGGCCGAGGCCTCTGAAGGCTGCGGCCCCTTCTCGAGAGCCAGCACTTTGCCCAGCAGCCGTGCCCCGCCCCTTTGGGCCTGGCTTCTCCACACTCCCCGGAGAGCCCCTTCTGAGTCCCTTCTGGCCAGAAGATGTCCTCATTTGCTTCCTGTGACCCCACCGTGTCTCCAGTGGACTCAACACTGACCTCCCCAGAGCTCACAGGCCACTGCCTCCCGGAAGCCTCCTGGCTTGAAATTCCTTCCTCCTGAGACGCTAGCAGTTACCGCTTCCCAGTCTGGGCCTGCCTGACTCCTGCATTAACCTGGGAACTCCTGCAGGAGGCCTTCTCAATCACAGGGCCTTGAACAATAGAACGTGCTTTTCAGAGAGTACGTCTTTACTGTAAACTGACTCAGAGACTTCACTGTGACCCAGTGAGTTCATCACAATCACTAGCATGAGATGAAAGAGGAGGGAATGCACATTTACTGAGCACCTACTAGGTGCCAGCCAGTATGCAGATAACTTTTCACGAACATCGGTTTCATTTCATTTTTACGGAAGACCCTTGAATTTTGTACCATCCCCATTTTACAGATGTGGGGAACCAAGGCTCAGAGAACTTAAGTAACTAGAAGTTTGGGCATATTCTTGGGCCTCAGGCAGGGGAGCTGGTTAGGTGGCCTCCTTCCTTGGTTGGTGCTCTGGTATCTGAGTTCTGATCCTCTGTTCTCAGGCTCTGAGTGTTTCTTGATTTTCTGGCACAGGGACTGGCTCTGTCCTGAGCCTGAGCTGAAACCAACCGGCCAAGCCTCTAAGAAACGGAGGCACAGACGAGGCTGCCGGTCTATTAAGTACAGCGATAGGAATAACTGTTGCAGGGACAGGGACGTTGAGTTGTGTGTGCCGCAGTGGTCTCAGTCTCATCTACTGGGGAGACCAGGAATCGGAGTCAGGGAAGCAGGAGGCACCAGGCATCTGAGAGCCTGCGGCCTCCTGTCCCGGCTGTAAGGAAGGGGCTGCCTCGGGCACCAGGGCCTGGCCTCCCGCCAGGCTGTGAGCTCTGAGGGTGGGCACAAATCCTGCAAGTGCCGGACATTCACGACTGCCAGCCTCTGTCTCTCTTGCCTGACTCTAAAACCCAGGTCTGTGATGGTCAAACTGTGTTCCCTGGAGCCACCATGGGGTTGTGACCACCAACAGGTGTATGACAGGACCAAGCGTGCAGGGATCCAAGCTCCCACGGCCTCCATCTGAGCCACTCTTGGTTCTGTCTCACATTGCTGGGTCTCTAGGGAGGATTCGATTTGGACAGAGTGCTCCCAAGCTCATCAGAAACCATTGTTCTAGATGTGACAGTCCTGTCTGTAGACGTTCTCCAGGCTGTGTCCAGGACACCCAGGCGGCGTCGGTGCCCCAAGTTACAGCCACATTCTGATCTTGCCTCCCTGTGTGGATGGTTTAGGCTGTCCCGGGTAGGAGTGTGGCCAGGCACACATGGCAGTCTCTCAGCTCCGTGGTGGGTGGAGTGGAGCTGTTCATTACTCAGAAGCCTCCCTTATCATCTTTTTTTTTTTTTTTTTTTTTTTTTTTTTTTTTTTTTTTTTTTTTTTTTGAGACAGGTCTTGCTCTGTCACCCAGGCTGGAGTGCAGTGGCCTGAACACAGCTCACTGCAGCCTCTAACTGCTGTGCTCAAGTGATCCTCCTGCTTCAACCTCCTGAGTTAGCTGGACTACAGGCACACACCACCACTCCTGCCTAATGTTTTTGTATTATTTTGTAGAAATGGGGTCTTGCTTCTTTGCGTAGGCTGTTCTTGAATTCCTGGCTTCAATGGATCCTGCTGCCTCGGCCTCCCAAAGTGCTGAGATTACAGGCATGAGCCACGGCACCCCACTCTCCTTATCATCTTAATTCCAAGTTCTTGAGGAAGGGGACCACTTTTGTCTTCTCTGGTGGTCCCTCACCTACTGCTTAGCTTTCTTTACAGCCTGCAATAATCCCCGAGCACCCCCACTGGTACAGGGAGAAGTCTAGCTCCTGACCAGGCTCTGATTTCCCCGGCCCTGCCCTATTCAAGTTCCTCAAATTCCTTGACCCCAACCCTTGCCCCATAAGAAACCTCCCCATGACCCTGACCCTGACAGAGAACTGGCTGTGAAAATTTTTGCATTGACAACAGATATTGGAATGCAGGGATTCCCTATCTACTTCAGGCACCTTCAAGAATCAGAGGAGGCCAAGCATGGTGGCTCATGCCTGTAATCCCAGCACTTTGGGAGGCCAGGGTGGGGAGATCACTTGAGGCCAGGAATTTGAGACCAGCCTGGCCAATATGGCAAAACCCCGTCTCTACTAAAAATACAAAATTAGCTGGGGGTGGTGGTGCACGCCTGTAATCCCAGCTACTCAGGCGGCTGAGGCAGGAGAATCGCTTGAACTGGGGAGGTGGAGGTTGCAGTGAGCCAAGATTGCACCATTGCATTCCCAGCCTTGGCAATAGAGTGAGACTCCGTCTCCAAAAAAAGAAAAAAGGAAAGTTATGCACTCTTGCTCCAGAACGACACCTATCTACACAAATCCTGTGGCAAGTTCAAGGAGTTTATGGACCCCCAAAGCCAACCCAGGGACTCCAGTTAACAGCACCTTCTCCAGAGTATTCCGGCTGGTAATTAGCTTGTTTGGCAGAAGGTGTCAGTCCAGCTGTCAATAATGCCTTTGGTCATCGCTGATTCCTAAGTTTAAAGTATTCAACAATATGAATAGTTACAATTTATTGAGCATTTGCTGTGTTACTGTGCTTAGAATTACTAATCCTCACAAATGCCCTGTGAGTTAGAGATAAAATTGTCCTTATTTTGCAGTTGAAGAAACAGAGGCCAGAAGAGCTTCTGTAACTTGCCCCAGGTCTCACAACCAGCAAGTCGCCTGCTCCAGAGCCTCCCCTGTGAGACAGAACCCGTTAGGAGATGAGGCCTGCCCTGGGTGACCCTGCCCGGCTGTGAGATTAGAGCTTGAGGGCAGGGTGTGTATAAAGTCATCTCAGGCTGCTGTAATAAAATGCCATAGCTAGGTGCCTCAGACAACAGAAATTGATTTTCTCACAGTTCTACAGGTTAGAAGTCCAAGATCAAGGTGCCAGTGTGGCTCATTTCTGGTGAGGGTTCCCTGCCTGTCTTGTAGATGGTAGATGGCCACCTTCTCACACTGTGTCCTTACAAGGCAAGGCAGAAAGAAAAGAGAGCGCAAGAGAGCCCAAGCCCTCTGGTGTCCCTTCTAATAACCGCACTAATCCCATCAAAAGGTCCCACCTTCACCTAAACCTAATTATCTCTCAAAGGCTCCACCTCCAAACTGGGGGTTAGGGCTTCCACATGTGAGTTTGGGAGGTACACGATTTAGTCCATAGCAGTGAGTGAAACCAGCTGATGACTGGCTGGTGGAACTGGGCTCATTTCTGTCTGGGTCTCTGAGCACTGCACTGGCCAGGTTTGTAAGCCCACTCCACAGCCATGTGCTTGACACCTGGCAGGTGCTCCGTGTGTGTCGGATGAATACACTGGACAAAAGAAAAAAAGGCTGTGGGCGCAGTGGCTGATGCCTGTAATAATCCCAGCACTTTGGAAGGCCAAGGTGGGAGGATCACTTGAGGCCAGGAGTTCAAGACCAGCCTAGCCAACATGGTGAAACCCCGTCTCTACTAAAAATACAAAAATTAGCCAGGTGTGGTGGTGTATGCCTGTAATCCCAGCTACTCGGGAGGCTGAGTCATGAGAATTGCTTGAACCCGGGAAGCAGAGGTTACAGTGAACCGAGATTGCGCCACCTACACTCCAGCCTGGGTGACAGAGGGAGACTCCGTCTCAAAATAATAATAATAATAATAATAATAATAATGCTCTAGCCTGGTGCAAGGGTCCCCTGTAAGCTCTGCATGGAGCCCCTGCCTGCACCTGGACACCTCTGGTGACAGAGACCTCCATCATAAGATTGCTGTGACAGGGAGAAAGTTCATTATAGTGACCTACATCCAGGTCCTTGTCACTTCCGTCCATTGCTCCTGCTGGCCCCCTGCTTTCCTGCAGTATATCCTGGATTAACTCCCTGATCTCTCTGTGAATCTGCTGACCTCTGCATTCCTTGGAAGAGAAATCAGTCTGACCTCGTTGCTTCTGGAACCAGCTGGGATGAGAGGGTAGTTTGATCAGGTGATCCTAGCGGCCTCTTAAGTCTCTCAGAGAGCACTGGCCAGGAAAGAAAGCAGTACTGGCCACCATATGCTCCAGGCTGATCCTAGCAGTGCAACCACATTGCACAACTCCAGGGGGTGCCTTCTGGTGTTGTGCATTGTGGGCAACCATGGCCCAGGAGCCACATGCCTGTGACTCCTGAGTCCCTGACATGCTCTGGTTTTCTCAGAACTAATTAATGTGAGAGCAAGGACAGTGGCTGCAGTGGCCACAAGAGGCATCTGGGTCTCCATTCATTATTACACCATGGCTGAAACAAGAGGTGGTCTGTGAGGAGGGGTTGAAAGGGCAGCGTGACCTTGTCAGGTCATTCCAGCCCAAGACAGGAACCAGTCCCAGCGTCTGCTTCTACAAGGCTTCCTGTGTTAAGGGGACTTCATTCACCAATTGTTTGTTCATTTCATGTTTATTGAGCACCTGTTATGTGCCATGCAGAAACAACCAAGTCACAGCCTTTGCTCTTAAGGAGCTCAGAGTTTGATGAGGCTGATGTGAGAAGAGCTAGGAGCATAGTGAGATGACAGGAACATAGAGAAGTGATCTCCCATCTCAGGCAAAGGGAGGGCTGGGAAGTGGCTGTACAGAGGAAGCCATGTTCGAGCTGGGCCTTGTAGGGTGAGTAGGAGCTCATCCAGCAAATAGGGCAGGGGGACATTAAGGGCTGGCAGCAATGTAACAGTGTAGGTCACATCAAAGGAAGGGTTGGTAGGGCTGTATTTCCACAGTGAGGGCTGTGTTGGGGTTGGGGTCAGGGCAGAGCAGGGCAGTAGGCTGGGAAAGTTGGGGCTGGGTTATGAAGAGCCCCATGTGCTGAACTGGGGAACTTGTGCTTTATCCTGGTGGGTGCTGGGGCATGCAAGCTTCTGAGCAAAGCTGGGTGAGGATCAGATTCCTGCTTCAGAATGGTGGCTCTGGAGGAGAGACCCGGGCTGGGGCAAGGGTGGAGGCAGGAAACCCTATTAGGAGGGGCAGGAGGGCCCAGAGAGGGCAGAATGAGGGCCTGCCGGAGGAGGAGGAGGAGTTGGCTTTGGGAGCCATTTCAAAAGAATCCAGGACTTGGCTGTGGGTGGAGGAGAGAGGGAGGAGTCACAAGACCGCCCTAAGGTGAGCAGTGTGAATGGAGGCAGTTTGGGGCAGGGGTAGGTAGGATGCTGTGGTTCCGGATAGGTGAGTTTTAAGAGCCTACAGACACCCAGGTAGAAATGGATTCTCAATGGGAAGAAGAGTCCCGGAGCTCAAGTGAGTGTGGTGTTGGACAGGGAGGCCTGGATAGCAGCGCTGCTTGGGAATGGTATTTTCTAGGGAACACGAACAGAGAAGGCAAAGGGGCCAAAAACAGTCCTGGGAACACTGAGTCTCAGTGGGGAAGGCAGGGGCGGGGCGGGGGGCGGGCAAGAAGAACCTCCCAAGAGGCAGAGGAGAGGCCAGAAGGGCGGATGAAAACCAGCTTCCAGAAGGCCATGGGCGGCAGCATGGGCCCTCCTGGGAAAGTGTGAAAGGCCAAGGCCCCAAAACACCACAGGGTGTAGCAGTGAGGGCTGGTTCAGGTGAGAACAGCGGCATGAAGTTGCCCAACTTGGGGTTGGAAATCACAGTTTGGGAGCGGCTCCAATCCAAACCATGACACCATACGGGATCTTTCAGCCACTTGCAGGGGCGGAGCTGGCGGCGGGATTGACCTGGGATTGGGGATTGGCGGGGTGGGGAGCTGGTGGGGTCCGGCGGAAAGGGGAGGACGTGAACTTGGGCGGGTTGCCCTGGAGAGGCCTGTAGATGCTGGGCAGGTGGGAAGGCAGGTTTCCAGGTGGCAGCGGGTGGAGAGGAGGTGGGGGACTTGTGGTCAGAGAGCGCCCCTGGCGGGGATTTGGGGATCAGCATGCAGGAAGCTCTGGTGATGACACCCCAGGGGCGTGTGTGAAACGGATTCAGGCTGCCAAGCGTTATTCACTGTGGAGAGATTGTCATCACCAGAGCCGTGTCTAAAGGATTTAGCCAGGGCTGGATACGGAAAACAGAATGGAAGGGGGCTTTGGGAGACCAGCCCACCTCACAAGAAAGAGCTGAGAGCCTAGATTTGGGCCAGCGGGGGTAGTCTCTGGACGGAGGGCGGCACGGGGCTGGAGGAGGAGCGTTTTATGATGCGGCCGTGGGTGCTGGCCTTGGCTGGGGCTTGTGGCGACTGGGTGCCGTGACGTGGGGGTGGACCGGGTAGAGCGGGGTCGGCAGGGGGCCGAGTCCGGGCGCCCCCCGCATCCTGACCTGTCTCCCACACAGGGTTCGTGGGCCCCCAAGAAGGAGCCGTACGCCCGGGAGATGCTGGCGATCTCCTTCATCTCGGCCGTCAACCGCAAGCGCAAGAAGCGGCGGGAGGCGCGGGGGCTGGGCAGCAGCACCGACGACGACTCGGAGCAGGAGGCGCACAAGCCTGGGGCGGGGGCCACAGCGCCGGGGACTCAGGAGCGGCCGCAGGGGCCGCTGCCTGGCGCCGTCGCCCCCGAGGCCCCCGGACGCCTCAGTCCCCCGGCGGCGCCGGAGGAGCGGCCGGCCGCGGACACGCGCTCCATTGTGTCGGGCTACTCCACCCTGTCCACCATGGACCGCAGCGTGTGCTCGGGCGCTAGCGGTCGGCGGGCAGGGGCGGGGGATGAGGCGGACGACGAGCGTAGCGAGCTGAGCCACGTGGAGACGGACACTGAGGGCGCGGCGGGCGCGGGGCCTGGGGGGCGCCTGACACGCCGGCCGTCCTTCAGCTCGCACCACCTCATGCCCTGCGACACTCTGGCGCGCCGCCGCCTGGCCCGGGGCCGCCCAGACGGCGAGGGCGCGGGCCGGGGCGGTCCCCGCGCCCCGGAGCCGCCCGGCTCGGCGTCGTCCAGCAGCCAGGAGTCGCTGCGGCCCCCGGCGGCGGCGCTGGCCTCCCGGCCCTCGCGCATGGAGGCGCTGCGTCTAAGGCTCCGCGGCACGGCGGACGACATGCTCGCCGTGCGCCTGCGGCGGCCGCTGTCGCCCGAGACCCGGCGGCGCCGGAGCAGCTGGCGCCGCCACACCGTGGTGGTGCAGAGCCCGCTGACTGACCTCAACTTCAACGAGTGGAAGGAGCTGGGCGGAGGGGGCCCCCCGGAGCCTGCGGGCGCGCGGGCGCACAGTGACAACAAGGACTCCGGACTCAGCAGCCTGGAGTCCACCAAGGCGCGGGCCCCGTCGTCCGCTGCCTCGCAGCCGCCCGCGCCCGGGGACACGGGGTCCCTGCAGAGCCAGCCCCCGCGCCGCTCGGCCGCCTCCCGCCTGCATCAGTGTCTGTGATCCCCACCTCCCGCGCCGCTCGGGCGCCACCCCTCCCTAGAGCCCCTTTGGAACCAGGAGGCTTCACCAGCCTGCACCTCCTCTTCTGTGGCCCCTGGGTGCATGGTGTGGGTGGAGGGCGCAGCAGGCAGTGTCTCTAGTTGGTGTGCTGGAACTGGCAGGGCAGAGGAGAAGGCTGGGGCCGGACTAATTGAATGGAAGGGGGTTCCAGAGGTGATGAGCAGAAGAGGAGGGGGCGTGGGCTGCTGGGGTCTGTGTCCCTGCACACATGCGCCCGATAGGTCCTTCTGAGCCTTTCTGTGGCTGCACTTGGGGACCCTTGTGGACCATGGGGTGTGGCTAGGGAACCCCTAAGTTTCAGACTAAAGGAAAGATCCTGGGTGATGCTGGCTTTTTGCTTCTTTCTTCTGCCCTCCCACCTCAGCTTGTAAGCGGGGATGTGTGTATGTCTGGGGAGAGGAGGTGTAGGGTGCGTATGTCCATGGGGGGAGGGGCTTGTGTGTGCAGTCATTGTCCCAAGGTGTTTCCAGTAGCGACTTCTGTCCCCCTATCCCCACCCTGGTCCCCACTTTGCGCCCCCGGGCTCCCTGCCTTTGGTGCACACAGGATCCTGCCCGCCCCCCTTGCCAGAGCCAGAGAAGGGGGTTGGGGCCATTCCAAGGAGGCAGGACTGAAACCCTCACCAGGGTTACTCCCCAACATCCTTTTGCCTGAGTCACCCTCTAAGCGCTTTAACCACGGGCAGCTGCCTGTTCCCCAGACAGTTTTTGGTGGGGGGGGTCCAGGGTCCCCCTTGCTGGTACCTCCCTCACCCCTCTTTTTGTTTTTCCATCTGTGCCTGTTCCTTCCACAGCCCAGGCACACAGAAGCCCACCTTCTTCCCCTTAGGAGGAGGGATAGTCAACACCCCTGCTGTCTCTCTGTCACTCACACACTGATTTATGGGGTCTGAGCTGGGCTGTTCCTGCAGGATGGACAGGACCCAGCGCCCTCTTCTCCCCACAGGCTGTAAATAGACTTCCAATCACCAGGCCAGCCCCCACACACCCTCACTCATTCCAGGGAAGCCCAGGTAGGTGGTGAACCCGCTGCCACGTCTATCAGTCCTCTTGTTTTATGCAAAGATTTACTGTAAAGTAGATTTCTTTCCCTCCCTCCCCCATTCTTTTATTGTAAATATTGTCTCTAAATGTGTAACATATTATAAAGAATTTATAAGGATTTTTAAAGATGTTTTGCTCATTTACAAAAGTGTTGTAACAGTGTTGGACAAAGCCTTCCACCCCATGTCCGCATGGCTCCTTTCACTGTGTCCTTGACACACCTCTCTGGCAACAACTAAAATTTCCTGCTTCTGAAAAGTCCTGTCTTAAAAGTACAGTCTATATCTTGGAAATAAATAGCTTTCCTCAAGGCATGAGTCAGCTGTCTCACTTGTTTTGGAGGGAAAGGGCCAGAGTGGGGCTGGGAGACAGGAGAGGTACCTGGCCCAGGGAAGGAGGGCGATGGGGACTGGACCAAGGGGTGGCAGGACGGAGGCAGACTTTTTCCTGGTGACCTTTTTGTAAGTGTCCTGGGGGACTGGTCAATGACACAGGGACAGATATGAGTTGGAAGAGTGGGTGGCCCTCATTGCTGTGCGAAGTTTCCAGGCACCTGCTCTCTATTCCTACAGAGCCCAGGCAGGTGCACAGGCACCTTCTCAGGCCTACCTGGAGCTTCACAATGGTTCCAGCAGTCCTGCCCCGCAGACAGGAGGCTTGGGCCAGCTGTCGTAGGCACTCCAGGCCCAGATAATATTGCAAAAGGACAGAATGGGTTTTGCCCGTTGTCCCCTTCACATGTGTAAGCTTACAACATGGGGTGGGCGTCCTTCTGTGCCGGCGGTTGCTTTGTAGTTGCCCCAGCCAGTTTACAGGCTGCCTCTGCTGAGCCTCGCAGCTTTCTGTAGGAAGACCAGGTGACAGTCATTAAAGGGAATCTAGGGAGGGCTGGGGCAGTGGCTCACGTCTGTAATCGCAGCACTTTGGGAGGCCAAGGCGGGAGCCCAGGAATTTAAGACCAGCCTGGGCAACATAGTATAGTCCCTCCCCCTCCTCTATTATATATATACATATATATATATATTTAAATCTGTATATATATAAAGAGAATCTAGGGAGGAGCCCAGGAGCTGGGAAGAGCTCAGTTGCTCACTGAATCCTATGCCCCACCCTCCCAAGTCGTTTCTGTTGGGCAAATGAGCTTATAGCATTGTAGGCTCTGCCAGCTCCAAGGGCTTTACACGTCTTATTATTTTTTTTATTTTTATTTTTTTTGAGACCGAGTTTCGCTCTTGTTGCCCAGGCTGGATCTCGGCTCACTGCAACCTCCACCTCCCAGGTTCAAGTGATTCTCGTGCCTCAGCCTCCCAAGTAGCTGGGATTATAGGCATGCGCCACCACACCAGGCTAATTTTGTATTTTTAGTAGAGATGGGGTTTCTCCACGTTAGTCAGGCTGGTCTCGAACTCCTGACCTCAGGTGATCCGCCCGCCTCGGCCTCCCAAAGTGCTGGGATTACAGGCATGGGCCACCACACCCGGCCAACACGTCTTAAATCAGTCGTCCAACACTCTTGAGCACACCACCATTGTTTTCTGCATTTTATATATGAGGAAATGGAGGCACGCAGCAGTGTCATAACTTGCCCAGCCCAAGATCACATAGCTAGTAAGCTGTAGAACCAGGGTAAGTTTAAGTCCAAAGAAAGGACACAGAGATGGGGTAACAAGCCCATTGGGCCACCTTCTCCAGACTGTAGTAGACTTTGAGTGAGAATGGATGAAAACCCTGTGCTCTCCTTCAAAAATAAAGTAGGAATAGGCCTGGCACAGTGGCTCATGCCTATAATCCCAGCACTTTGGTAGGCTGAGGCAGGGAGCTCCTGAGGCTAGGAGTTCGAGACCAGCCTGGCCAACACGGTGAAATCTCATCTCTATTAAAAATACAAAAATTAGCCGGGCGTGGTGGCACATGCCTGTAATCCCAGCTACTCAGGAAAGCTACTCGGGAGGCTGAGGCAGGAGAATCGCTTTAACCTGGTAGGTGGAGGTTGCAGTGAGCCGAGATTGTGCCACTGCACTCCAGCCTGTGTGACAGAGTGAGATTTTGTCTCAATAAATAAATAAATAAATAAGGAATGAAAATATCTCTAGATTTATTTTTATTTTTATTATTCTATTTATTTATTTTTGAGACAGGGTCTTGCTCCATTGCCCAGGCTGGAGTGAAGTGGTGTGATCACAGCTCACTGCAGCCTGGACCTCCTGGGCACAAGTGAACCTCCTGCCTCAGTCTCCAGTGTAGCTGGGACCACAGGCATGTGCCACCACACTCAGCTATTTTTTTTTTTTTTTTTTTTTTTTTAGTAGAGACAAGATCTCATTATGTTGCCCAGGCTGGTCTTGAACTCCTGGGTTCAAGCGATCCTCCTGCCTTGGCCTCCCAAAGTGCTGGGATTACAGGCGTGAATCACTGTGACGGGCCTATTTATTTATTTGAGACAGGGTCTCACTCTGTCACCCAGGCTGGAGTGCAGTGGCGATCGAAGTTCACTGCAGCCCGGACCTTCTGGGCTCCAGCGATTCTCCCACCTCAGCCTCCCAAGTAGCTAGAATTGCAGGTGCGTGCCACCATACCCAGCTAATTTTTTAATTTCTGTAGAGACAGGGTCTCCCTATGTTGCCCAGGCTGGTCTCAAACTCTTGGGCAACCCTCCTGCCTCAGGCTCCCAAAGTGCTAGGATTACAGGTGTGAGCCGCCATACCCCCACTGATATCTCTAGATTTTAAAAAACAGAGAATTTATCACTAGCAGACATGCCATATAAGAAATAGTAAAGGCAGCCTTCAGATTGAAACGGAAGTACACTAGATGGTAATTTGAGTCCACGCGAATGAATAGAGAACACTGTAAGGATAGCCACATAGGCATTATGAAAGACAGTATAGGCCAGGCTCGGTGGCTCAAGCCTGTAATCCCAGCACTTTTGGAGGCCAAGGCAGGTGGACACTTGAGGTCAGGAGTTCGAGACCAGCCTGACCAACATGGTGAAACCCTTTCGCTACTAAAAATACAAAATTAGCTGGGTGTGGTGGTGGGCACCTGTAATCCCAGCTACTTGGGAGGCTGAGGCAGGAGAATCACTTGAACCTGGGAGGTGGAGGTTGAAGTGAGCTGAGACAGTGCCACTGCACTCTAGCCTGGGTGACAGAGCAAGACTCTGTCTCAAAAAAAAAAGAAAGAATAAACATTTTTGTAGTAATTATTTTCCTTTTTGTCTTTAACCCTGTCTTTAAAAGATAACTACATAAAGCAATAATTACAAAACTGTGTTGACATATAAAGGTGTAATTTGTATGACAATAATGGCATGAAGGACTGGAGAGGAATGGAGCTATATTAGAGCAAAGTTTTTAAACACTATTAAAATTAGGTTACTATTAAGGTGAACTAGATTGTTCTAAGTTAACATGCTAATTGTAATCCCTAGGGCAACCACTAAAAATAACTCAAAAAATTGTAAATGAAACAAAAAAACAGAATTAAATAGATGATATATCAGAAAATATTGGCCAGCCATTGTGGCTTATGCCTGTAATCCTAGGACTTTGGGAAGTTGAGGCAGGAGGATTGCTTGAGACCAGCCTGGGCAATCTAGCGAGACCCATCTCTATAAAAAAATTTTTAAAAGTTAGCCATGCATGGTGGCACATGCCTGTAGTCCCAGCTACTTGGGAGGCTGATGTGGGATGATCGATTGAGCCCAGGAGGTGAGACCCTGTATTAAAAAAAAGAAAGAGGCCAGGCGCAGTGGCTCAAGCTTGTAATCCCAGCACTTTGGGATGCCGAGGCGGGTGGATCACGAGGTCAGGAGATCAAGACCATCCTGGCTAATGCGGTGAAACCCCGCCTCTACTGAAAATACAAAAAAAGTAGCTGGGCGTGGTGGCAGGCGCCTGTAGTCCCAGCTACCCAGGAGGCTGAGGCAGGAGAATGGCGTGAACCTGGGAGGAGGAGCTTGCAGTGAGCTGAGATCGCACCACTGCATTCCAGCCTGGGCGTCAGAGCAAGACTCCATCTCAAAAAAATAAAAATAAAAATAAAAAAAGAAAGAAAATATTTATTTTACACTCAAGAAGGCAGAATCAGGCTGGGGGCAGTGGCTCACGCCTGTAATCTCAGCACTTTGGGAGGCTGAGGTCAGAGGATCACCAGAGGTCAGGAGTTTGAGACCAGCCTGGCCAACATGGCGAAACCCCGTCTCTACCAAAAATACAAAAATTAGCCGGGTGTGGTGGTGTGTGCCTGTAATCCCAGCTACTTGGGAGGCTGAGGCAGGAGAATCACTGGAACCCGGGAGGCGGAGGTTGCAGTGAGCCAAGATGGCGCCATTGCACTCCAGCCTGGGGAACAGAGTGAAACCGTGTCTCCAAAAAAAAAAAAAGAAAGAAAGAGAGAGAGAGAGAGAGGGTGAGAGGGAGGGAGGAAGGAAGGAAGAAAGAAAGAAGGCAGAATCAAGGAATAGAGGAACAAAAAAGGCAAGACATATGAAAACAATTAGCAAAATGGCAGACATAAATCCTAGCTTATTAGTGATACATTGAATGTAAATGAATTTAACACCCCAATCAAAAGGCAGAAATTGGCAGAATGGATTATTATTTTTTTCCTTTTATAAGACTGGGTCTTGCTCAATTGCCCAGGCTGGAGTGCAGTGGTGTGATCCTAGATCACTGCAGCCTCGACATCCTGGGCTCAAGCAATCCTCCCACCTCAGCCTCCCAAATAGCTGGGACTACGGGGCCATGTCACCACGCTTGGCTAATTTTAAAAACAAAATTTTTGTAGAGATGAGGTCATGCTATCTTAACCAGGCTGGTCTCAACCTCCTGGGCTCAAGTGATGCTCCCACCTGGGCCTCCCAAAGGGCTGGAATTACAGGTGTGAGCCACCGGGCCCATCCCAGAATGGATAAAATAAAATAAAATGATCTAACTGTGAGAGATTTACTTTAGAGTCAAAGACACAAGAGTTGAAAGTAGAAGGATGGAAAAAGAAACCATGTGAGGAGTTATTAAAAGAGAGCTAGGGTGGCTACACAAGCATGAGACAAACTAGACTTTAAGACAAAAATTCTTACTGAAGCCTGGGCGAGGTGGCTCACGCCTGTAATCCCAGCACTTTGGGAGGCTAAGATGTGTGGATCACCTGATGTCAGGAGTTCAAGAGTAGCCTGACCAACATGGTGAAACCCCATCTCTACTAAAACTACAAAAATTAGCTGGGCATGGTGGCGTGCACTGCAGTCCCAGCTACTCGGGAGGCTGAGACAGGCGCTCCTAATTGCTTGAATCTGGGAGGCGGAGGTTGCAGTGAGCCGAGATAGCACCACTGCACTCCAGCCTAGGCGACAGAACAAGACTCTGTCTCAAAAAAAAAAAAAATTGTTACTAAAGATACAATATCTTTTATAATGATAAAAGAGCCAGTTTATGAGGAAGATAAAATGATTGTAAACATATATACTCCTAACAACAGATCCCAAAATACATGAAGCAAAAACTAATAAAACTGAAGGGAACTGAACTGAATTAGACCATTCAATATAGTAGTTGGAGACTTCAATACCCCACTTTCTTTTTTTTTTTTTTTTTTTGAGGCGGAGTCTCACTCTGTTGCCCAGGCTGGAGTGCAGTGGCACGATCTCCGCTCACTGCAAGCTCCGCCTCCGGGGTTCACGCCATTCTCCTGCCTCAGCCTCCCGAGTAGCTGGGACTACAGGTGCCCGCCACCATGTCCGGCTAATTTTTCGTATTTTTAGTAGAGACGAGGTTTCACCGTGTTAGCCAGGATGGTCTCGATCTCCTGACCTCGTGATCCGCCCACCTTGGCCTCCCAAACTGCTGAGATTACAAGCTTGAGCCACTGCGCCCGGCCCCCACTTTCAATAACGGATAAAACAACGAGGCAGAAGATCAACAAGGAAGTAGAAGCCTTGAACAACACTGTAAGCCAAGACCTGAAAGACATCGAAACACTCCACACAGCAGCAGAACACACATTGTTCTCAGCTACGCGTGACACACTCTTCAGGGTAGACTTATACTAGGCCTTAAAACAAGCCTCAATAAATGGAAAAGGATTGAAATTACATAAAGTCTGTTCCCCAACTGCAATGGAATTAAATTAGAAAATGACAACCAAGGAAATTAACAAATACGTAGAATTTTTTTTTTTTTTTCGAGGCGGGTCTTGCTCTGTCCTCCAGGCTGGAGTGCAGTGGTGCTATCTCGGCTCACTGCAGCCTCCGCCTCCTGGGTTCACGTGATTCTCCTGCCTCAGCCTCTCAAGTAGCTGGGACTGCAGGAGTGTATCACCATGCCCGGCTAATTTTTGTATTTTTAATAGAGACAGGGTTTCACCATGTTGGCCAGGCTGGTCTCGAACTCCTGACCTCCAGTGATCTGCCTGCCTTGGCCTCCTAAAGTGCTGGGATTACAGGCATGAGGCACCACGCCTGGCTAGAAATATGTAGAAATTTAAAAACACTCCTAAATAATCAATGAGTGAAAGATGAAATCACAGGGAAATTAGAAAATATGTTGAGATGAATGGAAACTAACACACAACATAACATAACTTACTGGATGCAGCTAAAGCAGTGCTTAGAGAGACATTTGTAACTATGTCAATATTAGAAAAGAAGAAAGATTTCTAATTAATAACCTAAACTTCCACCTTAAGAAACTAGAAAAAGAAGAGCAAACTCAACCAAAAGAAAGCCAAAGGAAGGAAATAATAAAGGTAAGAGTAAAAATAAATGGAATAGAAAATAGAAAAAATAGAGAAAGTCAGTAAAACCAAAAGTTTTTTCTTGGAAAAGATCAACAAATTGGCAACTGTTTAGCTAGACTGACCAAGAAAAAAAAAAGAGAAGACTCAGATTAATACCTCAGGCATGAAAAGGGAGCTATCAATACTTATAAAAAGTAAAGGGGGGCTGGGTGCAGTGGCTCTCGCCTGTAATTCCAGCACTGTGGGAGGCCGAGGCGGGTGGATCATTTGAGGTCAAGAGTTCAAGACCAGCCTGGCCAACATGTGAAACCCTGTCTCTACTAAAAATAAAAAAATTAGCCAGGCGTGGTGGCGGGCGCCTGTAATCCCACCTACTCAGGAGGCTGAGGCAGGAGAATCACTTGAACTTGGGAGGCAGAGGTTGCAGTGAGCTGGGATCGTGTAACTGCGCTCCGCCTAGAAGACAGAACAAGAGTCCATCTCCACACACACACACACACACACACACAAAAGTAAAGGGATAATAAGGGAACACTGTGAACAACTGCATGCCAGCAAGTTAGATAAATAGAAGAAATGAAAAAATTCCTAGAAAGACATAAATTACCAAAACTGACATAAGAAGGAGAACTCATAAATAATCTGAACAGACTTACAACATGGAAAAAGATTGAATTAGTCATTTAAAAACTTTCAACAAAGAAAATTCCAGACCCAGATGGCTTCACTGGTGATTTCTATCAAATATTTAAAGAAAAATTAATACAAATCCCTCACAAACTCTTTCAAAAAAAGAAGAGGAAGCAACCGTGAGGCCAGTATTACCCTGATACCAAAGCTAGAAAAAGATATCACAAGAAAACTACAGACTAATATCCCTTGTGACTATAGAAACAAAAGTCCTCCACAAGCTACCAGCAAACCGGTTGGGTGTGACAACTCACACCTGTAATCCCAGAACTTTGGGAGGCCGAGGCAGGCAGATCACATGTGGCCAGGAGTTGGAGACCAGCCTGGCCAACATAGCAAAACCCTATCTCTACTATTAATAAAAATACAAAAATTAGCTGGGTGTGGTGGCACACACCTGTAATCCCAGCTACTCTGGTGGCTAAGGCACAAGAATTGCCTGAACCCAGGAGGCAGAGATTGCAGTGAGCTGAGATCACGCCACTGCACTCCAGCATGGAAGAGAGAGCGAGACTCTGTCTCAAAACAACAACAACAAAAAGATACAAGCAAAACAAATCAAGAAACGTATACAAAGGATTATACACCATGACCAAGTGGGATTTATCCCAGGAATACAAGGTTGGTTTAATATTTGAAAATCAATCGATGAAACACACAAAATTGAGAGAATAAAGAATAAAAATTACATGATCATCTCAATAGATGCTGAAAAAGCAAGACAAAATTCAACACTCTTTTATGATTATAAAATTCAATAAACTAGGAATAGAAGGAAACTTCCTCAACCTGATAAACATACCTATGAAAAATCTGTAGCTAGGCCAGGCAGGGTGGCTCATGCCTATAATCCTGGCACTTTGGGAGGTTGAAGTGGGTGGCTTGCTTGAGCCCAGGAGTTTAAGACCAGCCTGGGCAACATGGTGAAAGCCCGTCTCTACAAAAAATACAAAAACTAGCCAGGCGTGGTGGTTCATACCTGTAGTCCCAGCTACTTGGGAGGCTGAAGTAGGAGGATTGCTTGAGCACAGGAGATCAAGGCTGCAGTGAGCCATGATTGAGCTACTGCACTCCAGCCAGGGTGACAGAGGGAGACGCTGTCTAAAAAAAAAAAAAAACTACAGCTAATATCGTATTTCATGCTATTAAATTAATAGACTGAGAGCTTTCCCTCTAAGATCAGGAAACAGACAAGATGTCCACTCTTACCACTTCTAGTCAACATTCTACTGGGAGTTTTAGCCCAGGCAATTAGGCAAGAAAAAGAAATAAAAGCCATCCACAAATAGAGATGTAAAACTGTCTCTATTTGCAGATGACATGAGATTGTATGTAGAAAATTCTAAGGAATCCATGAAATAGGAAACTCCAAGGGGCCTCAAATAGTGAAAACAAAATTTAAAACAAAGTAGCAGTACTTACACTTCCCAATATCAAAACTTACTACAAAGCTGCAGTAATCTCAACAGTGTGGTACTGGCATAAGGCTAGATATATAGACCTATGGAAAAGAATTAAGAATCCAGAAATAAACCCAAACATTTATGGTCAACAGATACATATATTTTTTACATCCATGATACACACTGGATGTCAATTTGACACTTGACAACGTTACCAAGACCATTCAATGGGGCAAATGATAATCTTTTCTAAAAAAATGGTGCTGGAGGCTGGGTGCAGTGGCTCACGCCTGTAATCCCAGCATGCTGGGAGGCCAAGGTGGACGGATCACAAGGTCAGGAGATCGAGACCATCCTGGCTAACATGGTGAAACCCCGTCTCTACTAAAAATATAAAAAATTAGCTGGGTGTGGTGGCGGGCGGCTGTAGTCCCAGCTACTCGGGAGGCTGAGGCAGGAGAATGGTGTGAACCTGGGAGACGGAGGTTAGTGAGCTGAGATTGCACCACTGCACTCCAGCCTGGGCGATAGAGCAAGACTCCATCTCAAAAAAAAAAAAAAAAAAAAGGTGCTGGGACAACTGGATAACCACATGCACAGGAATGAAATTGGACCACTATCTCACTCTGTCTACAAAAATTAACTCAAAATAGATCATAGACTTTAAAATAAAATCTAAAACTCTTAGAAAAAAAAATAAGGTAAATCTTCATGGCCTTGAATGTGACAATGGATTCTTAGATTTGGCACCAAAAGCATGAACAATGGAAGAAAAAACAGAAAAATCTAAAACTTCTGTATGTCACGAGACATCATCAAGAATGTGAGAAGAGGCCAGGCCGGTGGCTCACGCCTGTAATCCCAGCACTTTGGGAGGCTGAGGTAGGTGGATCCCTTGAGCCCGGGAGTTCGAGACCAGCCTGGCCAACATGGTGAAACCCCATCTCTACTAAAAATACAAAAATTAGCCGGGTGTGGTGGCAGGTCCTGTAATCTCAGCGCTTTCAGACGCCGAGTTCAAGACCACTCTGGGCAATATAGCAGGACCCCCTTTCTACCAAAAAAATGTTTTTCTCTTTTTTTTTTTCTTTTTTGAGATGGAGTCTCACCCTGTTGCCTAGGCTGGAGTGCAGTGGCACGATCTCAGTTCCTTGCAACCTTCACCTCCTGGGCTAGAGTGATTCTCCTGCCCCA